>NC_000016.10:47895833-48198863 GCF_000001405.40 Homo sapiens | reverse complement strand
GGTTTCACCGTGTTGGCCAGGCTGGTCTTGAACTCCTGACCTCGTGATCTGTCCACCTTGGCCTCCCAAAGTGCTGGAATTACAAGCATGAGCCACTGCACCCAGCCTTATAACTTTATTTAATTCTCCTTGGTATAGCATTCCAATATCTGAATGTACCAGAATTTATTTCTCCAAGATGAACAGTTGTTTCTTATTTTTCACTTCTACAAAAAAAAAAAAAAAATACTTCAGTGTATATCCTTCTACGTGTACCTTTGCACACATGTTTGAGAGTTTTTTTGGGTAGGGTTTTAGGAGTCGAATCGTTGGTTCATAATTCTTCAAAAATCTTCCATGTTACTGAATAGGTCAAATTGTTCTCCAAAGTAGTTGTACCAATCTACAATCCTCTTGATAGTTAAGGAGAGTTCCTTTTGCCTCAGATCATCACCAACACTTGGAGTTGTCCAACTTTTGAATGTTTGCTCATCTGTTGGTATGAAATAATATTTTATCATGGTTTAAATTTACATTTTCCTGGTGAATAGTAAAATCAAACATCTTTCCATGTGCTTACTGAAGCCTTTCTTTCTTTTGACTGTCCAGTACTTAGAATTTTGTGGCCAGATCATTTTGTTGGAAAATGGGAAAATCTGTGAAAATGGAACTCACAGTGAGTTAATGCAGAAAAAGGGGAAATATGCCCAACTTATCCAGAAGATGCACAAGGAAGCCACTTCGGTGAGTCCTGCCCCACTGCCCTCACTACCCACGGTGGACGCACGTGTACTCAGGGCCTGTGCTCTCTCCCCAGGACATGTTGCAGGACACAGCAAAGATAGCAGAGAAGCCAAAGGTAGAAAGTCAGGCTCTGGCCACCTCCCTGGAAGAGTCTCTCAACGGAAATGCTGGTAATGGTGTGGGAGATAGGACAAGAATGTCTGCATGCCTGCCTGGGTCCTCCAGAGGTCCCAGTGTTTCCTCCTTGACCCCAGACTGGGCCATGTCCCTCAGTGTCTTGAGACCCTAAGCATTTACATACACAGGTTCCAGAACCAAGTAGTTGAGGGCCATGGGGTGTAGACTGATGGGCAGGAGGCCTGAAGGATCCAGGAAGTGAGTGTTGTGGGGGGCACAGCTAAGGTTGTACATCAGAGGAAGGATAGGGGGTACCTTTGGCTCTGAGTGGCACAGATTTAAGACTTGACCAGGCATCTAGACATTCATTCATTACACACTGCAAGAGAGTAAATATTGAGAGCAAAGGTATTAGGGATCAGAAATGAATTGGGTTTAGCCCCTGATGTCTGGAAGCTCATGGCTTTGCTCTTGTCTGGGGCAGAGTAGCAGAAGGGAGCGACTTCCATTTTTCAAGTAAGACAGTTCTGGATTTGAATCCCAGCTCTGCTGCTTACAAAGCTGTGTGACCTTAGCCATCTAACTTAACCTCTCTGAATTCTCGGCAAAAGTGGAGATTAGATGAGGTCATATATAGGGAAGCCCCCTACACAGTACCTGTCACATTGTAGGCTCCTGTCTCCAACTGAGTCTTTTTTTTTTAGACAGAGTTTGGTCCGTTGCCCAGGCAGGAATACAGTGGCTTGATCTTGGCTCACTTCAACCTCTGCCTCCCAGGTTCAAGAGATTCTTGTACCTCAGCCTCCCAAGTAGCTAGGACTACAGGCACGCACCACCACACCGGCTAATTTTTGTATTTTTAGTAGAGACTGGGTTTCACCATGTTGCCTAGGCTGATCTCGAACTCCTGAGCTTAAGTGATCCACCCACCTCGGCCTCCCAAAGTGCTGGGATTATAGGCATGAGCCACTGTGCCCGGCCACCAACTGAGGCTTTTTGAAGAAAACCTACTCAAAAAATTTCCATCCTGGTGTAATTTCCCTCAGGATTAAAATTCCAGAAAAAGAGCACCGTTCCCCAGGAAATACTGGGGTGTCGTTATTAGAAGGGAGAATAGCAGGCAGCAGCAGCAGACAGTCACTGTCGTGATGTTTGTTGTTACAATTATCATCAGAAACATCTATGGGCATCTCCAGGTACCGGTCTTCAGGCCAAGCTCAAGGCCAAGAGTCCACCTGGGCTTGTGTCAGGGCTGTTTTGTGAAGCATTATCTCAGAAGTGTATGGCTGCAGGGCATCTTAGCAAACTTCTCGGCTTTCCGTTTTTTCGGACAAGGAAACAGAAGGGTTAAGTGATTTGCCTGATGTTGCACAGTGTCATAGTGACAGTTCTGAAACCTAGGTTTTCTGGTCCCAGGTGGTTTTCTTCATTCTTTCCTGCGTTTCTCTCAGCCCATCACACACGTGAGACCCCGCAGTCCCTCCAGAGTTTATTGAATGGCTAAGGATGGATCCCTTTCCAGGCTCTGGAGCCCAGGTCAAAGGTTTCTTTCAGTAGAGTCTTCCATGAAAAACCTTAGACATAGGTGGGGCACTGAAGCTGGAAAGTGAAAAGCTGGCACAGGATCGAAGCCAGAGACAGAAGGAAGCAGATCATGTGATTGGCAGGCATACCACTTTTCTCTTCTTCTACCCTGACCCAGTGCCGGAGCATCAGCTCACACAGGAGGAGGAGATGGAAGAAGGCTCCTTGAGTTGGAGGGTCTACCACCACTACATCCAGGCAGCTGGAGGTACGGTCCCCATGCCAGCCCAGGGCTCTCTCTTGGAGCAGCCCTATCCCTGGAACTGGGTCAGATTGGAACACGTGAGGTCATGTGAAGTAGAGAGGTCCAGAGGAGCCATGGTATTTATTGGCCTAACTTGCAAAACCAAACTCTACTCAGTTATAGCAACTCTACCACCAAAGCCAAGGTTGGAAGTTATATTTTCATGTATACTCATTATTTCAGTGTTTTTCTATTTTTTAATTAAAAAAAATTAAAAAAAATAGAATAGACATGGGGTCTTGCTATGTTGACCAGGCTGGTCTTGAGCTCCTGGCCTCAAGCAATCCTCCCATCTCAGCCTCCCAAAGTGCCCCTGCCTCATTATTTCAGTGTTTTTCAAACTCTGGGCTCTGCTCCCTTAGCAGGTTTTACAATCAGCTGAGTTTATCATGAGCAGCACTGAAAGACATGAAATAGAATCGGAGAGAAAATAGCGGCCACATCGCAAAAGGTCACAGTGGTGGGACTTTTATTTTGGTGTGATTTAAAATTTCTTAATTTTTATTTCTTAAGGCAGGCAGAGGGCAATTAGAAGTTCAAAGCTACTGCCTTATTAAATGGTATATATCATCATGTATATTTACTGTACAATGTTGTAAACACAAAACTCAGTATATGGTGCTGTACTTATCAAGTAATTTAAGAGATTTTTGAGAGTAATTTTTACTCCATGAAACTTTTTACTCATCGTTTACATTGGAAGCTGACCCTTGTGTAAGATGTCTCCTGTCTGCATGCCTGGGGGAGGAAGAGGTAGGCTGTGCACACAGAACGCCGTCCCCACCCCGTCCACCATGGGTATCCTGCAAGGAGTAACCCAGGGCCTGCCCAGACAGAGCAGGAAACAGCAAATGCTTGTGAAATGCATGAATGGATCTAGCAGCTTACATTGATCTGTATTTACAAAGTGCCTGCTATGTTCCAGGCACTGTGCCAAGCTCTAGAGGGGAGGGGTATAAAGTCATCTAAGAACCAACCCTGGAATCTAGCTGGAGAATTAAGACTTGCTTCCATCAGATGGTAAGAGAGATCTCTGTGGCCAGGGAATCTCAAATCTCATCAAAGAAGAGATAGCCCTTGAAGGAAGGATAGAATTTGGGAAAAGACTGTGGGCACGGGACATGTGAGCATGAATAGATGAGAGGAGTGCTAGAGCAGGAGGCAGTGCCCCAAGGAGTGTACCCTGCCTTTTCCTGCCCTTAACTGCTTCAAATCCCAGCTCTGCCACTCACCAACTCTGCAAGTTTGGGCAAGGGAGTTCCCCTCTCAGATTAAGTTTCCTCATTTTATTAGCCTATTTGTGCTGCTGTAACAACATATATTAGACTGGGTAGTTTATAAAGAACAGAAATTTATTTCTCACTGTTCTGGAGACTGGGAAGTCCAAGATCAAGGTGCTGGCAAGTTTTTTGTCTGGTGAGGGCCCAGTATCTACTTCCAAGATGGCGCCTTGAACGCTGTGTCCTCCATCCCTGGAGGGGATAAATGTTGTATCCTTACATGGTGAAAGGGACAAAAAACCAGGAAGGCAGCTCTCTGAAGCCTCTTTTTTAAGGGCATTAATGCCACTCATGAGGGCTCCATCCTCATGGTCGTCACCTCTTAGAGGCCTCACTTTCTAATACCATCACCTTGGGAATTTGGTTTCAACATATGAATTTTGGAGAGACACATACATTCACACAGTAGCACTATTGAAAATGGGGATAGGAATTACTAATTCAGAAATAATGCATACATTTGGTACTATTCCTGGCATGTAGCACATAATAGTACGTACCACATAAAAGGTAACTGTTATTATTATTTATAAAACTGAACCTGCAGGACCTGCATAAGGTGAACTAACTTCTCTAGAACACTGCCCTGTGCCAGGCACTGGGCTGAGTGCTTCACACACATTATATCATATCATCTTCAGCATGGCTCTGAAGCTGGTAAGGTTATCACTATTTCATAGGTAAAGAAGTGGTATGTTGCTGACATTTGGTACCTTATCCAAGGTCACACGGTTTGGAAGTGGTGGAGCCAGGATTTGAACCCAGGGCTCTCTGACTTTGGAACCCAGCTCTTCCCATTCCTCCAAGGTGTCCACATTGGGTGGGGCTCAAGGGTTTCCAAGCACTCAAAGACAGAGATGGCCGAGCAGCTGAGTCAGCAGTTGCCTCGCACCTGTTTGTGGCACTTGTACATCACCACTGTCTCCCTCCCAGGTTACATGGTCTCTTGCATAATTTTCTTCTTCGTGGTGCTGATCGTCTTCTTAACGATCTTCAGCTTCTGGTGGCTGAGCTACTGGTTGGAGCAGGGCTCGGGGGTGAGTGCCATGAGGTGGATGGGCTGTGTTTCTATGGGCTTGAGTGAGGTGGGGTGACTTCTTGCTCCTTGAGACCACAAGAGCCAGAGCATGGCTTGGGACCCACATGACAAGCCCAGAGCTGGTGTTCCAGAGAGAACCGTGGGGAGCCAGGACTCTGGGGTTCCCCTGGCACAGGCCTCCTGACTTTGTAGAATGGGTGGTCGCCTGTGCAGTCTTACTGGAAAACCAAGAGATTTATATCCCCAGACAGTGCCCCAAGAATCTTTGCATTCCACTGCAGTAACTGTCTCCTTTAGCTCCAGGCTGGCCTCCATACTATGGTTTATTTAAAATATACTTCTGGTCTTGTGAGCTGGGAGCCACCACGGGCCACACTGTGTCAAGTTATTTCACTAATCTCCCCACCCACATTCAGAGGAAGGTTCCACTGTCTCCATTTTTCCAAGGGGACCCTGTGCCTAGAGAGGATGAAGAACCTGCCCTAGGACAGGACAGGGCCGGAACTTGAACTTGGTGCTTAGAATCGAAGCCATGCTTTTCCCACAGTACTCCATATGGTTAATTTCTGGATCGTGTACCAGGAGGTTTGGGTCAGGAGAGCAGAAGCCACTCTAAGTATTTAGAGCTTCCAAGGATTTAATATAGGGAATTAGAGGCTCAGTCAACCATTGGAGGGGAATTGGCCATCAGGGATCTCAGCTGAACTGAAGTGGGTGATTCCCAGGATGCCTTCCAGCCTCTGGAAAAACCCCACACCCCATGCTCCTGCCCACAGTTGCCACTGAGCATGCTGGCTTCTCCTCTTCCACCTTTCTGTTTCCCTGTGGGTGCCTCTCCTTGGCAGAATCTGACCTGAAACCATGCTGGGAGGGGTTCTGGGAAATCACGTTCCCAAGCTTCTCGCTGCATCACAGCAGAGCGTGCACAAGGGCCCAGCTGCTGCAGTGTCCACGGGGCAGACTCTGAGGGCCTGATGCAGGGCAGGGCAGTGGGAATGAAGGGCAAAAGAGAGTAGCCAAGCGCTGAGCAGGGAGGTTTGGGCAAACAGCTTCACCTTCTACCAGCCACAGATTCTCACGTGGCCCCAGGGAGAAGGCTTTCCCTGCCACTGAATTTCCCCCGGACACCTGCAGTCAGACCCCCTGTTCTTTCTTGAAGACCAATAGCAGCCGAGAGAGCAATGGAACCATGGCAGACCTGGGCAACATTGCAGACAATCCTCAACTGTCCTTCTACCAGCTGGTGTACGGGCTCAACGCCCTGCTCCTCATCTGTGTGGGGGTCTGCTCCTCAGGGATTTTCACCAAGGTCACGAGGAAGGCATCCACGGCCCTGCACAACAAGCTCTTCAACAAGGTATGGGCCTGGGTGCTGGGTGGGGCCGAAGGCTGAGCTCTGAACTTGCCCAGCTTCATTTTTATTTTTTTATTTTTTTATTTTTTAGAGCTCTGTAGCCCAGGCTGGAGTGCAGTGGCACAATCTCCACTCATGGCAACCTCCACCTTCCAGGCTGAAGTGATCCTCCTGCCTCAGCCTCCCAAGTAGCTGGGAGTACAGGCACATGCCACTAGATCTGACTAATTTTTGTATTTTTTGTAGAGACTGGGTTTCACCACGTTGCCCAAGGTGGTCTCAAACTCCTGGGTTCCAGTGATCCATCCACCTCGGCCCCCCAAAGTGCTGGGATTACAGGCATGAGCCACCACCCCCGGCCTATTTTTTTTTTATTAGTAGACCTTAATTATTTATTTATCTGTAGAGATGGGGTCTTGCTCTGTTTGCCCAGGCTAGTCTCAAAATCCTGGGCTAATGCAATCCTCCCACATTGGCCTCCTAAGTAGCTAGAATTACAGGTGTGAGCCACCATGCCCGGCCAACTTTATTTTATTATTATTTTTTATTATATTTTAAGTTTTAGGGTACATGTGCACATGCAGGTTAGTTACATATGTATACATGTGCCATGTTGGTGTGCTGCACCCAGTAACTCGTCATTTAACATTAGGTATATCTCCTAATGCTATCCCTCCCCCGTCCCCCAACCCCACAACAGGCCCCAGTGTGTGATGTTCCCCTTCCTGTGTCCTTGTGTTCTCATTGTTCATTTCCCACCTATGAGTGAGAACATGTGGTGTTTGGTTTTTTGTCCTTGCAATAATTTTCTGAGAATGATGGTTTCCAGCTTCAGGATTATAAATCATGCTGCTGTAAAGATAAATGCACATGTATGCACACGTATGTTTATTGTGGCACTATTCACAATAGCAAAGACTTGAAACCAAGCCAACTTTATTTTTTGAGCACTTTTCGTTTACAGAAAAATTGAGATGAAAGTACAGAGAGTTCTCATATACCTGCCTATCACTCAGGCTGGAGTGCAGTGGTGTGATCACAGCTTACTGCAGTCTCGACCTCCTGGGCTGAAGCAGTCCTCCCTACCTTAACCTCCGAGTAGCTGGGACCACAGGGGCACACCACCATGCCTGGCTAATTTTTGTATTTTTGTGGAGACAGGTCTTGCCATGTTGCGCAGGCTGGTCTTGAACTCCTGGGCTCAAGCCATCTGCCCATCTCAGCCTCCTAAAGTGCTGGGATTACAGTTGTGAGTCACTGCACCTGGCCCATTTCTCTTATTCTTAACATCTTGCATTAACGTGGGACATTTGTTACAATTGATGAGTCAATATTGGTACATTATTAATTACTATTATTAATGAATATCCATAGTTCACCTTATGGTGCATTCTTTGTGCTGTGCATTCTATGGGTTTTGAAAAATGTATAATGACATGTATCCATGGTACAGAATAGTTCCGCCGCCATAAACAAAACCCTGTGTCCCACCTATTCATCCCTCCCTCCCTACCCTCAAACTCCCAGCAACCACTGATCTTTTTTACTCTCTTCATAGCTTTGCCTTTTCTAAAATGTAGTTGCAGCTGGGTGAACCAGGCTGCTTGGTGAGAAGGGAGTGATGAAAGTGCGGTGGAGCTCTCCTGCTGGAAGTCTGGTTCTAAGAGCTCAGTGTCCCCTGATGGAGGGCCACAGTGACGCTGGCCTCCACTGGCTGAGCATGGTCATATACAGAGTTGCTTATGATTGCCCTGAGTTCTCTTTGAAGTGGATATTATCCTCATTTTACATATGAGGAAACTGAAATCTCACATATGTTAAAGTTGGAATATGTGTTTGGTTAGAATACTGAATTGTCAGCTGGGTGCAGTAGCTCACGCCTGGAATCCCAGCATTTTGGGAGGCCTGAGGTGAGTGGATTGCTTGAGCTCAGGAGTTCGAGACCAGCCTGGGCAACAAGGCAAAATCTTGTCTCTACCAAAGATATAAAAATTAGCCGGACATGGGGGCTTGTGCCTGTAGTCCCAGCTACTTGGGGGACTGAGGATCAAGGAGGATCGCTTGAGCCAGGGAGGTGGAGGTGGCAGTGAGCTGAGATCATGCCACTGCACTCCAGCCTGGGAGACAGTGAGACCCTATCTCATTTAAAAAAAAAAAAACCAAATTGCTTATGGTATCACACTGCTTCTTGGAAATGTCATTCCTCTCTCTCACTTACTAAGTGTTACTATGTGCCAGGTTCTGCAGTGGGCATGAGGCTTACATTAGAGAATGCACAGTGCAGGTAGGGTTTGGGCCATCATGGATGTATAGTCTAATGGGGGAGATGGACAAGAAAACAGGCCATTGTCGTAGATATGTAAAGTTTATCACGGGATGGAGCACACAGGGCCATGAGAACATAAGAGGCACCTTGTCTTAGCTTGAGGGCAGGGGAAGAAAGTGGGGAGAGTCCAGAAAGCCTTCTTGGGGACTTCACTCCTTGAAGGAGGAATCAGATTTAGCCAGCTCAAGACCAGGAGACTGAAGGTGAACAAAAGCAGAGCACTTCTGGGAGGAGAATGGAGCTCTGGAAGGCTAATCTCAGAGGTGGGAGTGGGGGTTTTGACTTGGAGACGCAGGAGGTGAGGAGCGGCCCATCGTTCCTTGTAGACTGAATGCAAATTGTGTTGCCATGAAGTGTTTCAACTTTGGCAGGGTGAGACAAAGCTTTTCCCCACCTCTCAGATAAAGCTTGGCAGAACCAGAAAGCAGGAGGGGGAAATTCTACCTGAGGCCTGACACTTTCCCACCCGGCCTCTGGGGGTGGCCCTCGGCCCTCAAGGTGGTCTCTGAGTTTCTTTTGATGGCACATTCCAAGATTCTAGAAATATCCAGTGCCCATGCCTCTAAATGACATTTCGTATTTTAATTTTGAGAAATGTTCAAGTTTCTTTCCATGAAAACGTGTTTTGTGTTTAAAATATTTTCCTTTTTCCAGTCCTTTCATGGCTTTTTAAACTTTAAATTTGTCTTTGTAGTTTTAAAGAATCACAAGTAAAGGATAAATCTTAAAAAGTTCGCTCAACTGCAAGCACAACAGAAAAAAATGAAGCAAAAATGAACAAACAAGAACAACCCCAGATCATTTTGATACTTAGAAGACAATCAGAAACTGAAACCATTTTCCCTTTGTCGCCACCATTGGTCCCTAATCCAAAGTAATGCTGGGCTTCCACAGATGCATCTTCCTCACCCACAGTGGAGCTGACGTCCACTCCTGTGTCCCCTCCACAACCCTGCCATGCCCCGCACCTGCAAGGTGTGCTCAGAGTCCTTGAAGGGGTGACCCTTTTGCCCTTTGATTCCTCTGAGTGATCATGACAATTCTGATTGCTTTAGCTCAAGTATTTAATAAAACATTCTGGAAATAAAATTGAAGGGATTTTAGAGGCAGAAAAAGCAAGGAGGCTTTAAATCTGCTCCTCCAACCCTCACTACCCCACCAGCTAGAAAGCAAACATACATGAGAGCTACGCTTGGTCAGCAGTATCCATGCATTTGCGATGAGAGCAGCTACAGAGAACACTTCATGGCTCAAATAATTACATTTAGTAACCGTCAAAATGTCCTTCCCTCCTCTTTCTTTGAGTTTGGCTTTAATAAATGCCATTGGCTTCTATTCATTTCTACTTCTTGCATTATAGCTTGAGAAGTACATGGGGAAATGTAGGTGGTCATTTGGTCAGTGCCATGAACCTTTAAGAAATTGCCTTCTGTGAAGAGTGACTGTGCCAGGCTTGGGGAAGCCTCAGAAGGCCTAATTGGATCATGGTTTTGCCATTAACCACTTGCGTAATGAGTAAGTTACAGAGCCACTTCCTCTTCTGCAATCTTCAGTTTCCTCATCTGCAAAACAAGGACACCAAACTAAATGCTTTTGTTAGAGCCTACCTTGTGGTTTGACATGTCCTTTGATCTCCGAAAGGCCTCATGGCCACTGGCTGTTAGAGATCAACTTGCAGGTGCCACCCTCAAGAAGGGGGCAGTTAAGGCTAAATTTGATCCAAGGGTCCAAATCGTGTGCAACCCAGTAGGATTGCTGCTCCTAATCTTTGGCAGTCCTGAGTGAAAATGGTCCCATCTGTAGAAAATAATAAGAGCTGGTATTGGTAGAATGCCCTACTGGGGGTGATGGAGGGCAGGTAAACCCCAGACTGGGGCTTAGTCCATGAGGGTTCTTGGCTTTGCCCAGGAAAGAATTCAAGGGCAAGCCAGTGGTAGGGTAGAAGAAAACAGCTTTACTGAAGTGTCACTGTTGCAGTTCTGGCAGTGTTGCAGCTCTGTGACTGACCCTGCAGAGCAGGGCTACCCCGTAGGCAGTGTGCTGAGAGCTGCAGCTCAGGGCAGGTTTGCAGTCATATTTATACCTACTTTTAATTACATGTAGATTAAGGGACAGTTTATACAGAAGTTTCTAGGAAAAGGGTGGCAACTTCCAAGTCATCAAGTCATTGATGACCCAGAAAGAGGCGGTAACTCCTGGGTGTTGCCATGGGAATGGTAAACTGACACGACACACTGGTGGGCCTGTCTTATGGAAAGTGGCTTCCACCCCACCCCTGTTTTAGCTAGTCCTCAATTTGGTCTGGCGTTCAAACCCTGCCTCCAGAGTCAAGTCTCACCTCCTACCTCAGGGGCAGGCACTGCTCTGAGCATTTTTAATGTATTCTCTCTCTCTCTAATAGCTTTACAGGATATAATTCATATACCATACATTCAGCCTTTTAATTATACACTTCAGTGTTTAGTATATTTGAGGAGTTGTGTGATCCTCACTACAACTCTGTGAAGCATCGTTTTCATTCCCATTTCGCTAACGAGGACCTTGAGACTCAGAGGAACTCAGTACTTGCCCGAGGTCAGACAGCAGTAGGTGGAGGAGTCAGGTAGCCGTGGAGCCCATCCATGCTTTTAAATCATTGCTCTACATTGCCTGCCCTGGAGACCCCTGGGATCCGTGGCTCTTTAGAGTCAAGGGTAACAGGCATCTTCATCCAATCTTGAGCAGGGCCTGCAGCTTCTCTCATGGTCTGCGTTGATTTTGTCCCTGCAGGTTTTCCGCTGCCCCATGAGTTTCTTTGACACCATCCCAATAGGCCGGCTTTTGAACTGCTTCGCAGGGGACTTGGAACAGCTGGACCAGCTCTTGCCCATCTTTTCAGAGCAGTTCCTGGTCCTGTCCTTAATGGTGATCGCCGTCCTGTTGATTGTCAGTGTGCTGTCTCCATATATCCTGTTAATGGGAGCCATAATCATGGTTATTTGCTTCATTTATTATATGTGAGTAGGTTCTTTTTGCTTGTGACTTGGGGAGCAAGGCTGGGACCAACCCAGACTAGATGGTCCCAGAGGTGGACGGTCCAGGTCCCTTACCTCCACTGTCCATGCAGGATGTTCAAGAAGGCCATCGGTGTGTTCAAGAGACTGGAGAACTATAGCCGGTCTCCTTTATTCTCCCACATCCTCAATTCTCTGCAAGGCCTGAGCTCCATCCATGTCTATGGAAAAACTGAAGACTTCATCAGCCAGTGAGTCCTTCTGCTGCCATTTGAGAATGATGGAACCACAGGGGTGGTGGGGAGCAGGGAAAGAATGGAGCGTCTGGGAGTGGCATCATCTTCAAAAGCATCAGAGAGCACATTGTTCGATGGACGTATTTCTCTGAGCCTCCAGAACCTGCTGAACCATTCTTTCATTTATAAGAATGAAAAATGTAAATGATAGGAAAAATGTTTGTAAACTTTAAAGACCTTGTATATATTGTGTATATATATATGGACATATGTATACATACATTTAATGATAAGGTGCATTACTGTGCAAACACATCTTGCATTATGTTATTTCTTTCACTTCCAAACAAATATCTATCTTTAACAAAATAATGAGGAACAATAGCTTTCTAAATAATAGAACTTCCTTCACTACTCATGCCATAGATTTGCCCCCTAAATGTTGAAACAAACAAGCAAACAAGTCCTGTGATTGTTGTTGAGGTTTAATGGTGTAACACGAACTTATCTGTTTGTAGAGAATAATCAAGCACGGTCTTCACCTACAAGAAGTTCATAGTCTGGTGGAAAAAGGGAGAAACAGGCACATGTTTTTGTAATTATACGTGATTGAAGAAGGTAGATAGCATAAGAGAGGGGCAGATAAACTGCTTGGGAATTCAGAGGGGAAGGAGGTGGCCTGGGGGAATCAGATAAGGCTTTCGGGAGGAGGTGGCATCTGAGCTGGCCTTGAAGCCTGGGTAAGACTTGGGCACACATTTGGGAGACGGTATGTGCTCAGTTAGCTGGAATATTGGATTAATTGTGGCACCTGCTCTCTCAGTGGCATTATAGACCACTCAAGGTCTGTGCAGACTCTAGGACTGAGGGGATCCTGGAGCGGTGCATTCATTCAGCCCACACTGAGAACCCTGCCCCAAGGTATATACTAAGATAAGCAGATGAAGAGAGTCTGGAGGGATTGGAGCTGTTGTTGGGGAAGGTGTCAGAGAAAAGGACCCTGAGATGAAGTGTGGGTTGAGCTATGGAAATATGTGGGTAGGAGCTCTCCAGGCAGAGGGGACAGTAAATGCAAAGACCATGAGATGGGGGAAGTAGGTTTGAAGGATAGCAAGGTGGCTTGAGCACAGGGGCCACAGAGTGACCAGGGTCTGTTGTGTTTAATCTGGGAAGGCCTCAAGGTGGAGGTGACTCAATCAGTATAGAAAGGTAAGGTGGACAGAATTTGGAATGTCTTATGCAAAGGTTCAGAGGGTATGGACAGAGTGAGTCAGAAGGGCCACTCTGCTGGGGTGATAGCCCACTCAGATGGTAAGATGGTTTTAGTTGATGAGTAAATGAATATTTAATTTCAATAATCAAAGGTTTATTTGAATGTACTTTAGAAAAAATGCAACTAACATATCAAACCCATTATTTATATAATTTAAGGTTGTGATTAAAGTTTCTTTTAATATACATTCTCAAACAAAGCAAGTAAAATAATAATACTAATCAAATAACAGTACAGGTTGTGATTGACATGGAAAACTGTGATGGTGGTATGTGAAAATTGGAAATTGGTAGGTTTCTTGGTTGGAAGTGACAGAAAAAACTAATGCAAACTAGCTTAAAAATATGACTTAAATATGGCAAAATACTAACAATTGCTAAATTAGGTAGAGGGTATACAGATGTTCACGGAATAAACTTTTTAATTTCTTGGTACTTTAAAAAATTTTCATTAGAGGGTATACAGATGTTCATTAAATCAAGCTTTTAATCTCTTGGTACTTATAAAAATTTTCATAGCAAAAGGCTGGGGAGGAGGACTTGCTTAAAGTGAGGCTTAATCCAGAGACTCAGCTAATGTTCCCCGGGTGTCTCGGTTTTACTGCTCTGCCTTCCATGGTGTTATTTTACCTTTAAGCTCCCAGAGACCCTCTGGTGGCTCCAGGCTCCCCTCCTAGTAGCAGAATGGTAGTTTCAGATATCCCATCATCCCACTGAAAGGAATCACTCCCACACTCACTCACACGTCCTGGCATTTATTCACTCTCTGTGGCCAATTTGGGGTAACTCACCCATCCCTGAGTGAGTCACAGAGGTTAGGCGAGGAGCGCGTGCTAAGGATGGGCCTTAGCAGCAGAGCCTACTCCTCAATCTGGGTTAGGAGTCAGGTCAACTTCACCCAAATTCATGGCTGAGAAAGGGGTAGGGAGGAACTCCCCAAAGAAAAATCAGGCCCTGCTGCTGGGAGTGGGGAACTGGATGCTGGAGGAAGCAGCCGGTATCTACCCTGACCCGGGGAGACCCTAGGTCAGACAAACACATGGTTCTTAGTCTGTGCTTTCCTTCTCAGGTTTAAGAGGCTGACTGATGCGCAGAATAACTACCTGCTGTTGTTTCTATCTTCCACACGATGGATGGCATTGAGGCTGGAGATCATGACCAACCTTGTGACCTTGGCTGTTGCCCTGTTCGTGGCTTTTGGCATTTCCTCCACCCCCTACTCCTTTAAAGTCATGGCTGTCAACATCGTGCTGCAGGTGAGGGGGTGACTCTGTGTGGGCCCTCTCTGAGCTTTGCTCATCCTCTGCCTGTGGCTTCTGGGCAGACTCAGGGGGTCCTCAGGTGTTCAATGACACCTTAGGCTCTGGCCACGTGTGATCTTAGGAGCTATGTGCTTGGCCTTCTGAAATTGGTACTTTGCTCTGTTTCCTTGTGGTCAGCTCTGAATTGGGAAGTCTGTATTCAAAGGTATTTAATAGGATCACAGGACACTGGGAGTGAAGGGGAGCCCACAGATGACAGAGTCCAGTGTGCATATTATGCAGATGGGGAAACTGAGGCCCAGACAAGGGAAGGAGTTGTCCAAACAGATGCATGTTAGCAGAGCTGGAACGAGAACACTGATCTCTTGGCTTCCTGGCTGCTGTCTTTGTACCTAACCGTTCCTATCCTGATTGAGCTGTCAAACCTTTCTGAATCACCTGGAAAGGTTGTTTAAAAGGTGGGTTTCACAGCCCAGCCCCTAGAACAGGGCTTCTCAAACTTAAATGTGCCTAAGACTTGAAACAGACTTCTGGACCTTAGCCGGGGGGTTTGACTCACTCTGGGCATGGGTGGGGCTGCCAGGAGGACCATAGTCAAGGGCCACAGCCATAGAGATTCTGAGTCTGGTCCTGAGCTGGGGTCTTGGAATCTAATTTGTTTTTTATTTTTTGAGATAGGATCTCACTCTGTCATCCAGGATGGAGCACAGTGGCACGATCTTGGCTCACTGCAATCTCCACCTCCTGGGTTCACTTGATTCTCCTGCCTCAGCCTCCTGAGTAGCTGGGATTACAGGCACATGCCACCATTCCCGGCTCATTTTTGTATTTTTGGTTAGACACGGGGTTTTGCCATGTTGGCCAGGCTGGTCTTGAGCTCCTGGCTTCAAGTGATCCACTGGCCTCGGTCTCCCAAAGTGCTGGCACTCAGGTGTTAACCACCGTGTCCAGCCTGGAATCTAATTTTTAAAACGGGTTCTGTAGGAGATTCTGATATAGTGAGCTGTGTACCTCAAGGCCGGAATCCCTCTGTGCCCAGCACACTGGGGGCTGGGAGATGGGGAGAGATGTGGAGAGAGAGCGACTGGCCAAGGTTCACTGTCCACAGAGTCCCACAGAAGGGGCATCCGTGAAGGCCCCAAGGCCTGAGGCCGGCTTGGCAGTGCCTAAGGGAACCTGGGCTGTACCAGTCCAGGGCTCCTTCCCCCAGGGCTTATTCATTAATTGTCCCCTCTGTGGTTATGTGGCTTTCTCTCTAATTGGCTTGGGATCTTGCGTATGTCCCCTGAGAGAATGTGAGCCTGTGCACACACCTGTCTTTTATTGGCTATGGGAACATGGCCAAGTTACTTAAATGCTCTAAGCCCTAAGTTTTCTATTTGTAAGACAGGAACAATAATAGCTAATATTCATTGAGCATTTATTCCAGGCCAGGCACTACTCTAGGTTTTTACAAGCATTAAGTCTCACATTTACACATAATCCTCACAAGTCTATGATTTTGAAACTTTTATTATCTCCCTTTTACAGATGAGGAATCCCAGGCACAGAGAGGTTAACCAATTTATCCAAAGCCACACAGCTAATAATGGGCAGAGCCTCTTTAAACCTGGATATCCCGAACCACATGTTCCTTTTTTTTTTTTTTTTTGAGATGGAGTCTTGCTCTGTTGCCCAGGCTGGAGTGCAGTGATGCGATCTCGGCTCACTGCAAGCTCCACCCCCTGGGTTCATGCCATTCTCCTGCCTCAGCCTCCCAAGTAACTGGGACTACAGGGGCCCGCCACCATGCCCAGCTAATTTTTTTGTATTTTTTTTAGTAGAGATGGGATTTCACTGTGTTAGCCAGGATGGTCTCGATCTCCTGACCTCGTGATCCACCCACTTTGGCCTCTCAAAGTGCTGGGATTACAGGTGTGAGCCACCGCGCCCCGCCCCAAACTACATGTTCTTAACCACTTTGCTCATCTCATGCAGTGTGGTGAGCACTGAATGCCTGGAAGAGAGCACGGCCAGTGCCTGGCATTGCACCAGCTCAGTGGAAGCTCCCAGTCAGCCCAGCTGTTATTGCACTCCCAGGCGTCTGAGGGTGAGGACCACATAGCTCTCTGAATGTCCATGTGTCTGCAGAAGGCTCTGCACACACAGGCATGTGCGTGTATGTCCAAGAATGCATGTATGTGTAGGAGTGCATGTATGTGCAGGAGCACATGTATGTACTGGAGTGCATGTGTGTGCTGGAGTGCATGTATGTGCTGGAGTGCATGTATGTCCATGAGCACATGTATCAGTCCTCCATGCTGAGCTGTTATTTTGGGCATGCAAAGGGGCTCCATCTCACTCCTCGTTGAGCCCCCTGAAGCAAGCACGTACATGCACTGGGAGTGCAATAACAGCTGGGCTGACTGGGAGCTTCCACTGAGCTGGTGCAATGCCAGGCACTGGCCGTGCTCTCTTCCAGGCATTCAGTGCTCACCACACTGCATGAGATGAGCAAAGTGGTTAAGAACATGTGGTTTGGGGTGGGGCACGTTGGCTCACGCCTGTAATCCCAGCACTTTGAGAGTCCAAGGTGGGTGGATCACGAGGTCAGGAGATCGAGACTATCCTGGCTAACATGGTGAAATCCCACCTCTACTAAAAAAATACAAAAAAATTAGCCTGGCGTGGTGGCAGGTGCCTATAGTCCCAGCTACTCAGGAGGCTGAGGCAGGAGAATGGCGTGAACTTGGGAGGCAGAACTTGCAGTGAGGCAAGATCGCACCACTGCACTCCAGCCTGGGTGACAGAGCGAGACTCCATCTCAGAAAAAAAAAAAAAAAGAACATGTGGTTTGGAATACCCAGGTTCAAAGAGGCTCTGCCCATTATTAGCTGTGTGGCTTTGGGTAAATTGGTTAACCTCTGGGATTCCTCATCTGTAAAAGGGAGATAAAAGTTTCAAAATCATAGACTTGTGAGGATTATGTGTAAATGTGAGACTTAATGTTTGTAAAAACCTAGAGTAGAGCCTGGCCTGGAATAAATGCTCAATGAATATTAGCTATTATTGTTCCTGTCTTACAAATAGAAAACTTAGGGCTTAGAGCGTTTAAGTAACTTGGCTATGTTCCCATAGCCAATAAGAGACAGGTGTGTGCACAGGCTCACATTCTCTCTCTCTCTCTGATACACATACACATGCACCATTACAGAGTGCCCCCCAAACCTCCGGCACTCTCAGGGAGAGGCACCACACCAGTGTCTTAGGGGATTCGGAATCACTAAGGCCCAGAAATCCCTCCCGCTGCTGCTTCAGGACATAGATCAGGAGGGCAACGCTCAGGGCGAAGGTTGCCCAGTGCTGGTGCTGCCCTAAGCGCAGCCCTTGTAGGGAGCGAGGCAGAGGCTCATCTCTCCCAGGGTGCACTGTTCACAGCAGGCGGTTGCTCAAAGGTTGTTGCACCACAGGAGACTCTAATGGGAAACCCTGCCTGGGGGACTGACTGCTTCAAAATGGCCCTTGAGGGTCTTTTCTTCTTTTCAAGGTCTGCTGTACTATTTAAGCATCTTATCTTCATCCTGGTAATAACGTCTCAGTTCCCAGTCCTTCAGTACTTTCCAAGTCACCTTCCACACTCTCACCAGAGTAATGTTTAATTATAGTTTTCATCATGTCACTGCCCCGTTCAGAAGCCTTCAAAAACTCTGTCTCCTGTCTACCAAACCTCAGCTATGGGGTCCTGACCTCAATGTGCTCCCTCTGCTCCAGTCAAGCCAGAACCTCACTGACTTCTGCATGCGCTTTTGAGAAAATTACATTCGAGCATTGGGAGGCAGGAATCACACATCACATTGCTTTGCAGCCCCAAGAGGCTTCTCAGTAAATGCCAGAGATGCATCTGGCTGCGAGGCAAAGAACCAACTCAAAATGGCCTCGACCATCTGGGAACTTATTCTCTCATGTAACCAGAAGGCTGGGGTAGGCCTATGCTCAGTTGGCTCATTTAGTGGCCTAGCATGAACCCTTGATCGTTCTACCTTTCTGTGCTGGCATCCACAGCCTGGCTTTGTCTGCAAGTCTGTCTGTATTCATGGTCACAAAATGGCTGCTGCAGCCCCAAGTGTCACATCCTCCCACAATAACAGTCAAAGGCTGGAGAGGAGATAACTTTTTCCATGTGTTCCTTTTTAAAAGCAAAGAGAAGTTTTCAAGAATACACCCATCTGATGCCTTCTCATCCTTCAACGGCCAGAATGGCATCATGAGCCCACACCTAAACCAAGCTCTGGCAAGAGGAGTAGAATTAATGTGGTTGGTTTGGATTAACCAAGCTTCCCTGAAGCATAAGACCACCAGACACCTGAACATGATGCTGGCAAGGCAGCCCGCAGGGTGTGATACACTGAGGGATGGGAGGAAAAGTGGTCTTCCAACCCGCCCCTGGCCTCTTTTTCAGACTAAGCACCATTTCATCATGGTGCCCACCTTCTCTGACTTACAGAGGGCTTCCCCTCCTTCCTACACCCTTTTGTTTCAGCCATAGCCAAATGGCTTGTGGGTGCCTGGATGTATTCTGAGAATTTGCTGCTTTCAGGGCTTACATAGGCTGTTCTGTTTGGAACACACTTCTCCACCCATCTTTAGTCCACTGCATCTTACTTCACCTTAAAAATGTCACTCTAGGACTGACTCTTCTTGGAATCCTTCCCTGTGCCCTCATCCAGGGCCCCTCCTGTGCATCCCAGTGGCACTCCAGGGCTTCTCCATTGTGGAGTGCGCCCCTCTGCACTTTATTCTTTGTTGCCTTGTCTGCCTTTCCATCCAGCTGGGATCTCCTCGAGGGCAGGCCTACATCTGCTGCACTTTGGGACATGGAGCCTGGTCCAGCACCTGGCACAGAGCCATCCACCAGAGTTTGTTGAATGAATGTATGATTAATGTGTTACCCAGCACCCCCTGCACGTCCTGTTTGCCCATTTCTTGGGCCAGGGTAATGGAGGTTATAGACCGGGGCCCCAAGCCCAGCTCTGCCTCCAGCTTCTAGACGTTTCTGTGGATGTAATTTCTTCTTTTGGCGCCTCAGTTTCCTTATCTTTGGTGCCCCCAATTCCCAAGAGTCCCTAACTCCTCTAGCCTGGGTTTCCCTGAAGGCAGGACCTGAGAAAGGAACTTGGGTGCAGGCAGCTTATTTGGGAAGTGCTCCCAGGAACCAGGATTGAGGGAGCAGAAAAGTGAGATGAGGAAGGAGGAAGTCATCATGGGAGTGTGACACTGGGGTCCCTGTTCTATGTCACTAGGGCTCAACTGTCCTGGGATCTCCTGAGAAGCATATGGGGTATTTCCAGGACCATGCCCTCAAAGGCTGGGAG
The DNA here is from genome assembly GCF_000001405.40 of Homo sapiens. Lineage (NCBI taxonomy): Eukaryota > Metazoa > Chordata > Mammalia > Primates > Hominidae > Homo > Homo sapiens. The sequence goes on along the minus strand of NC_000016.10, from coordinate 48,179,082 downwards.
ATGGGAGCATTTATCTCTGCTAGCTCTTGTTCCCCATCAGTCAAAGTTCATTCTCAGTAACCTTAAGTCTCCTGGGTTTCTGGGATGTCCTCATGCACAGGCTAGGTGGTTGCTGTGATGTGGGCAGAGGTCTTGAGCAGAAAGACATACAGAGGGCACTCGAGGTGGAACAGTGTCTGGGGAGGTTCTCCCCCAGAATTGCCCATCGCAGCTGCAGCTAAACTCAGAAGTGGGCTGAGGAGGCACCAGGGGCCTCTGCTCCATTCTTGCTAGGAAAATTATCTTAGTTTCAGGGGTCACTCAGGGGCAATGGCAATCAGTGGTTATCAGGAGCGTTGAAGAGCCTGAGCACACCCCAGCAGCCTCTTGACCCCCGATACTTCTCCTTCCTTCTAGCTGGCGTCCAGCTTCCAGGCCACTGCCCGGATTGGCTTGGAGACAGAGGCACAGTTCACGGCTGTAGAGAGGATACTGCAGTACATGAAGGTGGGGTTCAGGTCTGGGTCTGGTGTGGGGAGCCATGCAAGTTGGGGCATGACTTCTGTGACCTCTACAAGCCCCACTGGCCTCAGAGCCCTGAGACCATCCCAGGAAACACCAGGCTCCTGGCCTTTCCTCCCTGTCTTCCCCAGACTTTTGTTGACCATCTCGCTGAAGCTCTTCCATACCTGTCTGCTCACTTTGACCACATCCCTCACAGCATTCCTAGGGGGAAGAGGAGATCATCTTCTCCTCTTGGAAATGAGAGGTTTGCCCAGTGCAATAATAATGATGACAACAATCTTTGTTCCTATTATTGCTTCCATTTATGTCATGGTGGTTAAGAGCACAGATTCTGTAGCCAGATTTCCTGGGTTCAAGTCTAAGCTTTACCATTTGAATCATTGGAATAACCTGGGCAACTTATTCAAACTCTCTTTTCCCCATCTCTGAAATGAGAAAGACAATAGCGTCCCTTTGCCAGATTATCACAAAGTTGAAATGATATAACATGTAAAGCACATAGCACACTGCCTGACCCATAGTGAGGCTCCATCATGTTCTTTATTATTGTGATTGAGACCTTTCTGTGGGCCAGGCATGGTGCTAAGCCCTTTATCTAGACTATCTCATGGGATCATGGAACAATTTTATTAGGTTGATTGAATGATTATCCACATTTTTCAGACAAGGAAACCGAGGTTGGGCCAGGCAGAACTTTTGCTTAAGATCACACAGGCTGGGGCTGGCAGAGCCCTCTACAAACCAGGTCTCCTGCCCCCTTGCATGAGTGGAATTTATGAATTGTAGGGCTCTGATTTCCTGCCCAGGGATGCTGCTGTGACACGGCACCAGCATGGGGAGTTGTGGCTTGCAGCCAGGTGGTCAGATCCAACTTCTTCTCCAGCGTTCTTTCCTCTCAACACACACAACTGCACTTGATGCAGAGTGGGCTCGGCGTTAGGCAGATCTGGGTTTGAGTTCCAACCTGAAACTGTGTGATCTTAAGTAAGTTGTGGAACTTACGTTAAGTAAGTTGTTGATCTTAAGTTGTTGGATCCTCTATCTCCTCACCTGGGAAATGCCTCCAAAAAGGCCTGTCTCATAGGATGAGGATAGAGAGAGATTAAGTCTGCACAAGGGCTCTGAGCTATGAACCCCCCCGAAGGGGGGAGTCTCTGCTGCCTTTACTGTCATTACCTTGGATTCTATTTCTTTAAAGTCACACAGTAAATCAGGAACATTGCTCTATGTTAATAACAAGGGAATTAGCTATGCAGGTTTCTCACTCTTCTGGGGAAAATTTTGTATGTTTTAGGCGATGGGGGCACGGGCGATGTTCCTCTGATTACACAGCAGGGGGCTTGACCTTGGCGCAAGGCAGGCTGGGGTGGGTCACACCCCCTACAGCGGGAGGCTGGCAGGCCCGCAGGGGATGGGCCGAGATAGATGATAACTATTGATTTCTTTTTCTTTCTTCAAAAACAAGATGTGTGTCTCGGAAGCTCCTTTACACATGGAAGGCACAAGTTGTCCCCAGGGGTGGCCACAGCATGGGGAAATCATATTTCAGGATTATCACATGAAATACAGAGACAACACACCCACCGTGCTTCACGGCATCAACCTGACCATCCGCGGCCACGAAGTGGTGGGCATCGTGGGAAGGACGGGCTCTGGTGAGCTGAGCTTCCTGGGCGAGCGTCCCCAGCTCCTCCTTTGCCCTTTGGGCACTAGACCTATTTAGGGGCATGTGTTTGCTCAGTCATCCCCCAAATATGTATTAGGTCCTCATGCTGTGCTGGGCCCTGTGCTAGACAAACACTGGTGAGCGAAACCCAAGGTCCCTGTGATCATGGGATTCCAGTGGAGGAGACGGATGTTAAATAGACCAGCAAATAAAGACGGAAATGTGACAGCTGCAGGCTGTGGTGGCTGCCACAGGGTGGTATGCAGAATAATGGGGCTAGTGGTACTGGGCCTTGGATACCTGGGTTCTGAGCCCAGTGCTTAAGCTGAGGGGTATAGGGTCCGGGCAGGAGCACTTTTGGAGGGGCATTGCAGGGCACTGCCAGGATGAAGAGCAGGCTAGGAGTTAAATCCAGACTCCCCTTTTCCTCCCTCCCCACCCCCTTCCTGGACTGCTCTCACCAGCCTCTGTCTCCTCCTCTTTCCTCTCCCAGTTTCCTTTCTCCTCCTCAGTTTCTCTCCCTGTCTTCCTCTCCTGTCACTTCTGGGAGATCTGGCCCAAGTCCCCCTCCCTCTGCCTCTTTGCATTGTTCAAAAACTACTGTTAAGACTTGGTTCTTGTCCCCAGTCCCCCACTCCTGGGCACCCCAGAGCTGCCTCCTCCAGGCAGCCCCATGGATAATGAGGGCCTGCCTGGTCTGTCTCCTCAGCACTCCTGCACTGCAGGGTGAAGAGCTTCCACATATGTTCTTTTGGGTGTTCTTCTCTTGCTATTTTCCACCTGCCGATTGGTGGAAACCCTGAGAGGGCTGGGGTCTGGCAGAGAAAAGCTCTCAGTAGATTCTGACCCTACTGCCTATATTCATTCAGTAGGTTTTTACTGAGCACCTACTATGTGCCTGGGAACCGAAAGGTAAGGAAGACACACAGCTTCTACCCTTATAGAGCTTAACTATGAGAACAGGGTTGAAACCTCCAATGCTTTGGAGCCTGGCAGGTGCCATGGGTGGGTGTGATATATGGGGGCGGGGGAGGGCGGGTGGTGACTGGAGAATGCCACTGTGTCTCAACCAAGTGGCTGCGCTCAGCTCCAGCCGAGCTGTTGCCTGGGGGGGATATGGGTCCAGTGTTGCCAATTCTACTAAATTTCAAGAGAAACATGCAATTTGAACTTTTATATCTAGGATTTTTAAAAATGCTGGCAAGGAATTAAAAAATAATCCTAACATTGTGTATATGAAACAAAACATGTCTGCGGGCTGGCTTTGATCCAGGGGCCCCACGTGTGCCCTCTGATCTAGGCTGTAACAAGCTGCTCATGGCATTAGGTATCACCTGGAGCAGGGACGCCAGCCCTCTCCTACCCCTTCAGGGCTCACAGTGATGAAGAATGGGCCACGGAGGGCAGCGGGTCAGGTGTGATCGCCAGGTGCGATCTGTGCTTCCGCTAGTGCAGATGCAGGAAACTGAGGCCCCGCTTGTTTCTTGCCCCACAGGGAAGTCCTCCTTGGGCATGGCTCTCTTCCGCCTGGTGGAGCCCATGGCAGGCCGGATTCTCATTGACGGCGTGGACATTTGCAGCATCGGCCTGGAGGACTTGCGGTCCAAGCTCTCAGTGATCCCTCAAGATCCAGTGCTGCTCTCAGGAACCATCAGGTGAGTGCCGGGCCAGCAGGCAGCCTGCAGGAGGTGGGTCACAGGACCAGGATTCCAGCACCGGGCTGCCTATAGTGAGCTGGTGACCAATGCCCCGATTTCCAGGCCTCCTTGGCCTGCTGGGCCACTCATGCCTACCTGGCTTACCTCACTGAAGTACTGTTGAGGATTAAATGAGGCCTCAATATATATAAGAGCACTTTGTAAACCGTAATGTTATACGCAAAAACAAAACATATTTTTATTTTTTAGAAACTGGATGGCATGGTGGTGCACAGCCGTAGTCCGAGCTATTTGGGAGGCTGAGGCAGGAGGATCACTTGAGCCCAGGAGCTCAGGGCTGTAGTACACTATGACTGTGCCTGTGAATAGCCACTGTGCTCCAACCTGGGCAACACAACAAGACCCTGACTCTTATTAAAAAACAAACAAACAAACAAGCAAACAAACAAAAAACAGAAACAAAACCCTGATGGGATTGGTCAGATTTCACTACACCATTAAGCATTTGCACTCAGGCTACCATATTCTTTCTTGTCCAGATGTAGCTTATTCTCTCTGTGCACTGGGCAAAGCCCCTGGGGACGTTTTTAGGAAGTGCTTCTTCAATGGTACACATTCTGGACAGGAGTGATGTGAGAAAAATCCAGGCAGCCCAGTCAGTGAAGCAGACAGAACCAGATCTTCCAGCCTCTTCACTACACTTTCTGTGTCCTCAGAAGTCAACTCAGGGACAAAGCTTTATCCAGATTAGGCTCCTACTGACAATGCACTTTATCTGGGAGGAAACATCAAGGCATGGGGACTGAGGAAGATGGATGCACTAAAAAGCAGGCTAGGTCCCCCCATGTTTTGTGATATTTAAGGAGAATTCTTAGAGCCAGGAGGATAAACTGAACCCCAGAGCTTCATTCATTCATTCCTTCATTCATCCTCCCACTCATTTAACTTGCCTTTTCTGAGCTTCTGCCTGGTCTGGACACTGTGCTAGGGACTGGAGCCAGTTTAATGAATGTACATTTTCCCTGCTCCCCCAGCAGGAGCTCACAGTGTGGGTGGGGAAGATGGTTTTGTACAGGGGTAAGACCCAATAAATCACAGTATGAAGGGGTAATTGTTAGATCAGAGATATGTACAAAATGCTAAGGGAGCTACGACTGGGATGAGTCACTGCCTGAGTGAATCCAGAAAGGCTTCCCAGAGGAGGGGACATTTGATCAGGGTCTTGAAAGCTGAGTAGGAGCTTGCCAGGCAGAAATAGGAGACAAACTCTTTTCAAGGAGAAGGAACAATATGTGCACAGACACAGGGTTTCAAAATGACTGGGTCATGAGGTGGGGCATGGTAGTTCATGCCTGTAATCCCAGCACTTTGGGAGGCCAAGGCAGGGAGATCACTTGAGGCCAGGAGTTTGAGACCAGCCTGGCCAACATGACAAAACCCTGTCTCTGCTAAAAATACAAAAATTAGCCAGATGTGGTGGTGCATGTCTGTAATCCCAGCTACTCGGGAGGCTGAGGCACGTGAATCGCATGAGCCCGGGAGGTGGAGGTTGCAGTGAGCCGAGATCGTGCTACTGCACTCCAGCCTGGGTGACTGAAGGAAACTCTGTCTCAAAACCTTCCCCGCCCCCACACAAAACAACAAAAAAATGGTTGTGTTAGGGGAATGATAAGACATTTAGTGATAGATTTCTATGTTACAGTAGAATGTGGCCAAATCTCCTGTGCGTTGATATGAAGAGTAGTAAAAATATGAACTAACATTTATTGAGCATTTATATGTGCCAACTGAATGCTTTAGTATACTGCCTAATTTAACTCTCCCAGCAACACTGTGAGGCCCCTTCATTATCCCCATTTTACAGATGAAGGCACGGAACTTAGAGAGGAAGGGGACTTGTTTAAAGACACACAAAGAAATGGCGAACATGAGATATAACCCTAGGTGTTCTAAACCCATAATTTGTGATATTTCCCCCCACCTCTTTCTGTAGAAAGAAATGTGGACTTGAAATCCTACCTTAGAACTTAAGGCTCTACCCTTAAGCATCTCTCTGAATGTCTTGATGCCAGCCTGGCTCTCATACTGGCTTGTGGCGTGACCTTGAACAAGCCATTTAAAACTGATAAGAAAGGAGTATACCCATCTCATGGAGGAGAAAATGTCAAATAACCCATCTATGAAAGTGCTTTGGAGATATCAAATGTCATGCAAATAAGACCTGCCTCTTCTTTAGTACACATTAGCCCTACACACAAGATATGCGTGGCTGGCACAACTGGGGAAGGATAAAGCAAGGTTGACAGGTTTCACTCAGGGCTACATGGCTGCATAGCAGGGAAGTGTCTATAGTGCTGCCTGTTCCAGATGCAAGTGTAAAGCTTGCTGGGTGTAAAGTCCAGATAGATTCCCTCTCTCATGTCAGTTACCTGGATGTTAGGATTCTTTTCACTGCAAGAAACAGAAAGTCCAGCCCCCCAACAATGAGCTACCACTTCACACCTACTAGAATGGCTATAACAATAATAAAAGGTAAATAGCAAGTATTATTAACAAGGATGTGAAAAAATTGAAACTCTCATGCATTGCCAGTGGGGATGTAAAATTGTGCAGAGACCATGGAAAACAATTTGGCAATTCCTCAAAAAGGTAAACAAAAATTAGCTGGGCATGGTGGTCTGTGCTTGCAATTCCAGCTACTCAGGAGACTGAGGTGGGAGGCTTGCTTGAGCCCAAGAGGTCAACGCTGTAGTGAGCTGTGTTTGCACCACTGCACTCCAGCCTCGTAGACAGAGTGAGACCCTGTCTCAAAAAAAAAAAAAAAAAAGTTAAACATAGAATTACCATGTAATCCAGGAATTTCACTTCTAGTTATATATCCCAAAGTGTTGAAAGCAGAGACTTCAACCCATATGTGTACACTAGTGTTTAGAGCAGCCCTACTCACAGTAATCAAAAGGTGGAAACAAGTCATACGTCTATAAACAGATGAATGGAAAAACAAAATGTGGTATATACATACAATGGAATATTATGCAGCTCTAAAAAGAAGGGAAATGTTACATGCTACAATATGGATGGACACGAAGTGAAAGATGCCAGACAGAAGGACACATACTACATGAGTCCACTTATATGAGGTAGCTGGAATAGGCAAATCCATATCGATGGAAAGTAGAATAGAAGTTACCAAGGGCTGGTGGGGAGGGGGAAGAAGAGACTGTTTAATGGGTATAGAGTTTTTGTTGGGGATAATGAAAAAGTTTTGTTTTGTTTTGTTTTGTTTTGTTCTGAGACCGAGTCTCACTCTGTCACCCAGGCTAGAGTGCAGTGACACCATCTCAGCTCACTGCAACCTCCACCTCCTGGGTTTAAGTGATTCTTCTGTCTCAGCTTCCTGAGTAACTGGGACTACAGGCTTGCATCACTGTGCCTGGCTAATTTTTGTATTTTTAGTGGAGTGGGGTTTTACCATGTTGGCCAGGCTGGTCTCAAACTCCTGACCTCAAGTGTTCTGCCCACCTCAGCCTCCCAAAGTGCTGGGATTACAGGTGTGAACCACCATGCCCAGCAGGATGATGAAAAAGGTTTCGATATAAATAGTGGTAATGGTTACATGACATTATTAATGTATTTAATGCTGCTGAATTGTACACTTTTAAGTGGTTAAAATGATAAATATTATGTACTTTCTATCACACAATAAAACAAAACCCAAATGGCTTAAGGAAAAGTGGCCTCTAATGACTCATGCATGATAATGGGGAGGCCAAGGCTGAGTTCCAGGGCCCGGTTTTCCCCTAGCATTGCCTTGCTTCATTCTGAACTCCACATGAGGGCCCTGGGGGGCTCCATGTGTCCCACTCCTGTGGGAGGATGGTTGCAATCTCTCCGCACGTCTCCCATGGTAGCCTGAAAAGTCCTGAGATACACTCTGATTGGTTACTTTCCCACCCCAAGCTAAGCACCATGGCCAGGGATTGCTGTATGTCGATTGGCTTATCCTTGAGCCCTTTGCTCCATCAGGAGTGGATGGTGGAGCCTGCCCTGGAACACATGGGCTGGGGGACTGGGGAGGAGGTGGCCCCTAAACAAAACCTGGGCCTGCTGCCTGCAGAAGGAACAGGTGCTGGGAGGCACAAAAAATCTCCATTTGTGGTGGTTCCATGAATTTCCCTAAACCCCATAATCCAGTTCTAAACATTCTTGGTCATTCACTGGGCATATAAATGAGTGTTCAAAGCCTGGGTGATGTTGTTGAACACTTCTCTTTCTCTCATATGGTAGATTCAACCTAGATCCCTTTGACCGTCACACTGACCAGCAGATCTGGGATGCCTTGGAGAGGACATTCCTGACCAAGGCCGTAAGTAGCTCCAAGGCCCAAGTCTTGGTCTAAGTCTGCATCGCCCATGGGGGGCTGCCCCTTTGGGGCTCCTCTCATGTGGTGTTCCAGCTGCTGCTGCTTCGGGTCATGGATGCATCATCTCATGGAGATGAGATGACTTGGCATTCCTAAGTCAAGGCTGATGGCACTCAGACACCAACCGTGTGCCAGACACTGTTCTAGGCTCAGGGGCACAGCAAAGACAAGGCAGATGAGGTCTTTGTCCTCCTGGTACGTACATTCAATAGGAGATAAAGGCAACAAGTAAATGCAGGAGATACTTTCAGATACTGGTAAGGGCTGTATAGGTAGTCATGAGACCCATAGAAACGTCAGGGCAGGAGCAGCTCTTTTCAATTGGGTGGCCAGGCAAGGTCTCTTTAAACAGGTGGCAGCTGAGCTGAGACCAAGAACTGAGGGGCAGCCGATGAAAGATCTTTTGAGAGGACATTCTGGGCACAGGAGCTAGCGTATGCAAAGGCCCAGAGACGAGAGTGAGCAAGGCGCAGTTAAGGAGCAAGAAAACAGAGGCTGGAGCGTAGAGAGAGGAGGGCAGTGTTGCCAATACAGCGGAAGATTGACAAGGTCAGGTTGGGTCTCACCCCACAGTGGCTTCCAGGTTATGTTGTCTCTTCTTCCCATATCGCAGATCTCAAAGTTCCCCAAAAAGCTGCATACAGATGTGGTGGAAAACGGTGGAAACTTCTCTGTGGGGGAGAGGCAGCTGCTCTGCATTGCCAGGGCTGTGCTTCGCAACTCCAAGGTGAGGCCACCACTGCCGTGTGGCCAGGGGAAGCCACAGACTACGCATGATGAGGGAAGCCACACCGGCTCCCTCTCCCTTCACTACCGTGGGACACTGGGCTCTGTGGTGTACGTCTTAACAACAACAACAACAACAACAACAACAGCAACAGAATCCAAAGGGCTTATTCATTTCCTTTTTTTTATTATTATACTTTAAGTTCTAGGGTACATGTGCACAACGTGCAGGTTTGTTACATATGTATACATGTGCCATGTTGGTGTGCTGCACCCGTTAACTCGTCATTTACATTAGGTATATCTCCTAATGCTATCCCTCCCCCCTCCCCCCACCCCACGACAGGCCCCAGTGTGTGATGTTCCCCACCCTGTGTCCAAGTGTTCTCATTGTTCAATTCCCACCCATGAGTGAGAACATGCAGTGTTTGGTTTTTTGTCCTTGCAATAGTTTGCTGAGAGTGATGGTTTCCAGCTTCATCCATGTCCCTACAAAGGACATGAACTCATCCTTTTTTACGGCTGCATAGTATTCCATGGTGTATATGTGCCATATTTTCTTAATTATTTCCACACATCTACAACCATCTGATCTTTGACAAACCTGACAAAAACAAGAAATGGGGAAAGGATTCCCTATTTAATAAATGGTGCTGGGAAAACTGGCTAGCCATATGTGGAAAGCTGAAACTGGATCCCTTCCTTACACCTTCTACAAAAATTAATTCAAGATGGGCTTATTCATTTCACTGAGTGCCATTCCACATGCATTTGTGGTGTGGGTGAGGCATGGTAGATGAGATTCACAGCCTAGGCTGCCTGATAGCGGATTCCTTACACCTGAGCTGAAATGTCTCCAACTAGACCAAATGATGATCCTCTTTTCTCAGAAAAACACAACACATTAGACCCTCGTTGATTTTTAAATTGCCTACTGTATACTGTTTTAAAAACTTGGATGCAGTACATCCCTTTTATCTTTATTAGAACTGGGAATTGGATGACAGATGCTGATCCAGGGCAAAATTGCATATATATATATTTTTTAAATTTACTTTAAGTTCTGGGATACATGTGCAGAACGTGCAGGTTTGTTGCATAGGTACACATGTGCCATGGTGGTTTGCTGCACCCATCAACCCATCATCTAGGTTTTAAGACCCACATGCATTAAGCATTTGTCCTAATGCTCTCCCTTTCCTTGCCCCCCACCACCTGACAGGCCCTGGTGTGTGATGTTCCCCTCCCTGTGTCCATGTGTTCTCATTGTTCAACTCCCACTTGTGAATGAGAACATGCAGTGTTTGGTTTTCTGTTCCTGTGTTAGTTTGCTGAGAATGATGACTTCCAGCTTCATCCATGTCCCTGCAAAGGACATTAACTCATTCTTTTTTATGGCTGCAAAATTGCATATTTTTAAAAATTTGGCGGAACAGGGCTTCCAGAAGCTTTCTAGATATTTTGTCCATAATTTCAGGTGTTTGAGTATGTGAGATAGCCTGGGGCAAACCTTCTCCTACGTAGGCGAGGCAAGACACACATGTACACACATACTTATGCATGCATATGCACATACCTTCTCCATACTCACACATGTATGCATGCTCACACACATGTATCATGGTTAATTAATGATAAATGCAAAAACTGTTGGTGCAAACTGTCAGAGCTGTGGGAAAAGAGCTCAGTGGGGCCCAAAGCCTGGGAAAATTTCAGAGGAGGTAGGACTTTCCCCCTCTTCTTTGGAGAGATGAACAACAAATTTGCAAAGTACATGTAGTACTTTCTTCACACTTCCTTATTTCAATTACATAGCCATTTGGTGCTGCAATGGCTTCCTCTGTATTGCTTCCCAAATTTGAGTCATTACTTTATGATTTTTGTCATCTCTGGGTACCACCTACCCTGTGATTTACTAATGATACTCCCTTTTCAAAAACAGCCTCATCCCAAGCAGTGCCATTTGTGAAATCACACTTTCAGTGTGAGTTACAGTTTCCTCATGCATATCGTTAATGAAATAAATACAAAAATGTTAAACTAAAAAGAATGTTTATCCATATGCTGGAGAAATCATCTCATGTGCCTCCTGGGGTGTGTGCCTGCCCCTTCTTGGAGAACACCGCTCTACTTTAGTTTCGGTAAATGGGAAAGTAGTTAATAAAACAAGAAGTTGCCACTAGGCCATTTTCATTTCCAAGAACTTAATTCTCTGGCCACTAAAATGCAGTTAGCTCCTGGTTGAGACCTAACGTTCTCTTCATAAGGTAATGGATAATCAGCAATCAGAGCGGGCTTTGCACTCGGCATAATTCTCCCATTTCCCAGCTAAAGAAATGGAGACCTGGAGAGGAAGGGCCCTGGTGAATTAGTGGTAAACCAGGGCTAGACCCAGGTCTCTAGGGCCTGAAGTAGACACCTTCACCCCTGTTTTGTATTCATCAGATCATCCTTATCGATGAAGCCACAGCCTCCATTGACATGGAGACAGACACCCTGATCCAGCGCACAATCCGTGAAGCCTTCCAGGGCTGCACCGTGCTCGTCATTGCCCACCGTGTCACCACTGTGCTGAACTGTGACCACATCCTGGTTATGGGCAATGGGAAGGTGAAGGCTGCGTCCTTGGGCTGGTGGGAGGATGAGGGCTCAGGCTGCTACCCCAGATGCCTTTGAGTCCTCCAAGGACACAAGCTCAGCTGTGCCCTGATCCTCCCCTCGCCTTTCTCTACCCTCCAGGTGGTAGAATTTGATCGGCCGGAGGTACTGCGGAAGAAGCCTGGGTCATTGTTCGCAGCCCTCATGGCCACAGCCACTTCTTCACTGAGATAAGGAGATGTGGAGACTTCATGGAGGCTGGCAGCTGAGCTCAGAGGTTCACACAGGTGCAGCTTCGAGGCCCACAGTCTGCGACCTTCTTGTTTGGAGATGAGAACTTCTCCTGGAAGCAGGGGTAAATGTAGGGGGGGTGGGGATTGCTGGATGGAAACCCTGGAATAGGCTACTTGATGGCTCTCAAGACCTTAGAACCCCAGAACCATCTAAGACATGGGATTCAGTGATCATGTGGTTCTCCTTTTAACTTACATGCTGAATAATTTTATAATAAGGTAAAAGCTTATAGTTTTCTGATCTGTGTTAGAAGTGTTGCAAATGCTGTACTGACTTTGTAAAATATAAAACTAAGGAAAACTCACTTTCTTTGTTCTGCTTCCTTTCGTTTCTTTTCTTTTTGTTTTTTTAGACAGGGTCTTGCTCTGTTGCCCAGGCTGGAGCGCAGTGGCGCAATCTCAGCTCACTGTAGCCTCTGCCTCCCAGGTTCAAGCAATTCTCCTGCCTCAGCCTCCTGAATAGCTAGGATTACAAGCATGTGCCACCATGACTGGCTAATTTTTGTATTTTTAGTAGAGGCGGGGTTTCACCATGTTGGCCAGGCTGATCTCAAGTGATCCGCTTGCCTTGGCCTCCCAAAGTGCTGAGGTTATGGGCATGAACCACTGCACCCAGCCATCTTCATTCTGCTTTTTACGTTAGCTAGTACTTATTCAGTTGCAAGGAACAGAGACTCCCTCAAACTAACTTTGGAAAAAAAAAAGAGTTTGTTGGTCTTGTAACAGAAAGATACAGAAAAAGTTCAAGGTTGGGTGCCGGAATGAAAGGATGCCTGTTTTGAGGTCTCTGTTTCTCTTCTCCTAGCTCTGCTTTCCTTTGTTTGGCTTCACTTTCTAACTTCCTCTTGCCTCATGGTGGCAATATGGTTGCCTGCAGCTCCAGGTTCACGTCCTACACACTCTGCACCCCCCAGGTCTTCTTGCCTCAATGATTCCAGGGTGAAATCTCACTGGGCCAGCTTGGGTCATGTGCTTGTTCCTGATCAATCATGTGCTAGGCTGTTGGCATACTGTGATTTGCCAGGCCTGAGCCACATGCCCATATTTGGGCCTGGGGATGGGATTTGCTGCCCTAGATCATGTAGACTGAGAATAGAAGAGGTTGTTTCACCAAAGTAAAATTGTGCCTGAGGGAAGAATGGATATGGATGCTGGCCAGGCCCCAGATAGCAGCTGTCTACTATGATTGTTTACTGAAGAGCAGCATAACTTACAACGTATGACAACTGAAAATAAAATAATTTGTTTTCTCTCTTTCTTGTTCTCACTCCCCCACCCTCCACATGTGGTTACAGACAAATAGAAAAGGCAATCATTTTCAACTTACTTCTGGGGAGACCTTGTTGTTGGGGGAAATATGTTTCAAAGTACTTTCCTTTTTATTCCAGATTATGATGTCTGATTTTCAAAAAATGCCATAAAAAATCAATTTAGTAAACCAATATTTCTCACTCTCTTGCCTGCACTGGTGCTGGGGATGAAATGGTGTCCCTGCCCTCAGGGAATTTGGAATCTCGTGAGGGTAAGTAAACAGTAAAACTGTAAACAAGTAAACAGGCCGATCCAGAACAGGGCTACCTGAGGCTAGAAGCAGGAACAGGATGCAGAGGAAAAGGCAGCCCCCGGGGACTTCCTGGAGGCAGTGTGGGCACAGTTTACTGAGACCTGAGCACTGAACAAACATTTACTCCAAGGAAGGGGACTGGGGCAGGAAAGAATGTTCAAGGCAGAGAGAACAGCAAACAAATCCCTGCGGGAATGAGCTACTACAGGGGCTGATGCAATCCTTGGACGGAACAGGAGAAGTCCGGTGCCCTGGAGCGCGAACCTTCTGTTCCCCATTTGGGACTCTCTAGTGGCACCTGCTTCTCCTTCTAGGGGGTTTATCTTTCTTAAAAAACCTTTGCTCTGTTATTCCCTTCCCCTCAGTCCTGGCTTTTTTCTTTTTTGGGCCCTGAAGTGTCCCTGGGAACCCCATATGCTACCATCCCATCACAGTTCAGCTGCTCATCTGCCCATTGAGGGTGACTCTCCTTCCTCTGCTTCCCCATTCCCAGAACTGCTGTGGGACACTGCCCTCATCACGGGTGAGGGAGCTCTCTACACACTGGCCCTCCCCAGGCCAGATGCAGCTGCCGTCTTTTCCTTGAGCGACCAGCAGATGGCAGCCTCGTCCCAAAAATGCGGTGATGGCCCCACTGGGCTTCTGAGCTGGCCGGATCCCCGGAGATAATTCGCCACAAAAGTGTTGACCCCTGGAGTCAGAGGACAGGAAATAGAGCCCATTTCCACTCAGTGTGCAGAGCCCCATCCCATCTGCCCCCGTCCCCACCTCCAGCAGCAAAATGTGAGAACCATTGGCTCCGAGCAGTAATAAAGCAGAATTTTTTGAAAAATACCATTAGTTTTTTTAAACAACATTGATTTTACATATATATATATATATATGGAGAGAGAGAGAGAGAGAGGGAGGGAGGGAGGGAGGGAGGGAGGGAAACGGAGTTTCACCTTGTTGTGAAGGCTGGAGTGCAGTGGCGCGATCTCTGCTCACTGCCACCTGGTTCCAGCGATTCTCCTACCTCAGCCTCCTGAGTAGCTGGAATTATAGGTGCCTGCCACCACACCTGGCTAATTTTTGTATTTTTAGTAGAGACGGGGTTTTGCCAAGCTGGCCAGGCTGGTCTTGAACTCCTGACCTCAGGTGATCTACCCGCCTCCGCCTCCCAAACTGTTGGGATTATAGCTGTGAGCCACCACGCCCAGCCAATATTGTAATATTTTATTCCTTAAGCTGAGTGGTGAGTGTATGAGGCTTTGATTTTTAATAATTCTTTTCACCTTTTCAGGTTTCAGAAATGTTTTATGATAAACATTTAAAAATTGGTATTTGGTCTTTCAAAAATAATACTAAAATAATTATAATGAGAGAATGCAGGGCTTTGCTGTGCTTTGTTATATTTATTTGATGGTTTGTTATTATTTTTATTTTCAATTCCATACTGGCGGAGAGGAGGTCATGGAATTTTTTTAGAGGTTCTAGAGGCATGAGTTGGGGTGATGTTGTCAGAGGCATTTGAACCAGATCAACTCCATCTTGAATAGGGGCTGGGTAAAATAAGGCTGAGACCTACGGGGCTGCATTCCCAGATGGTTAGGGCATTCTAAGCCACAGGATGAGATAGGAGGTTGGCACAAGATACAGGTCATAAAGACCTTGCTGATAAAAAAGGATGCAGTAAAGAAGCCGGCCAAAACCCACCAAAACCAAAATGGTGAAGAGAGGGACCTCTGGTTGTCCTCGCTGCTCCACTCCCACCAGCGCCATGACAGTTTACAAATGCCATGGCAACGTCAGGAAGTTATCCTATATGGTCTAAAAAGGGGAGGCATGAATAATCCACCCCTTGTTTAGCATATCATCAAGAAATAACCATAAAAGTGGACAACCAGCAGCCCTCGGGGCTGCTCTATGGAGTAGCCATTCTTTTATTTCTTCACTTGTTTTTTTGTTTTGAGACGGAGTCTTGCTCTGTCACCAGGCTGGAGTGCAGTGGCGCGATCTTGTCTCACTGCAACCTCCGCGCTCCCGCCCCCCTGGTTTAAGCGGCTCCCCTGACTCAGCCTCCCAACTAGCTGGGACTACAGGCGCCCGCCACCACGCCCAGCTAATTTTTTGTATTATAGTAGAGACGGGGTTTCACCATGTTAGGCCAGGATGGTCTTGCTCTCCTGACCTCGTGATCCGCCCGCTTCCACCTCCCAAAGTGCTGGGATTACAGGCGTGAGCCACCGTGCCAGGCCCCTTTACTTGCTTAATAAACTTCCTTTCACTTTACTCTATGGATTCGCCCTGAATTCATTCTTGCGTGAGATCCGAGAGCCCTCTCTTGGTGTCTGGATTGGAGCTCCTTTCCTGTAACAGTGTGGTCCACAATGACAGCAACTGATGTGCAGAGCAAAGGAGGCCACAGTCACGCTGGCCCTGCCTGCCCTGCCCTCTGTCTGCAGCCCTGGACAATATCGTAAGAGAAACTGGTAAATGAGCAGTCTTCAGAGACCAACCTCTATGGTGGCCAGAGCACCATGCTGTGCAAGGCACCAGCAGAAAGAGGGGAAGACTCAGACTTCAGTCTTTCCGGTCCGGAAGGGCTTCTTTCAGAAAAGTGGCTCCAGAGGGCAGCCCCAGCCTAGAAGGCATGGACCTTTGGGTCACTGGAAAGGTCCCAGGAGGGAGTGGCTGCCTGGAGGGGCAGGGAGCTCACCGTGGCTGGGAGCATTTTCTGGCTCTGGAAAGCTCTCTCCAGTGCAAGGTGAGGGGCAGTGTTCTTATCCCCAGGCTGGGAGCGGGTCCCCCAAGGCTGAGTGCTGGGAGAAATTCTGCATACACCTCTCTGTGGACTGGGACACTGGAATGCAATAATGGAAATAATAACGCCTGACAGCAGAAGTTTTCAAACTTGAACTTGAGTATCCAAATTGCCTGGAGGGCAAGACACAGATTGCTGGACCCCAACCTCATATAGTTCCATCCAGTAGGTCTGGGGTTGGGCTTAAGAATTTGCCCTTCTAACAAGGCTCAGATGTTGCTGATACTGCTGGTCTCTGGCCCGTGCTCTGAGAACACAGAGGTTAGCTGAGAGCACGTGTCCCATATGATCTAGACAGGAAGGGTCCAGGCCCCCATGTGAATGTGCTTCCCAAAGTTCCTGTGCTTCCGGGCACTTTGATTTGCATGACCTCTTTTAACTCTGCCTTCCTGAGCATCCCGCTAGGCCATCCATCCTCTCCTTTGCTCCACTGCATTCATCTAGCAGGAGAATTCAGCACTTCTCCTTATTTCCTTTGTATGTGTAGACCACTTGAATGAAGGGTGGGGTCAAAAGAATTGTTGACAGCAAGTCAACAACTTCCAATTGAATATCAACCATGTGCTTTCTTAAGGAGTCCCTCACCATTCTACCCACTCTGGCTCTGGTTTCCTCTCTGGTTCTCTAATTACTGTCTGTGTTCTCCCTGCCCCCGCCTCCCAATTCTTGGACACATTTTATGCAGAGCAGTTTAGTTCTCCCTTCTGGTGCCCTTTCCTGCCAAGCAAGTCATTAGGGTGTCTCTGACTGCCCCAAGAGACAGATCAAGGCAGTTGCTAAACAAAAACGGTTCCCACCCTCTGATTCACTCTGGTGCCAGCTGTTAAGATTGTAAAATTTCACCCCATTATCCTAAATGTCCCCTAATCTGTCCCCCGGCATCATTTAGAAAATTCTGTGGAATCCAACTGCTTCAGAGTCAGAAGCAATTTTAGAAGTCGTCAGTCCAGCTGTTCTTAGCCTGTGGTCCATGGACCTCTTAGCTAGATTCAGGGCATCTATGAATTTGGATGGGAAAAAAATGACATCTTTATTTTTACAAACTGAAATTTGGTGTTTTCCTTGATGGGGCAACAAATAGATAGTATTAGCAGTATCTGTGACTTTGTTACCAATAGAAATCAGCGGTATTCTCAAATCTCATTTCAATTGTTTCAGATGTCTCAAAATATCACTTACATGCATCAATGCTTTGAAATTATAATAGTCATTAGAACTTCTGCTAGATCACATTACTTAGTGCATCAATATAGAAGCATATACCTTACAGTATTCAGCTGTGTTTTATACATATTATCATAAGCACATTCTGCATAATTGGTTATCTTTGCAATCCTATGTACTTTATCTCATGCATAGAAATACTTTTTCTGAGAATATACTAGAATGCCAAAGAGGTCCATGGCACACAAACAATTTAAGAACCTGCATTTAACTCAGCTCTTTGATTTTCTAGAGGGAACTCGTGTCCCAGGCGGAGGAGATACCTTGCCCACAACCACACCACTGGCTTTTAATAGGCTGGTTTAGAACTCGAATATAAAACAGGAGAGGGGGCTGGGCGCAGTGGCTCATGCCTGTAATCCCAGCACTTTGGGAGGCCAAGGTGGGCGGATCACCTGAGGTCAGGAGGTCGAGACCAGCCTGGCCAACATGGTGAAAAGCCATCTCTACTAAAAATACAAAAATTAGCCGGGCGTGATGGCATGCGCCTGTAATCACAGATACTAGGGAAGCTGAGGCAGGAGAATTGCTTGAACCTGGGAGGTGGAGGTTGCAGTGAGCCGAGATCGAGCCACTGCCCTCCAGCCTGGGCAACAAGAGAAAAACTCCATCCCCAAAATAAAATAAAATAATAAAATAAAACAGGAGAGGGAAGAAAACGAGAAGGATGAAGCAAGCAGTAAGGGCTGGGGATAAAGGCCTCACCCCCAAACCAGCCAGCATGGCCTGCTCAGAGCAGGGGGACAGATAGGCTGCCCCTTCATGGAAGTTCTATTTCTAGTGCCTGACAGCCCCTTACGCAGAGCTTGCCATCCAGTGCGGCATCTCTGAGGAGCATTAGTGCAAAACTGTGATTCATCAGAGCAAAGAGGAGTACACTTTGCTGACTTGATAAGCGTGTTTCTTGCCAAATCCTTGGTTCCCAGATACTTAATGGGTAGCATTGTACTCTAGAGAGAACCGTACCGATTTGGAAACTTCTGTTCTGATATGAGGGTCTCAGTCCCTCTCAGTGGCATTCACTGAAATGCTCCCCACCTCCTTCTCCCCTCACATATCAATATCCTTCACTGATCTGGGGTGTGTTCATGATTTAGACTTAACAGAGCACTTCCTCGCATATAATTGCATATAAGTGCATGCCATAAGATTGTGTACAGTTACTAGAGATGGCTGAGTTTTTGCTCTAAACTCCTTAACAGCCCATGCAAAGAAAGAAATAGGTTTATTACAAGATTGTTATGACCACCATTTAAATGGAAAATTCATTTGTTTGCAATTAGCATAGTTTTCCTGATTCTGAGAATGGATTCTTTGAGAATTCTTTCTCATGTTGGGGGCAGGTTTTAACTCCTAGGATCAGCTCTCTGAGCCAAGGGGCTTGCTCAGGTCTTTAAGCTGTTAAGTGGTGGAGCTGAGAACAGCACCCACATTTTCTGGCTGTGAAATATTTTTGTTCTTTATTAGAGGGCTTGTTCTCTGACTGTTGCATGCATGTATTTCTGGCTCACGAATCCTATTATTGCTTTACTTACATATATTTCTTCCACTTACTGTTTTAAAAGTCCATGCAAATTCCAATTACTTTCCAAAATCACTTGACATCAGCTTTGTTTGACAGTCCTTTTATATCGCTCGCCTTAGTTCATTAGGCAAATAAAGTGAAAAATCCAAACCCCTTCTTTTAGCAGAGACATCAGTGTATTTCTACTAGACAGATTCTAATAGCAACCCAGGAGGTAGAATTCTTACTTCTAGCGAGATTCTGCTAATTTTTTTTTTTTTGAGACGGAGTCTGGCTCTGTTGCCCAGGCTGGAGTGCAGTGGGGCACGATCTCGGCTCACTGCAAGCTCCGCCTTCCGGGTTCATGCCATTCTCCTGCCTCAGCCTCCCGAGTAGCTGGGACTACAGGCACCCGCCACCACCCCTGGCTAATTTTTTTGTATTTTTAGTAGAGATGGGATTTCACTGTGCTAGCCAGGATGGTCTCTATCTCCTGACCTCGTGATCTGCCCCCCTCGGCCTCCCAAAGTGCTGGGATTACAGGTGTGAGCCACCGCGCCCTGCTGAGATCCTGCTAATTTTAAAATTCTTATTCACAAACAATAGCTACCATTTATTGAGTGTTTGTTTAAGGCACTGTGTTTAAGCGCTTCACTTCCATGATCCACTTTAATCCTTAGTTAATTTACAATGCTTTCAGGATAGTGTTTTCATTTTGTAGTTGACGACATTGAAATTTAGAGATTTTGAGGACAGATCTGATTCCAGAGTTTCTACTCTTAGCCACTGTGAGCTATTGATTCTATGTAACTGCACACACTGATTTCTGAGCACTTCTTGGGGCCTTTGGGCCAAGTCTTTCTGCTCTTTCTCTCTTATCTGTCTCTTTCCGTCTTTGTCTCCCCACTCCTCTCTCTCTATTTTTTTTTTCAGACAGAACCTCACTTTTTTGTTGTCATTGTTAAGACAGAGTCCTGCTCTGTCGCCCAGGCTGGAATGCAATGATACAATCTCGGCTCACTGCAACTTCTGCCTCCAGGGTTCAAGCGATTCTCCTGCCTCAGCCTCCCGAGTAGCTGGGACTACAGGTGTGCATCAGCATGCCCGGCTAATTTTTGTATTTTTAGTAGAGATGGAGTTTCAACCATGTTGGCCAGGCTGGTCTTGAACTCCTAGCTTCAGGTGATCTGCCTGCCCAAGCCTCCCAAAGTTCAGGGATTACAGGTGTGAAGCACCATGCCCGGCGAGAACCTCACTTTGGAATAGAGACCCCACAGAACCTCAGAGCTGGGAAAATTTCCTTCCCATCAAGCACCAATTTTCCCTTGCCATGGAGCACCACTGCTGGTATGTGCGCACACAGACCCCTAATTTATGCATGTATAGTTATTTACAAGGATGTGCAGGGTGGACATGTGTTGAGGCTCGGACAACAATACCCCAAAGTATGGCACTTTGGCAGGCTGAGTACTTTGAACTGATGGAGTTTGGATGACCTCAGAAGCAGCCTCAGAAGCAAGTTCTCTCTGACCTTCTCCTGCCCTCCTGCACCCCTTGTGCACCTCTTCTCCCATGAGGTGAGTCATAGAAACCAGAGTTCCCCTTCCCCAAGGTGAGTCATAGAAATTCTTCCCCCAAAGCCACCGATAGAACCTAAAACTATGACTCAAACTTTCCTCCACCCTTCTGCACAGGAGCTGGCCGTAAAGAAATTCTCTGACCAACTTTGTCTGAGAGTAGGTCCTAAGACCCTCATTCCAGAGGGGTCGTGCCCCATACCTAGAAAGAAGAAATGCTGTGCAGAGAGGCCAAGAAGAATCTGAACAGACAGGCCCTGCTGGGTCCCCATCCCATCACCTCGGTCCATTACAGTTAATCAGAACTTTCTGTCCAATCGCATTTCTATACCACTGTCCATTCCTCATTGAGTCTAAGCATAAAAATGGACAGTTCTTCCTGAGCCTTTCGGTATTCATTTCTGAAGACTCACATGTCACATTAAACTTTGATGAAATAAAATTGTTATGCTTTCCTTTTGTTAGTCTGCCTTTTGTTACAAGAGTGTCAGCCATGACCCACATGACTGGTGAGGAAAAGTATCACACTTTTTCTCCCCTACACATGTATATCACTGTACACAATTTTTTTTTTTGAGACAGAGTCACTCTCATCATCCAGGCCTGAATGCAGTGGCACGATCACAGCTCACTGCAGTCCTGACTTCCCTGGCTCAATTCATACTCCCACCTCAGCCTCGCAAGTAGCTAGGACTACAGACACATGCCACCACGCCCAGCTAATTTTTGTATTTTCAGTAGAGATGGGGTTTCACCATGTTGCCTAGGCTTGTCTTGAATGCCTGGGCTCAAGTGATCCACCTGCCTTGGCCCCCCAGTACTGGGATTATAGGCCTGAGCCTCTGCACACAGCCAAAATAGAATTTTTAAAGGAAGAGGAGAAATATGAAAAGGATTTCTATTTTTTTTCTTTTTGTATTCCAGTGGATTATCTCGCCCCCCCGCGAGCTGTGTGTACACCCAGGATGGGCCTCAGTTCCCTGACTATGGGTGAGTCCACGCTCTGCCTGGAACAGGAGCTTGGCTGGTCTTTTCCTAAGGACTTCCTTGGATACAGACCGGACAGTCCCTCTCCATCATTCTCCACTCTGTTTCCGGCTAGGCCCACCAATCTTCTTGCGTAGCGCCCAATACTGTTTGTCTGGGTGGAAATCCATCTCCGCCCAGCCTTTCATGGAGATAGAGGAAAACTGATCGGCATTCTTCCTCCATAAACTTGACAGCACTTGACTCCGTTTGGAAGATTGTGGAAGCGAGTCTTTGCTGTGTTTATGAGACCCCCGGGGTTGTTGCGAAGATCAAGTGATAAAGAGGATGAAGAATTTTGCGATACACAAAGGGCTCCAGAAATGTCGAGTGATATTATTAGCAGTGATTTGCATTCATGAAGGGAAGAATGGACGGAAATTAAATGGAACACTTTGGACACGTGTAAGGAAACTGCTGTCGGTCTAGCTCACTCCCCAGGCCGGGGAGCCTTCCTGGGAGGACCCATTTTCCTACACAGCTGCCCACAGCCCCTCTCCATTTCCACCTCCCTCTAGGTAGGAAGGGAACTCAGGTTGGGCAAAGGCGGTGAATTCGCATCTCCAGGAAGCGGCGGGGCCGGAAGGCAGCCAGCAGGGGGCGGCATTGCGCAGGACAGGAGAAGGTAGCGGCCAAGTTCCTCATGAAATCCACGTGCGTGAGGCTGGGAAGGTCCTCTAAGATGTTTAAATAACCCTTAAAGCGGAATCAAGATTTGTTTTTTTCTGCAGTTAGAGAGTTTGCTCCCTCCCAGCCGGCTCGCTGAGCGCTGTGGAACCCTTCGGCTGGGCTCCCCTGAAATCGGGCGCTTGTTCTGGGACAGGCGCAGAAGGGACCCCGGGAATCACGCTTGCGCTCGGGATGTGCAGGGTTCCAAGGGTGACACAGGGGAACTTTTCTATGCAAGGGCTAGCTGCTAGTGCAGGTCTCAGACTTACCTTCCGTTCATTTCAAGACAAATTGAGCTCAAATTACCCTTTTCTTTTTCGTTAAATGAATGGGGAATGAATGAATGAGATTTTCTGTTTTGAAGATGAGGCTCATCTCCCCTCCCCTCGCCTCCCCTGCCCTCCCCTACCCCTGCCCTCCCCTACCCCTGCCCTCCCCTCCCCTCCCTTCCCTTCCCCTGATCCCAAAGTTGATTCCCGGTTGCAGGAACACAGCGTAGAAAATTCGATGCATTCTCTCAGGAAGGAGCCTGGAGTGGGACTCAGGGGACCTGGGTGCTGGTCTCAGCCCCACGCCAGTCGTGGACAGGCTTCTGTTCCTTGGGCTTCTCGTCTGTAGAATGACGGTTGGAGAGAGGATTTTTCTCCTTCTCTTCTACAAGGATGTGCTGTGACAGCCAGGGAAGGGCTGGCCATGCACAGTGCTTTCATGCATGGGCTCTGACTGTCACCAAAGAGCCAGACCCGGCCACAGGCCATCCTGGAAGAGGGGAGAGCCCTTTAATGTGGGCAGAGGGAATGTTGGCCCGCCAGAGTTCCCTCTCAGGTGTGGTGGGAGTGGCAGTTGAATGGGGCAGTTGGAGAGGAGGACTTCAGGCGGGTGGGACAAGAGAAACTGAATCTGAGGTCCTTGGGGAGAAGCAGGCCCTGGAGTCCTGGGCAGCAGATGCCAGGCTCTGAGCCCCATGACTGCTGACCCTCCTCCCCTCCCTCTCATCCTCAGCCCAGGTAAAGCTTCATTTCCAGCCCAGGTAAAGCTTCTCCCTGTAACAATTAGTGGCCACCATTTAGTCCCAAGGGCCTTTGTTTCTCATCCTCAGGACAGGCTGTGTGTGTGTGTGGTGGGGGGTTTGGGGGAGGTGACACCACTGAATGGGGCTGCCCAAGTGGGAGGCAGCAGGGACGAGGCTCCCAGAAGAAAGGCAGCCCCTCTTCCACTTTTGGAGCCCCCGCTATCATAAAAGAAAAGGCAGAAATGCCAAGACGCGATTTCAAAATCTCTGAAATACAAAAGCCTACATTGAATATTTTAAGTCTTTTCCCACACATGCACAAACACAAACACATATACAGGGTAGTGTTCACAATTTAATTATGGGATTTATACCTCCCCCCCAAAAAAAAAGACCTGGAAAGCTTTACTGCAGTTCTCATATGAGGTTTTCATCTTTCTTTCTTTTTTTTTTTTTTTTAACTTTTAAATATATTATTTTCCTGGGAGGGTAGATTTGAATTGCTCTGAATCCAGGCTCTGCATCCTTCTTTGATCGTGTCGGAATGTGTCTGTAACTGGATGGATGACCTCTTTTGGAGATGCCATCACTGGCCACTGTTTTAGGCCTTCTGGGAGATGAGGGTACTTGAGCAAAAGCACCCCCACTTCCCTTCCCACACCCCCAGCTTGGTGCTGTCCCCTGCATGCACTTCCCTCTGCCACCTCTCTGCCTCTCCCTGCCTCCCAACCCCAGTCCCTCATCACTCACAGGGCTTTCTGATCTGGCTGCCACAGGTGCCTGGGACCTGGGGACAGACAGGAGAGGTGCGGTGCAGGCAGGGCCTGGGAGAGCTCCCCAGTGTCTCCTCTGTGCTGGAGGCCAGTCAGGCCCTGGAGGAAGGGGCTGTGGGAGTTGGGGGAGACCATCAGATATTGATAACTTTGGTGGCTTTAAATTAACAATGGATTTATTAAGAAAGAAGTAGGGCTGTAGTCTCATACCTGGGAAAAATTTTATGACTAAAGGTGTGCCTGCTTTTGGTTGATGGAGGAACTCCCATCATGAGCACCAAGGAAGACCCAGAGTCCAGTTCTCAAACATAAAGTTGTTAATTTTCTGGGCTAGACAGGGGCAGAAATGAAATATAACAGAGCAAAGTGGGCAGGTGTGGAAAATGGTTCTTCTTGAGATGACTTCTAGACATCTTTTGTTCTCTCTTGGGGCAGAGACAAGGATAGAGAAAAAGGCCTCAGGAAACACTATAAGGAAGACAGCAGTGCCAATGCAATAATAAATGTTACATGACCCCAAATCTCAGAGTCACAGAGACAGTAAGGAGTGGTGGGGATTGTGGCAAACTAAAGCATGTATACCCTGCCCAGGAGGGGCTGCCGTGCTCAACGTAAGTGGATTGTCACCACATGAACATACAGAGCTCTTGATATTTGACGAAAGCCAGAAGCCAGTCTTATTTTTTTTTTAATGTGGTATCTCCTCATTTTTAAATGTTTTCCACAAATTGGAAAAAAATGTTTAAACTATGCAGGCCATATAAAATGGAACTGCAAGTTGTACATGGTCTTTGTGTCCTGTGCTCTAAACAGAGGCCTTCCTGCTTCTGCCTGTCCAGTCTGTTGAGGTTAGGTTAGGAACCCCCTGCCTGCTAGCAGAGGGGTGCACCAGTGACTTTTTGGCATCTCCTGCCAACCCTCAGATGCTCTGCATGGAAAACACAATGCCAAGAACAGAGCCATGATGGCTGCAGGGACCCTGGCCCGGTTGGCACTGCCTCCTCCCAGCTCTCATCAGCTGTGTACCCCTCAGACCCCATCCTGTGATTGCCAGCAAACAGATTTCTCACCCCAGGCAGCTCCTCACTCCTGGCAGAGGATGGCGTGACAGACGGGGATAGAGACGTTAGCCAAAGCAGGCTTCCTGATTTTAAAAAAAGTCTCATTTTTCCCCCCAGGGCTGCCAAATTTAGCAAAGTGCCATTCCAGCTGCAATGCTTCCAAGCCGCCTCAGATCATCAAAACTTCACATGCCCTGGGGAGCACTCAAGGAAATTACCTTCTAGCACCAATTTCCTATGCGCGCTGATTACTCAAACCTGGCCAGGGAGGCCTGGCCTCCAGTGTTTGGCATCTGGGACTCAGGAGCCCTTAAGACAAGCTGATGACATCTTGCTGCCAGGGTCCCTTACCATTAGAAAAGGGAACCAAAAAATAGAAGTTATAGGTAAGGGTTCTCCACTGACAATGAGTTCCACCTTCTCAAAGGGGCTGGGAAAGATTAGCCTGGATGAGAGAGGACTAGCCACTGGGTGGCTGGGAGTGAGTTGTCGGAAATGACAATGGTCCTCAAATATCACAGGGCACATGAAGAGGACATCAGTGGAGGATGCATGGCTCCTGAGAGCTGAGAAGTGTGCAGAAAAATTGCATTTAGTTCCACAGAAGGAAAAAAAAATCATCCCCTTTAGGGCTATTTCTTTAGAAAATGCTTAACTTTTTATTTTGTAATGATTTCAAACTTACAGAAAAGTAACAGAAATAATGCTAAGAGATCCCAACTACCCTTCACTGAGATTTGCAGTGACATTTTTGCCACATTTACTTTAGCATTAATATCAAAATCAGGAAATTTATCTTTGATAAAATATTATTGCAGAATCTATAGTCCATATTTAGATTTCTCCAATGTTCCAATACTGTTCTTTTACACATTTCATTTACTTATTTTTATTTTTTTAGAGCAGGAGTGAAAATTTATTAAAAAGTTTTAGAGCAGGGATGAAAGAAAGTAAAGTACACTTGGAAGAGGGTCAGGCGGGTGACTTGAGAGTCAAGTGCACAGTTTGACCTTTGACTTGGGCCAATAATGTTCTTTATAGCAAATTAATTTTCTTCTGGTCAAGCATCCAATCCAGGCTTGTGTGTTGCTTTTAGCTGTCACATCTCTTCTGTATCCTTTAATCTGGGATGTTTCCTCACTTTTCTTTGTCTTTCGTGCAATTGACGTTTTTGAAGAGCACAGGCCACTTGTTCTGTAGAAAGCTCCTTTGGGTTCATCTGGTATTTTCTCAAGACTAGACGCAGGGTATGCATTTCCTGCAGGAATACTGCATGCGGGCCGTCTTGAGAAGAAGTGACTGGGGTCTGTCACCAAAGCATGTTGAGGCCCGATCTGGTGGGCCAGAGGGAAATTCTCCCTGAGAGGCTGGTTTGCCATGTCTTGGATTCTATGATTCTCCCCCAAATAATTTCAGCTGGGTTTCAGAACTTGCCGTGAGCTCTTTCTTCTTCATCAGCTAACCTGCTTTCCTACCTCTGCTTTGCTCAGGTTACCAAGGGCAGGGCAGTGGCCCAGCGGCCACTGGGAGGTCGTAGGTTGTTGATCATGGACCACAGCTTGACTGTCCGCTGTGCCCGGCAGTTGCAGAGCGGGTGGACATGTGGTAGAAAGACCGTGCCCAAAGGCCGTACTTGGGTTCAGGCTTCTTTTCTTGCTTCCGATCCAGACCAGGGCTGGGTTCTGTTCATGCAGGGAGCCAAGGACCTATGCAAGAATGAGAGGCCAATTTTTAAACTTTTCAGCCCCAGCATCTCTGCAGTGGATAGCCTCCCTCTGTCTCCTGAAGTAAATGCAGAGAGGTCAGCAGGAGGCTGTTCTGAGTGGAGGGTGCCTTGGGTACAGAAAATTCTGAAGGGCTTTCTGGTAAACAAACAAATGGAAGTCTTGTGGAAAAGGATCCAAGGAAGGTTTTGAATCTGAAGTCTTTCACGGTCATGCCAAGCCTTGTCTCGACTCTTACCTAAGTCTGGTGCATAGAGCCCCATGACACGGGCACACCACACAAACCAAGGCTCAGGCAAAAATCTCTGTTTGGGCTTTTTCTCAAATCCTTCTAGTCTCACCTCCCACAAAAGTCCTCCCTAACCCCGTCCTCCTCCCAGACCGTATTGACCTCTACTTTCTCAGAACTTCTGTAGCACAGGTCTGCATTACTCAGTGACACTGAGCACAGACAGCCTGCTTTCGGCTTTAGATTCTTAAACTTATGATCAGATATTACAGCAATGTGGGAGGAAACCTGAGTAACTTCCAGATCTTATTTCCCCACCCCTAGAGGTAACCATCATCTTGAATTTGGTGTAGAGTGTTCCCATTCATTCTGTAAAAATAAACTTTATTTTTTAAGAATGGTTTTGGTTTACAAAAAAAATTGCAAAGATAGTACAGAGTTCTCCAGTACCCCATATCCAGCTACCCTTGCTAATAACATTAATAACATCTCATGTTAGTATGGTATATGTGTTGTAATTAATGCACAATATTGCTACATTGTTAACTAATATTTATACTTTACTAGATTTCCTTTGTTTTTATCTAACATCCTTTTTTGGTTCCAGGATCTCATCCAAGATGCCTCTTCACAGGTAGTTGTCAGGTCTCCTTAGGTGCCCCTTGGCTGTGTCACTGTCTCAGGCTCTCCTTGTCTTTGATGACCTTGACAGTTTTGAGGAGTACCAGTCAGGTATTTTGTAGACTGTCCCTCAATTGGGATTCGTCTGATGTTTTTCTCATGATTAGACCGGCGTTATGAGGTTTTGGGCGGAGGACCTCAGAGGTAAAGTGCCCTTTTTGCCCCATCATATTAAGGGTACACGTTATCAACAGGACTTATCACTGCTGATGTTGACCTTGATTACCTGGCTGAGGTGATGTGTGCCAGGCTTCTCCACTGCAAAGTTGCTATTTTTTTTTCCTTTTCCATATGGTACTATACTCTTGGAAGCATTGGATTCTAGTTGATTAAGTTGTTTCTCACAGGGCTATGGGTTGACAATTCTGATACTGCTATACATGTACACAGTTAAGTAAACACATGGTAGATGGTGAGAGCCAGGCTTCTCAGTTTTAGAATTGGAGCTTACAAATAAGCAAGGGGAGGAGGCTAGAATTGTGATAATTATGGTAATGGATTCAAGTTGGAGAGTCAGTATGAACTCACTGTTAGCTTAAAATAGATATGGACGGTTACATATAGAAATATTTATAGATATGTGTTTATGCACTAGTTAATATGCATACATATATTTCCTTGCTTTGTCAGCTGAGAGGGCCTAGAAGCAACAACATCCTAATAACAAAGAATTTACCTAGTGCCCAGATCTTAGTTCTAATACGATTCTCCAATATAAGGAGATTCAAGTACTTGGAGAAATGAAATCTTACTACAAATATAGTCATTATTAAATAAAATATATTATTATATATTGCAAGCACATGAATTTGTGTATTGTATATTTTGCAAGTTTGCAAACTTTATATAAATGGTATCAAAGTGTGTGTATTTTTCTGCAGCTTTTTCCCCTCCTCTCAATTTATCATATGAGCTATACACATAGTTTGATATGTGGACTTAGTTGATTCAGTTTTACTGTTGAATAGTAATATGCCAAACTCATATTATACAATTTGTTCATCCATTTTCCTATTCATGTATGTTTAAGATATTATAAACAGAGCCACTATAAATATTCCTGTAGAGGGGCCACAAAAATATTTTTTGCATGAGATTCCATCCTCTGTGGATTGTTTCCTTGTGTTTTCCTAGATTGAACTTCAGTGTTGACACCAGTATGAGAGAAGAGAGGCTAGCAGGGGCAGGGAGGAAATTCGCAGGAGAGTGGAAGACAGCCTGCAAAATTAGTGGCCACTCTGTATCTGACTGCTTGAACAGGCAGGCTTTCTCCAGGGCATATATATAATTAAGAAGGATAATTGCTGCCTATGTTAGTAAGAATCTTTAACTTGACCAGATAATGCCAAATTGCTTTAAAAATTAGTTATACAATTTATATTCCCACCAGGGGTGCTTAAGAGCTGCAGTGCTCCATACATATGCCAAGACTTGCAATTTTTAGACTTTTAAATAATGTCTATTTGAAGAATGAGAAATGGCTGTTATTGTGATTGTGGTTGTAATTCATATTTTCCTGATACTCAGAGATTGAGCATATTTTTGTGTGTATTTGGATCATCTGTCAATTGCCTTTTGCTGGCTCCTCTAATTAATTGTTTGTCCTTCTGTTATTAATGTATTGAGAATTCTTTATAAATTCTGCATACTAATTCTTTACAGTTAAATGGGTCACATCTGTGCCAGTATGTTGCTTCTCTTACAAATTATGTCTTCTGTAATTTCAGTGTACTAGAATTTATCAAGATTTTGCTTTAGGACTTTTTAAAGAAAATTGCTTTAAGAAATTATTCCCTATCATAAGATCATAAATACATATCTCTGTATGTACTTTGTACTGTTAACATGGTATTCCTTTTTCACCCTGCTACTTTTAGCTTATTTGTGTGTTTATATTTAAAATAAACTTGTCATAGGAAGCATATCATTGGATCTTCTTTTTATATTCAGTCTGACAATCTTTGTTTTTTAATTGAAATATTTACTCCATTTATATTTAATGTAATTGTTGATATGGTTGTGTTTAAGTCTATTGGCTTGCTATTAATATTTGTCTTCTATTTATTCCTTTTGTGTTTTATTCTTCTGTCCCTCCTTGCCTACCTTTTTTTTTTTTTTTTTTTGGTTAATCTACTATTTAGTGTTTCATTTTATTTCCTTGACTGACTTCTTAGCTTTAACCCTTTTTAAAAAGTATTTTTTCTAGGGCTAACACAATGTTATAATTTATACTTTATTTGTTATTTTTATATCATCCCATACTTAATTTCAAAATAATTTATATTTTACTGTGTGTTATTGTGTGCTTATTTTTCACTTTCTGGGGAAAGGATTTGCATCTTAGTTGTTTCTCATACTTACTATTATTCATTCATTCAACAAATACGTATTAAACATTTCCGATGTACCAGGGACTATGCTAGGTATTGGAAATATAGCTGCAAACAAGACAAACAAGAAGCCCACAGTTTGTTTGGGGAAATAAAAAAGTATGTAGGAAAGTTTTCTTAGAAAAGGAAATGTTTGAACTGAGCCTTGAAGGCTGAGCAGAAATTGGTCAAGTGAAGAAAGGGATACTAGATGGTTCCAGGTTGTGCCAGTAGTAAATACAAAAACTAAAAAGCAGGAGGAATAAACAGTTTGTCCAGGGAGTAGTAAGATATTCCACATGGCTGGAGTGCAGTATTCAATGGTACAAATAGAAGGTGGAGAGTAGAGTATGCAGTTTGGCCAGAGGTTTAGGGAGTCTCTGGTAGCTGCTAATACTCTCATTGAATTAGGAATCTACAGCTGGGTCTATGATATTTATGTCATTAATATTCATTAACTGCACTGGGCACAGTAGCTCATGCCTGTAATCCCAGCACTTTTGGGAGGCTGAAGCAGGCAGATTGCTTGAGCCCAGGAGTTTGAGACCAGCCTGGGCAACATGGCAAGACCTCGTCTCTACTAGAAATACAAAAATTAGCTGGACATGGTGGTGCACGCCTGTAGTCCCTGCTACTTGGGAAGCTGAGGAGGGAGGATCACTTGAGCCCAGGAGGCAGAGGTTATGATGAGCTGAGATGGTGCCACTGCACTCCAGCCTGGCGACAGAGTGAGATCCTGTCTCAATTTTTTTTTTTTTTTTGGTGACTCACGCCTGTAATCCCAGCACTTTGGGAGGCTGAGACAGGTGGATTACCTGAGGTCAGGAGTTCGATATCAACCTGGCCAATATGGCAAAACCCTGTCTCTACTAAAAATACAAAAATTAGCCAGACGCAGTGGCGTGCACCTCTAGTCCCGGCTACTCAGTAGGCTGAGGCTGGATAATTGCTTGAACCCGGGAGGCAGAGGTTGCAGTTAGCCAAGATCGCACCACTGCATTCCCACCTGGGCGACAGAGTGAGACTCCGTCTCCACAACAACCACAATAACAACAAAAACTTTAAATTCATTAACAATGATTAAAGAGCTTTTCATCAACTACTAGCTCTAAAACATGTGGGCTTCTCCATCTGACTACGAGTCTTCAGTTTCCACGTTGGGGGATTTATCTTTTTGAGATGAAGACATTATGATTTTCAAATTCTGTTGTAAAAAGTACGTATATTATTCCAGAGGAGTGCCTCTTGTTATATAATATAAGCAAGGGTTATTGTAGGGTTATTGGAGGAGGGAGGGAACATCAGTTTCCTGTATCCAGAGTGCCCCAGATGAGATAGATGCTACTCATTCTCTATATACTCTTGAGTAAGTCCTTCCTCTCTCTGGGCCTTTGTTTCCTCTTCTGTATAATGAGAAATGTGTAAAAGATTGCATCTGAGGACACTTCCAGCTCTGCCATGCCATGGTTTTATCAGCCACTAACAACTTGATGGGAGTTGGTTTATCTACTGCTTCTAGCTATGAAAACTTCCAGAAAGAACTCATGGGAATGTGACCCCGTTTATATATAATAATAAGGCCTTTGTTTGCAAGTGGCAGAGACCAACTCAACATACCTTAGGTAAAAAAGGAGAATTTATCTATAGGGTATGGGGAAGTGGCTGTCATGGGACCCTAGGGCAGGAATAGAGGGAGGCCTCAGGAAAGGACTAAGACTAGGCATGGGAAACCTTCAGGGATCATGCTCTATGGATTGGATTTAGGTGGCTGGAGGATGGGGTGGCTGGCTTGGGGACTGAACAGACATTGCAAAAAGTGTCCTCTCCACCTGGGTTGTTGGTTTTCATTTGGGGCAGCAGTCACAGAAGTGTGGGGAATGTGGGCCTGTCCAGATGTGGCTGGTCCTGAGGGGTGGTGTTGTTGAAGTTCTCTGACCAGTGGGTATCAGGATGGAGGGGATGTGGATGCAAAAACTCCTGGGGATCTGAGAGAATCTGAAAGAAGAAGGGGTGTGTGCATGTGTGTGCGTGGGTGTGTGTGGGTGTATGCGCATGGCGGTGTGTGTGCATGTTTGTGGATGTGTGTGCATGTGTGCATCTGTGTGGATGTGTGTGTGCATGTGTGTGCATGTGTGCATGTGCATGTGTGTGTGTGTCAGCCAAACTTAACTCTGAGTAATACTAAGAAAACCCATTTTCTTGGGGCTCTTTCCCTGGGCTGGGACTCAGCCTTGGTCATTGGACCGGCTCCCAACCAAAACCACACCATAGGGTTTTCTGCTCTTGGCCAACCCAACATGAGAAAAGAGGAATTAAATGGTCCTACTAATAAGAAAGCCTCAGCGTAGCATTAAGGGACGTAGCAGGTCTTCTGGCCACACTCCCCTACAAATGTGGAAAGCTCATTGGTGAAAACAGTTCTCAGGGGTCAAAGCAAAGGAACTGATCTGGGTAAAGTAGAGGCTGCCTGATCCCAATCAGACATCCTCACCTCTCAATAACCTTTGCCATTTCTCTGCCATAGAGTGAAAGTGTCCCCAGGCCAAAAGCCCAGGGCTCCAGGCTGCCATCAGGATGGTGGGTGAAGGACCCTACCTTATCTCAGATCTGGACCAGCGAGGCCGGCGGAGATCCTTTGCAGAAAGATATGACCCCAGCCTGAAGACCATGATCCCAGTGCGACCCTGTGCAAGGTAAGTCAGAAGAAGGACAGAAGGGAGGGCCAGGGCAGGACCTCCAGGAATGTCCATCAGGAGAGTGGGCACTGCTCCTGCAACCCATCTGCTGCTCTATCTGCTCGTCCTTTTGTCCGTCCACCCATGCACACGTTCATTCATTTATCAGTCACTCACTTCCTTGCCTCCTCCTGTCCTTTGGTGAAAAGGAGGCAGTAGCTCAGGTTTAAGGAGAGCTTTCCATGATCCAGACCTGTCCAAGTGCTTTACAAATATCTTCTCATTCACTCCTCACAAACTCCCTGGAGGTACTGTTACTATCTTTATCTGATAGGTGAGGAAACAGGCACAGAGAGGTTAAGTGACTTGCCTAAGGTTTACCAGGTAGCTTTTGCTTTGTAACAGACTGTCTCAACACTTAGCAGCTTAAAACAATTGCCACTCATTTAGCTTACAGTTTGATGGGTGACCCATAAAATAAAGCAACTTGGGCTGAGCTCAGCTGGGTGGTTCATTTGGTCTTGACCAGGCTTACTCCTGTACAGCAAGGTGGCTGTGCTGCTGGAGGTGGGCCGGCTGTTGGCTGGGGCAATGGGGCAACTGGACCCCGCGTGTGCTCAACCTCCAGCAGGCTAGCCCAGGCTCGGTCACACAGTAATGTGGCAGGCTTCCAAGGGAATGAGTGACAGCATGCAGGGCTTCTTGAGATTCAGGTTTGCAACTGGCACACCACTTTTTTCACTGTATTCTATTGGCCAAAGCAGATCACAAGCCAGCTTATATTCAAAGTGTGAGGAAACAGACTCGACTTTTTGATGGAATGAGCTGCCAGGTCACATTCCAAGGAATTGGGAACAGATGGGGAGAGAAAACGGGGTCATTTTTGAAATCCAGGATAGAAACTCAGGTAGTCTGATTTCTGAGCTCACATGCTCAACCTTGCAGCATATTGTATTATTATATATATTATTAGCATTATGCTAACCATAACATTATGAAATGCTGCCTTTTCTACATGGAACGAGGCCCTGTGGTTTGTTCTCTGAGCAGCAGAAGGCCAAGTGGCAACTCTATAATAAGCGGACACTGCGTTATCTTCTCCCAGCATCTCTGTCTGGGCCAAGGACACACACATTTAAGCCCTCCAAGGTGAGAGGTGGAGGTTGGAAGGTGAGGACGTGGGCTATTATTCCTAGCCCCAGGAGATCTCTAACTGTCCACTTTTTCAACCAGTTTATAATCGCTTTGTGGAGAGGCAATGTGGGGAGGTGCTGAAGGGAATGACAGGACACTGGAGTCAACAAGCAGTGGGTTTGAATTCCCATCTCACCACTTTCCAGCAGTAAGACCTTGGGCAAATACTCTAAACTCTCTGTGCCTTGATGTTTTTGTCTATGAAATAGGCATATAATATGACCCTGCCACCCATCTTACTGAGTTGTTGTGAGGAATATATGAAGTAATGCATGACTGTATCATGAAAGTCACCTTTTAGGGAATTTTTACTATGTGCTGAGCTCGTAGTACCTTATTCACATGATTTTAGCTTGAATTCTCCCAAAAGCAGGGCCTCAGTCAAGAACCTGGAGGCAAATAGCTTATTTGAGAAGTGATTCCAAGCAGCAAGAAGAAAGATTTAGGGAGAGTGATGTAGGGAAGGAGGAAAAGGCAAAGTGAGGTGTGGCCTCAGCGTCACTGCTGTGAGCAGAGGGGCCTGGATCCTACTAGGTCCTTCTAGAAAGTGTCCAGTTTTCCACCCAGAGGATGTGAGGTGGACTTCTATACTACCTTAGTGAAGTTTTGCCCCTGGGGGTATTAATGCCCTGCAATTCTGGGCAGGAGGAGGAGGAAGAAGAGGAGAAGGAGGAAAAAAAGGAAGAGAAGGAGGAATGGGAGGGGAAAAAAGAAGGAAGAGGAGGGGAAGAAGAAATGAAGGAAGAAGAACAAAAAAAGGAAGTGATGGGTTTTGAGTATTATTACCTTTGTCTTTAAGACAATTTATTAAAACTTAGGTAATTTAATTTTGAATATTGACTGTGTTTAACAACTAACTTGCAAAATTCCTGAAAATTTAACAATTGGCTCTCACCAGCTGGCCCCAGCACATCACTGCTCAAAGGGCTAATAAACATAATGAATGCAAGTCACAGATTCTGAGTGCAGCTGTGGTTGTTGCTGTAGTTACAAGTTCAATCCAGAGAGAGAGTTGGGGCAATGACCCCAGTGCCTGGAACGCTGAGTGTCTTGTTTGTCTGCAGGTTAGCACCCAACCCGGTGGATGATGCCGGGCTACTCTCCTTCGCCACATTTTCCTGGCTCACGCCGGTGATGGTGAAAGGCTACCGGCAAAGGCTGACCGTAGACACCCTGCCCCCATTGTCGACATATGACTCATCTGACACCAATGCCAAAAGGTACCAGGATTTGCTTGGGTCACTGTATTAGTCCATTTTCATACTGCTATGAGGAAATACCTGAGAGTGGGTAATTTATAAAGAAAAAGAGGTTTAATGGACTCACAGTTCCATGTGACTGGGGAGGCCTCACAATCATGGTGGAAGGTGAAGGAGGAGTAAAGGCACGTCTTACATGGTGGCAGGCAAGACAGTGTGTGCAGAGGAATTGTCCTTTGTAAAACCATCAGATCTCATGAGACTTACTATCACAAGAACAGCACAGGAAAATCCACCCCCATGATTCAGTTACCTCCCACCAGGTCCCTCCCACGACAGGTGGAGATTATGGGAGCTAAAATTCAAGATGAGATTTGGGTGGGGACACAGCCAAACTGTATCAGTCACCTCAGGAGAGAAGCCCACTCTAAGGAAGGGGTCCCATAAACTCTTTTGTGTGCTCCCTAGTTGTGTGCTTCACAATTTCCCCAACATGGAAAATGACACCAATGGGTGTTGGTAACCATTCTCTGAGATTTGGGCTGGACTGCATGAACTTCTTGGCCCAAGCTGTGGGGAGGTGGGAATTAGGCAGCATTAGCGGGGAGAGAGGACTCATTGAAGAGCTATGGCCTGAGGCTCAGGACCCTTCTGGCTGAGCTCCAGCTGGTTTGCAGGGGCACCGCATCAGGACAGAGGTGGCTGGAATCTCACTTTGCCCTGTGCTGGTCAGACCCCACTTGACCAGCATGCAGCATCAGGTTTTGTTTTACTTTAAACATCATTATTGGACTTTTATATTACAAAATATATTTAGGTTGATCCTAATGAAACTGCCAATATTTGACAATTTTAACTTGTAAAAATGTAAATGTCATTTGTCCAACCTAATTCATATTCATTATAAAAATGTGAAAGCAGCAGAAGTTTAAGCCGTGGAAGGATCTCTCCCATGCTCCTGCTCTACTCCCTGGAGGCAAGCACTATGAAAATCTCACTGTGGCTCTGTCCAGAATTTTCCTACTCTGATTAAACACACCCTGGGCTACCGTCTTCTTCAGATCAGTACCTCTTCTTACCCCCCACTCACAGATCATGTTTTATTTTAATCTAAACAAAAAATGAAGCATACTACATAACTGTTGATCATGTTGCTCTTTTCAGTTAAGAGTTTATAAAGACTTTTCCATGTTAGGATGAAGACATCAACTTCATTTTTTCCAGCAGCTGCATTGAACTCTGTGGTTCTGATTAAATGTATAATATAAAGAATGGGGAAGGCCTGGGAGTGTTAGTCATGGCCTCCTAATTGCTTCTAGAATTGTGCTTCTCCTCATCTGTGCCCCGAAGAAATCTCAGCTAGTGGTACATTCCAAAATCTACCTCCTGGAGAAAGTTGCCAGGGAGCACTGAGGGCAAGGCACTGGACCACCTCTCTGCCGTTCTCTCTGGCCAGTACTTCTCCATCTGTTCTTAATGTTTCCTCCCATCTACCCAATGTCCACTTAGATCCTTGCCTTTGCCATTCTGTGTTATGCTCCTAAGTGAACCCCTCCAATCCAAAGGCTTAAACACCAAACACATGCTGACTCCCCCAATAACATGTCCGTGGCTATCTCCAGGCCACAGCCCACTTCCAGACTCTGAAACTGCATGGCCAGCATCCAATGGGATGGCTACACTTGGATGCCTCACGAGCATCTTCTATCTAAAGCTGGACCTATTCTTGACCCAGGGCCCCAGACTTAGCACTATTCCTCTCCTCTTCTGCTTTTTCCCATCTCCGTCTCTGTAAATATTCACACAGTTGGCCAAGCCCGAAAACTGGGGTCGGTCCTTGAACCTCTTTCTCCTTTCCTCCCACATCTTATTCATCAGTAAGCCCTGTTGTCGCTCTCTGTCCACTTTTCTTTAATTCCACTGCCACCTCTCACCTGGAGGCTGACAATCTCCTGCTGTGGTCTCACACCATCATCCATCACTTTCATAGCAGCCAATTGATCTTTTAGATGTGCAAAATGATCTTGTCACATCGGCTTAAAAAACTGTAATGGCTTCCTTTGCACTTGGAGTGAAACCTAAACTCCTGAAGGCCCTTGAGGTTTTCCCTAGGTCTTGTGAAGTCCCCCAAGGTCCCAAAAGTTCCTGCCTTGCTTCCCACTGTTCCATCAGCCCCTCCTCTTTGTGCACCACACTCCTGTCTCTCTGGTCTTCTTCCAGATCTTTGAAATGAACAATGTCTTCGCTGCACTGAGATTTTTCTCTTGGCCTCTTTGTTGCCTCTGCCTTCTTATAAGAGCTGACACTGTGGCAGAGATGGGTGGTAGGCAGAGGAAAAGAAGGCCTGGCAAGGACCCAGATGTCACAGGCATACCAGCTTGTATCTAGGCATTGCCCCCTGCCCTTCCCAAATCCCACCTGCTCAGGAAGAGCAGAAAGCTGAGCCAGTGCTGGAAGGCACCACTGCCAGGGAGGGGGGCTCTGCCGAGCACCCTTGCAAGAGCATGCCCAACAGCGTAGCTTCAAACAGCACATAGAAGTGCCAATCCATTTTATGCTTCTGTTTTTTCATCACAGATTTCGAGTCCTTTGGGATGAAGAGGTAGCAAGGGTGGGTCCTGAGAAGGCCTCTCTGAGCCACGTGGTGTGGAAATTCCAGAGGACACGCGTGTTGATGGACATCGTGGCCAACATCCTGTGCATCATCATGGCAGCCATAGGGCCGGTGAGTGCGGCAGCCCTTCCTCCTCATCTGCTAGGTCCCCAGCCTAGCAAAGAATGTCATTAGTTACTTTCTCTACGAGCTGGTGGGTTTAGTGCATTGTCATTATCTTTGCGCTCCTTGGGGGCGAATTTTCATAAAGTGAATCCTTGTCAAGCACAGCAGCAGCCACTAAAATTAATTAAAAAGTTTGCCTCTTAAAGTCAGCTTGCTGGCATGATCTGAGGCCTCCTATGCCAGCCTCAGCCCTCAGTGGCCCTCTCTTCTCCCCACCATGCTGTTTTACAGACAGTTCTCATTCACCAAATCCTCCAGCAGACTGAGAGGACCTCTGGGAAAGTCTGGGTTGGCATTGGACTGTGCATAGCCCTTTTTGCCACCGAGTTTACCAAAGTCTTCTTTTGGGCCCTTGCCTGGGCCATCAACTACCGCACGGCCATCCGGTTGAAGGTGGCGCTCTCCACCTTGGTTTTTGAAAACCTAGTGTCCTTCAAGACATTGACCCACATCTCTGTTGGCGAGGTAAGCTGGCTCAGAGGAGTTTAATGTTGGAAAATGGGCCCTGAGTGGTTTGAGTGCATGTGAGATGTGGATCCTGAGTGGAGCACCTGCCTTCCTTTTGCTTGTCTATGACCTGCCCATCATGTCCCATCTCCTGGCTAAGTGAGGTGGTGGAGACACAGAACACCAGAGGAGTTCAGAGAGGGAGGGCTCAGTTCAGGCTGGAGAATTTGGAGAGACTTCCTAGTTCCAGCGGGAACAGGGCTCAGGGAGACTTAATCCAATCGCTTTGATGGTCAGTGGGGACTGTGGAGGAGTACTGAGCACACTATAGGCATTTAATAAAATGGATGAACTGATGGCTCCAATAATCCCAATTGTGTAGCATAGGGGGTGCCAAAACCACAATGAAGACCATGCCTATTGGACTTCAGAGTTGACATTTTCTTAAGCTCTTAATCCTTAACACTTATCAAAAACAAAAAACAAACAAACAAAACACACACACACAACAACAACAACAAAAACTCTTGAATCAAGGGAACCCCAGGTGGTGTGGGGTAAGATAAAAGACTTGCTTCTTTCTTACTAGTTGCTCTTTTAGCAAGCTCAAAGCATTTAATTATGATTAGATTCAGTTGCATATAGCAAACCCAAAATAACAGTGAATTAAAAAAAAGTAATTAATTTCACTCTATGTAAAAGGAATCTAGAAGGGAATAATGCAGGGTTGGCACAGGAGCTTCCAGATCTTTCTGCTTTTCTTTATCACTGTCTTTGCACATGGCTGTCATCATGGTTCAAAAGTAGATGCTAGAGATCCAGCCATCCCAGCCACGCTTCAGACAGGTGGTAGGAGAAAGAGGAACAGAAGAAGGGGTGCCTTCCAGGTTGAGTTGGCTCCCTTTAAGAATTCATCACAAATGTCCCATTCTACACTTTGGCTTACATCACATTGCCCTCAACATGGACACATGGCCACACTCCTTCCACAAAGGAGGCTGGGAAATGTAGTCTTTTCTGGGCCCATCTCTTCCCGAAAGAAGCGGAGTTGTCTTCACAAGGAAGGCTGAGGGAGAAGGGGGTGGGGGAGACTGGGTAGGCAGCTAGCAGTCCCTCCAGCATGCTCCCAGATGGTAACATTACACTTTGTCTTTCTGCATTGAGATGATCAGCCCTAAAAGACCAGCCTCTCCAAAGTCGTACCAGAACCCATAAAACTCATCATATTGGTCCCCGGTGACCCCTTCCTGCTTTAGAGAAGTTTTTCTCCTTTCTCCCTAGATCCCCTCGGCCAATCTGAAAGCCTTCATTTAAAGACATGTTTGACTGACTCTTCCAAAGCCTGAACCTTTGCGCTTTTCTTTCCAGGTGCTCAATATACTGTCAAGTGATAGCTATTCTTTGTTTGAAGCTGCCTTGTTTTGTCCTTTGCCAGCCACCATCCCGATCCTAATGGTCTTTTGTGCGGCGTACGCCTTTTTCATTCTGGGGCCCACAGCTCTCATCGGGATATCAGTGTATGTCATATTCATACCCGTCCAGGTAACGGCAGGCTTTTGCGCTTCTAACTGCTTTGTATTTGCATTTCACACACTTTCACTGAATTGGGTGGAAGGCTGCATTTCTGGCGCATGAAGCCTGTGCCCCATTTTGTACTCACAGATTTACTTCCTTTGGCACAGAGTAGTGGTTTTTTGTTTGTTTGTTTGTTTTGTTTTTTGTTTTGTTTTTGTTTAGTGACAGGGTCTCGCTCTGTCACCCAGGCTGGAGTGCAGTGGTGCAATCGTAGCTCACTGCAGCCTCAACCTCCTGGGCTCAAGCAGTCTTCCTGTCTCAGTCCTGCCAACTAGCTGGGACTACAGGTGCATGCCACTGTACCTGGCTAGTTAAAAAAAAAAATTGTAGAGATAGGGTCTCGCTATGTTGTCCAGGCTGGTCTTGAACTCCTGGGCTCAACCCATCCTCCTGCCTCAGCCTCCTGAGCAGCTGGGATTACAGGTGCAAGCCACTGCACCTGGCCACAGTGAAGGTTTTTAAAAAAAGCTTGAATTTGAATGCTCTAGGAAGTGGAATGCCTCTTCAATTTGTCAAAGCCCCCAGCACTCTCTTTGAGTCCTGGCAATTCATGCCTTTACATGACCTGCCTGACCCCCCATGGTGTTCCTCAGACAGCATCAACAGCCACAACTCAAGGGAAGAACTTGGCTGAGAATCTGAAGCCAACTTCCTTTAGAACTTTTTCTGGCACTTACACTCCCATTTCTGGATTTTTAGGCCAGCTGCAACTCAGCACTTCTCTCTGAAAACAGTGTTTGTACCTTGATTTCAGATGTTTATGGCCAAGCTCAATTCAGCTTTCCGAAGGTCAGCAATTTTGGTGACAGACAAGCGAGTTCAGACAATGAATGAGTTTCTGACCTGCATCAGGCTGATCAAAATGTATGCCTGGGAGAAATCTTTTACCAACACTATCCAAGGTAGGACAAGAGTAGCTGCTTAAAGAACCACTTACCTTGTAGAATATGCTCTTCTAAGGGGTTCTTACGGTTCCCAGGGCCAGGCATTCCAGAAGGAGGCTGAGGGGACCCTCTGAGCTGCTCTGCAGGTCAAAGAATTTTTCAAAGGATTATGGAGATTTAATAATAGAGCCAGGCATCTGTTCTGGTGAACCCAGGGGTGAGTGACATATGGTTTCTCTTTCCTGGGGCATGTGGATCCTGGTCCTGGCGAGTTACTTTTTATAAAAATAATCCACTAAAAACATTGTGAGCAGGAAAAAAGCTGTCTCCAGCTATTTACTTAACTTAGAAGACATCTACACACACATACACTCACACATCCAGGGTTACACAGACCTCTTTGCCTGCAGCAGCGTCCTTGTGTTCGGATGGTCCACTGACTCAACACTCCTTGGGCAGACACGAGGAGATGCATATGTAGTTTTACTTTTTTTAAAGCTGATATAGAAACTATTTTGATCAAATATAAATGCAAATCTAATTGCAGGGACATTTACATAATTGCTGACATAGACTCAGGTGGTTCACCAGTTAATGATCTGAACCACTGTTACAATTGACTGTCTGGATGGACAATTACACTTTTGCACCAGCATGGAATTGGGCCAAAGCTGTGTATCTGCCCTCTAGGGAGTGGCTGTAGAGAACCTGCTTCTGAGCTGGCCAAAGGAAGTGCCCCAGGTTGGGACCCCAGCAGCACTAGGGGACCCTCTTTGAAAACCCAGAAACACATCCTCACACTCTGAGTTCACTTCAGTGCAATTTAATTTGATTTGATTAAATTTGATTCCATGTGATTTCAACTTAATTTAACTTGTCGATTTAGTTCAATAAATATATATCAAGTTCCTACTTTGTGCAAGGCCATGGGAGCTACACAAATGAAATGGAAAAGTTTCCTGCTTTTATGAGTAAGGGAGGATAAGATAACTTAGCTCAAAAATAGCCACGAGTTTGTTGGCTCTACCTTCAGAGTATATCCGGAAGCCATCTGCTCGTCTCCATTCCACTCCCACCCAGTCCAAGCCAATATCCTCTCTCTCCTGGACTATGCAAGACATCTAGGCACTGCTCCTGCCTTCCCCCTCCCTCCTGCAATCCATTGTGCACTCAGCAGTCAAAGT
The DNA here is from genome assembly GCF_000001405.40 of Homo sapiens. Classification (NCBI taxonomy): domain Eukaryota; kingdom Metazoa; phylum Chordata; class Mammalia; order Primates; family Hominidae; genus Homo; species Homo sapiens. The sequence continues at coordinate 48,137,061 of NC_000016.10, read as the reverse complement.
GACCTTTAAAAGATGTCAGTCAGATCCTGTTCCTCCCCTGTTGGAAAATAGTGGCTTCTTATCACACTTAAGATTATTCAAAGTTAGGTCTTTGGAAGGAAATCCAAATTCTTTCATATGGCCTGTTAGGTCAGACATGATCTGGCCCTTGGTGACCTCTCTGACATCATCATCACACTTTACTGTAACCTTAGGAAACTCAGCTCTAGCGGTGTCTGCCTTAGTTTGTTTCTAGAACCACACGCCACACTCGTTCATGCCTCGGGATCCTTGCAATTGCTGTTTCCTTTGCCTGGAGTGCGCTCCTGCTGGATGTTTACAGTAACTTTGTCTTGACTTTAGGTCTCTTCTCAATGTCCAGAGAGGACTTCTGGGCTGCAGTTCCAAGCATGTCCATGCCCTACCTCTCAATCACTTCATCCTGCTCATTTCTTTCAGATCACTCAACACAATTTGTAATTATTTAATTGTTTATTTCTTTCTTGTCTATCTATCCCACTGGAAGAGGGCCGAGACCCTGTTCACTCCTCTATTCTCCAAACACAGGTGCAGCACCTGGCATGTAGTAGACATCAGGTTCAAATATCTTAAGTGAGTGAACACATGAATTCACGTTATTCTATGGGGGAAGATGGAGGAAGTGCCACAAGAGAAACAGAGATGCTCCATGGGGGAGCACACTGGGTTGGGGAGACTGGGAATGGCTTCCCTGCAGAAGTGGCTTTCAGGTAGGCCAAAGGGATAGGAAGGATTGGGACGCACAGAGAACTGGGGAAGCCCACTTAGGGAGGAGCAGAGGCCTGGAGGTGGAGATAAGAGGGTGCTCTTGGGGACTAGGGGGTGCTGGATGTTCTTTAGGGGAAGGGCACCTGGATAGCAGAGCTTGGATCCCAGGAGAAGTGGGCTTCGATTCTGCCCTGATCACTGAAAAGGCAAGTTTTCAGTGAAGCAAACCTGCGCAAGCAAACCTTCGAAGACAGTTTGCTCTCCTGTCAAAAAGGCATAAAATAACAGACTCTCTCTCATCATGCAGTGGTGAGGACGATCTTATGAGAAAGCACCTGTGAAGTGTTGAGCAGAGCACCTGGCATGTAGTGATCACGCCATTAGAACATCTGGAGCTGTCCTGTGTGGATATGAAAGGGCTTTTGCAGAGGAGGCTGGAATTGGGGTTGAGGACAAAAAACAGGAGGTGAAGGAGGCTTGAATGTAATTTGTGAGCTTTGCAGAGCCGTGGGCATGTTCTGGACTTAGGAAGGGGAGAATACTCTTGAGTTTTTGTGTCTATTCTTGGGACACCAGGCAGGTGCCTTCAGGCCAGCACATGTGTTTTATTTCTCCCCATACAGTATAGTATTTAAAAATGTTTTTTCATTTAGTTCCCAACATTTAAAAATAGGGAGATGTCTCAGAAAAATCTGGACCTCATGGGAGGATTGCTTGAGCCTAAATATTCGAGACTAGCCTGGGCAACATAGGGAGATCCCAACTCTGCAAAAAATTAAAAAAAAAAATTATCTGGGTGTGGTGGTATGTGCCTGTGGTCTCAGGTACTCAGGAGGCTGAGGTGGAAGGATCGCTTGAGCCTGAGAGGTCAAGGCTGCAGTGAGCTCTATCATGTCATTGCACTCCAGCCTGGGTGACGAAGCAATACTCTGTCTCAAATATAAATAAATAAATAAAAATCTGGACCTCAGACTTTGAAATGGTTGACGATCTGGTTGTTACTGGACCGAACTGTGGCCTGCTTATCTGGCACAGTAAGGCCAAATATCCACGCTGAGGTTTTGCCGCAGGAGAAAGGAGGGCCTTTATTTGCTGCGTGCCAAGCAAGGAGAATCAGGCGGCTCATGCTTAAGACCTGGCCTCCCCAGTGGCTTGCAAGCAAGGGTTTTTAAAGGCAGGGCTAAATTTCAGGAAAGCGAAGTTACAGGCAAAATCGTAACTCATACATGGAGATTATGTATTGGTTTGGCCTGAAAGGGTGGGGTATCTTTTTTTTTTTTTTTTTTGAGACAGAGTCTCGCTCTCGCCCAGGCTGGAGTGCAGTGGTGCAATCTCGACTCACTGCAAGCTCCGCCTCCTGGGTTCATGCCATTCTCCTGCCTCAGCCTCCCGAGTAGCTGGGATTACAGGCTCCCGTCACCACCCCTGGCTAATTTTTTGTATATTTAGTAGAGACGGGGTTTCACCATGTTAGCCAGGATGGTCTTGATCTCCTGACCTCGTGATCCACCTGCCTCGGCCTCCCAAAGTGCTGGGATTACAGGCGTGAGCCACCACTCCTGGCTGAGGGTGGGATATCTTAAAGTAGGCAGCTTATAAATCATGGGTAGATTGAAAGATTTTCTGATTTGCACCTGGTTAAGGAAAGGAAGCTTTGTCTAAAGATTTGGAGTTAGCAGAAAAGAGTGTTGGATCCGGCCTTTGGGCGTGACCTCCTCCAGGCCCCTCAGGAAGAAATTTAGAACAAAAACTGCAGTCAGAGCTCTGTCCTCGGCTCCCCCTTCTCTGAGGTCTGTGTGCCAATGGATCAATTGGATGGGGGTCCAGGTTTTCTGAAATACAACTCAAGGACATATGTTAAGATATAACCTTTAGTTTCTATAGGGAACCAAACATTCTTGTGACTCTAACTTCCTTGGCTGTTGTTTCAGGCTATTGTTACCTTCTTGCTTATCAAGTTACTCATTTACTTCTAGGGGTTAGCTGGGTGCCTAGAATTTCCCTTGAAGGAACTCAAGATTTTCCTTTGTTTCCATACTTGCAGTTGGTGGGGAGCAGGCTCCTAGGAGAGGTCCCTGCTGCATTTCATGGTAGCACCAGCCTCCCCTGCACTGAGAAGAGGCTGCCCCTTTGATTCTCCTCTCCATTCTGCTGCGCTGCAGAGCCCCGCTCTGGTCTTCCCTCCTCTCTGGCCCCACTTCCTTCATTAATGGTACTTGCCTGGCCCTTCTAAGCATCTGAGTTTATGGCTTCTGACACACAGAGTGTCAGGGCTGGAAGGGAAGTTGGACACCATCCACTTACGGCAGCTGACAGGTACCGAGCTGTGAGTACCTGCTGGGTTTGTGCCCGGGGCTTTCTGTGGTTCCTCTCATTTAAACTTCACAACAGGACTCATGAGCGCCCATCTGGAAGAGGACCAAGTAGGGCTAATACATTTCATAATGCTAGTGTTCGACATGCAAAATGAGACCACCTTGGACTGTGTTCTATTTTGCAGATATAAGAAGGAGGGAAAGAAAATTACTGGAAAAAGCTGGATTTGTCCAAAGTGGAAACTCTGCCCTGGCCCCCATCGTGTCCACCATAGCCATCGTGCTGACATTATCCTGCCACATCCTCCTGAGACGCAAACTCACCGCACCCGTGGTAAGAGCTGGCTCCAGATCGAGGCTCTTTCACAACCTGACCCCGGCAAGTCCCAGGTGGGAAGCCCTTCCTACCGTCGCTCAATACTGGCATTAGGAACATCCAATCATGGCAGGCCACAGGATGTGACTTCAACTCCAACTTTTTTTTTTTTTTTTTCTGAGACAGGGTCTCACTCAGTCACCCAGGCTGGAGTGCAGTGGCGTGATGGCGGCTGACTGCAACCTCTGCCTCCTGGGTTCAAGCAATTCTTCTGCCACAGCCTCCTGAGTAGCTGGGATTACAGGTGCCTGCTACCACCACACCTGGCTAATTTTTGTATTTTTAGTAGAGACCGGGGTTTCACCATGTTGGCCAGGCTGGTCTTGAACTCCCGACCTCAGGTAGTCCACCTATCTTGGCCTTCTAAAGTGCTGGAATTACAGGCGTGAGCCACAGTGCCGGGCCAACTCCAACTTTTAAAAACAAATGCTTGGGCTGACAAGGGGCCCGGGAGAGCCTGGCAGCGGTTCTTAATCACGTCCATGGCTGGGCAGGGGTCATAGTTAATGTTGGAATGCAATTTTAAGTGTGGAAAAAAAAATGGAAACCAAACAAGCAGTTGGCTGTTTTATCTACTTACACTACAAGAAGGAGAGTTTGAGAAAATTTTCTCGGAGGGAGGAGGTATAGGTATTAAGAGAAGTAGTGGTGTTGGGGTCAAAGTCTGGGCTTAGGAGCCCAGTCTGCCTTGTTTAAATCCAGACTCTGCTACTTAGTAGCTATGACTTATAGCAAATCATTGAGCCTCTCTGGCCTCGGTTTTGTAATCTGCAAATGGGACGATAATAGCCACAATCAGCACTGTTGTGAGGACTGAATCAGTTATTTTGTGTAAAGCATGTAGAACCATCTCAGGCTCTTAGGTCCTATACAAGTGTCAGCTATTCTTCTTAGCCTGATTCTCATCTGGGCTAGGCAAATGAGGATTGAAAGCCTTAGAGGGAGAACTGGGATGAATGTGAGATGTTCAAGTTCTTTACAAGGGGCCTGGACATCCAAAGATAACGAAATGCTAAGCTAGAGGGAAAATGATTCCTGGCTTAAATAAAGAAAAAACCAACTAAATATTAAACCAAGTAATTGGAGGAAAGCCAACAAAGGCAACAAAAAAATGAGAGAGAGAGAGAGAAGGAAATAAGCAAGTTCATAGAGGAAGAATTGCACCTAAAATCAGGGACCTCACGGGGGAGGAAAGAGGTGACGTTTGCAAAGCCAGAATGGTCTTGCTGAGCCATCCTTTGTGGGGCCCATGACTGCCCTGTGTTTAATCCCATTACTGCCCTGTGTTTCTTGGTGAGTTGCTTTTATTTTCTCTGGTTCTTCAGCAGGCAATCACTCATGCACAGTTTATTCTGACACACTTTAGGGCCTTCAGCCCAGCTGTGAGCCCAAAGCCAGATTGAATGGCAAGGATACACCAAGGCTGGATGTAACGCTGCCCAATTATTGTGGCTCTCTGTGATCCCAGACCAAAAAGAAAACTATTTTTTTCCTCCAGCAACATATCAAGCAAATCAACTTGAAATCAAATTGAGAGCATGTAGTTCATATTTTCCAACATGATAGTTTAGAGGGAATCTAGACCAAAACCAAATTTGCAAAGCTCTGGGTCCTTTGGATTCAGAACTGATTGCAGTCGCTTCTCTGCTAGGGTCATGTCAGGAGTTGGTCAGCCCCAGGGTATTCAGTCACATCAGGCTGCCCATGCGCTCTGTCAGCCAGGCCTGGGCTTCCTGAGCCAAGGTGGTGCTTTGGGACCTGGAAGAACTGAGTTCCCTTTGAGGATGTATTTAGGACCAGATGTGATAGAAGCATCTTTCATTATCCTTTTAATGAAGGGACTAGGATTAGTTGAAGCCTGGGGCCGTGTCCATGGGGCCCATTTAACAGCAGGCAGGATCACTCAGGATTTGATGAAGAAAGTTGTATTATTAATTTCTTAAATGGGTAGCTAGGGAGCGGCTGCTAATTACAATTTGGACAGATGAGAAGATGAAATTGGAGAGATGAAATCATGTACCCCCGGGGCACCAACCGAAGGGAGAAGGCTTGTTTTCATTGAGGCTGTAGAATATTAACCACCCACTATGCAGGGCACAGCAAGGAAGGCCCCATGAACAGAGGTGATTTTTTGGAGGGAAGGGTGAGGGGGAACCACAGTTGACCAAAGGCTCTCAAATCTGGCCTTGTGTGGTGAATGGGGAGGCAGGGCATGGAGGCCAGGTCCTGGGAGCAGGAGAGTGAGGTCACCCTCCAGCTTCCCCCAGGGGCAAGCAGGTCCCTCCAGGGAGCCTCCGGCTGCATGCCTGAGGCTGTGGTGTGGTGTAGTCTAACTCTAAAGGGTCAGATGCCTCTGAAGAACTGAGAGCAGGGGGTGCTTTAGGACAGTCTGCATGGGCTTCGAGTGAATAGTCTAGATTCAAATGAGGATGCAGTGTGGATGGAGATTGCCAAATGTATTCTGTTAGTGGCCTGCCTCAGACCTTTTCCCTTCTGTATCAACAGAGACAAGGGGATATACTTGCCACCATTTTGGTGAAAATCCCAAAGCAAAATAGATTTAAGATGCTGCTGTCCCCAGCTGGCCAACCGATGGTTTCTGAGCCATGAAATGAAAAGATTGTTCCTCTGCACATTCCAACGATGCCACCATTTCTCATCTCAGCAAGTTTAAACCCCATGTGTATAACGGTTTAGAGCCAACGTGACTTCTCCTTCTAAACCCTCATACTTCTCTTTTGTTCTTCAGGCATTTAGTGTGATTGCCATGTTTAATGTAATGAAGTTTTCCATTGCAATCTTGCCCTTCTCCATCAAAGCAATGGCTGAAGCGAATGTCTCTCTAAGGAGAATGAAGGTATAACTAACCCTGGGTGAGTAGGGAAGAGAGATCTCATTTTGGGGTGGGAAAATGCTCAGATATGTGGAGGCTGTACCAAGCTGCTGGAGAGCTGGGTCGCTTGTTGAGTTGACATTGGGAGGAGGGCATCCATTCAGAGTTAGATGAATAAATGTGTATGAAGGACAGAGCAGGCAGAGTTTTATAGGTTGTCTGTAGGAATGACGAGATAATCTCTGTACATGAAGAAGATGTTCCTGATCCTCTTTTTCCTAAACAATCTATACATCCTAAGTGTTCCACAAGTGAGGTTGGTTTTGTTCTGAGTCATCCCCACTTTACCTAGTTTGTTCTTTAATGGGCATGGTGATGGAAGTGATGAAGAGGATGTTGGGGTCCCTACATTTATGCACTCATTTAGTCCCTTTATTCATTCATTTATTCACTCATCAAAGATTTACTTTGTGCCTCCTATATATAAGACATGGGAAATGCAAATATAAGGAAGAGAGAGGCTTTATCCTCAAGAGCCTCTGTTCCAGTGTGGGACCCAGGCACTCTAAGAATTTCTATACATGATAAGGATATAATTGACATTTGAGAAGGGCAAATAAAGTGGTTTGAAAGTTCAACTGAGGAGAGGAAAGGGAAGAAGGGCATTTGTGTCAACACGAAAGCTTGTTCAAACATCTATGAATTGATTGAATGATCTTACTCACCCGAGTCAGAAATCCAGAAGTCATCGTAAGCATCCTGATTCATGCACTCCTCTTTTCCCTTACCATACACATCCAACCAGTCAAGAACCCTGTTAAGTCAACTCCTGATTATGGTATTCTCTCCATTTTAAGGGGTGCCATTGTAAGATTGGATTGGAAGGTACACTGTTGAGTTATCAGTCTTTGAACAAACATAAGGACACCATCACATTAATTGCATGTATTATGATATCAGATAAAAAAGTAAAGGTGCTCCTTAGACTAGATAAAGGATGGCATTTCTTGACTCCTCAACCTTCGCTCTGTCCCTACTGCCATTGCCTTCAGTTGAGGCTTCCATTATCTCTCATCTGATTAGCGCAGTGATTTATGAACTAACCTTTCTTTTTCTAACATTCTTCTCAAGTCCGTATAGCACTCAACCCCAAGAGAGCTGTCAAAATATTGGTATGATTACCAATACTTATTCTCAGCTGCTCAAAATCCTTGAACCCTTGTCCCCTCCAGGCTCTCCAGCTGTGGGTTCTCAGTTTTGTGTCCCCTTCCCTTCCCAACTTGAGCTCTGTGCCTCAGTAATCCTGAATTGCTTGTTTCATGCTACCACCCCAACAAACCATGGCTTTGCATGCTCCTTGCCTTTGTCCATGCTGGGCCTTCAGGTAGAATGCTGTCATTCTCTTTCCCTTTTCTCATCTCTGCCTGTACAACACCTGTACAGACCCAGCTCTAGCACCAAGTGCATGGACCTCGAGAATGAGAGCCAAGTGTCCCTTCTCTGGCAGTCACAGTGCTTTGTCCTCATCACATTTTGCAGAAACGATCCGTGCATGTTCTCATCTCCCTCCAGACTGTAATCTCTTCAAGGACAGGAACTGTGTCTTATTTATATTTGCATTTCTGCTGTTTACCCCAAAGTCTGGCACATGGTTAGGGCTTAGCAAATGCTTTGTTGAACTGGGCTGAGTGGCCTCGGAAGAGGACACAGCAGAGACTGAGCATATGACCTTGATTTCATAAGCATTTAGTGCCAAGCAGTGAAGTCCACTGCCCAAAGACTGGTAAGACCGACTGTCTTGGGCACAAGGGTGAAATGTGGCTGGGATCAGCATTCTCCAGTGTGGGTGACCCACATAGGCCTTGTGGTTAAAGAGGCAACTGTCCCAGATAGCATGAGCTAGTGGACTATTTCTGCTGCAGCTTCTCCTGGGGGAATAATTTCAGAACCTCTTTCCTGGATGTGGTGGGTTAGAATAGCCAAAATTGTGATTTGGGGTCATTAGAAGATACATTGGGATGATTCTTGCAAATGGATGACATCTGCTCAGTTAATTTTGTCTCTTTAATCTTAGAAAATTCTCATAGATAAAAGCCCCCCATCTTACATCACCCAACCAGAAGACCCAGATACTGTCTTGCTTTTAGCAAATGCCACCTTGACATGGGAGCATGAAGCCAGCAGGAAAAGTACCCCAAAGAAATTGCAGAACCAGAAAAGGCATTTATGCAAGAAACAGAGGTCAGAGGCATACAGTGAGAGGAGTCCACCAGCCAAGGGAGCCACTGGCCCAGAGGAGCAAAGTGACAGCCTCAAATCGGTTCTGCACAGCATAAGCTTTGTGGTGAGAAAGGTGGGTGTGTGTTGCACAGGTGTGGCCTCCAGCCCTCCTCCTTGCATTACATAGCTACAGCCTTCTCCAGGTCTGATACAGTTCAGTTAGAGCTGAAGGTGGTGATGGGATGTCTCTAACCAGAGTCCCTGTATTTTTCCCCCAGTTTTAAAACTATGTACATGAACATTGGAGGCCCCCTCTCCAAGTGTGGAGAAGACGGTGGTTATATTCATTCTGATTTGCAGTACTTCTCTTAGAGTCAGTTGCAGTTTTGAATGAACAGTCCACTCCAGGTGGCTAGGCTTGAACTGACTAGGTTTCATAAATCTTTTTTGATTTGTTCTCTTTTTGTGTGTGTGAGACAGGGTCTTACTCTTTTGCCCAGGCTGGAGTGCAGTGGTGCAATCAGAACTCACTGCGGCCTCAAACTCCTGGGCTCAAGTGATCCTCCTGCCTCAGCCTCCCAAGTAGCTGGTACTACAAGCATATATCACCATGCCCGGATAATTTTTTAAAATTTTTTATTTACCAGGGGAAAGCGGGATAATTTTTAAATTAAATTTTATTTTATTTTTTGTAGAGATGGGGTCTTGCTATGTTTCCTAGGCCAGGCTCGAACTCCTGGCCTCAAGTGATTCTCCTGTCTTGGCCTCCTGGGTCAAGTGCTGAGATTACAGGCATGAACCACTGCTCCTGTCCTAGATATGTTCTTAATTTCACATTGGAATATTATGATAGATGATAATGACTGATAATTTTGAACACTACTATTTACCAGGTACATAATAAACTCACTTAACCACTTCAATAACCAGGCATCATAACTGCCCCTACTTGATGGTTGAGGAGCCTAAGGCACAAGAGGGTTAAATAGCTTGCCCAAGGTCACATAGCTAGCAAGTGGCAGAGGAGGGTTTCATACCCAGGGCACCTGGCTGCAGAGTCTGGGCTCTTAACCACCGGCAAAAACTCCTCTTGTAAAAAGCAAACTGAGATAACAAGCAACCCAGCCAAGGGCTAAGCCAGCCAAGCCAGCCAGAGTCTGTTTGTTGTTCTCTCCCCTCAAGATTGGGGGATGGAGATTTCAGGCAACGCTGTGGGTTTAGGGAATGTTTGGCCTCTTCCTGCATCTCCTGCATGCATCTCCTTCTTGCTCTGGGAACTCAGCAGCAGACTCCCAGGGTGGCAGTGTTGATTTTGCTGCAGAGGGCTCAACATTAATCTTGTGCCTGGTATTTTAATCTCTCATCCTGTTGACTCACTCTTTCCCTGTGCAAGCGCTATAGAAGGAGAGGTTCTTATTTATTATGCAATGTCAAGCTCAATAGCTGGTGTGAGAGTGGTACCTCTCATAGCTAACAAAGCTGTCTGCCACGTATTCATTGGAAACGATATTTAGTTGGCTGAGTGCAATTGAGCTCAGATTTCAGCTAAGTCCCATGAGTGCCACCTACTTTGCCTTCTCGCCACTCTCCCCGTGGAGCACCTGACTTCCCCCCGCCCTGCCTTCCCATGTGCCTCCAAGAGGCCTCCGTGAACTTCCCGTGTTCTAAGGACGCTGCTTTCTGGCCACGCAATGGCTTTGCTAATGTGCTATTCCATATGTCGGTGACTCTGGAATTCCTGCCTCAAGGATGCAGTCAATGTTTTGTGGAATAAATTGAAGATAAAGTGGGGGCAATGCATTGTTGCCTCTGGAGCAGTGGGGGCAATGCAATGCCTCTGGAGCCTGAGGGACCCCAGTTCCAGGCCCAGCCACTTCCTAGCTGCTTGACCTTGGATGTCTTGCTGAAGCTCCCTAAGCCTCTGTTTCTTTACCAGCACCATGCATTTCATAGAAGTACCCATTTCACAAGGTGGTGGGGGAACTCAGATACCACATAAAAATGCTAAGCCCATAGTAAGTCTTAGCTGATGTTAGGTATGATTGTTGCCTTTTTCTTTAACAATTATGTCCAGCTTAAGTGCTGCCCTCAAGTGTTCTACAGGGCATCCAGGTTTTTCCAAGTTTAGCTCCTCAATTCCATCAGACTGGATCCTCCATGGGGTCAGGGTTTTTTGTTCACAGTTATGTCGTTATCCCGAAGCCCAGCTCCTGGCTTGGAGGTGGCCAGCAGTGTTTGTTGGGAGAATCATCAGAGGATACAGGCCTCATGGATTTTCTGCTAAAGACAAGGATGAATCTAGAAGGCTTCTTACTTGGCCCCAAGAAGTGGATAGGACTCAAAGGGCAGCCAAATACCTGGTGAGGCTGCATCACATCTGCGGTCTCTTTAATGCCCCGGTTCATTGAAGTCCTTTTAGGGGAATTAAATAGATTCAGCTTCATTTCATGAGGCAGGAATTCCAGAGTCACTGACATATGGAATAGCCATTAGCAAAGTCATTGTGTGGCCAGAAAGTCCTTAGAACACAGGAAGTTCACGGAGGCCTCTTGGAGGCAAATGGGAATGCAGCATGGGGGAAGTCAGGTGCTCCACCGGGAGAGTGGCGAGAAGGCAAAGTAGGTGGCACTCAGTGGGACTTAACTGAAATCTGAACTCAGTTGCACTCAGCCAACCAAATTTACATCCATGTGGGCTCCACAAAGGCAGGGAGACCTCTGTGTGGATCACTATTTTATCCCAAGGTGCCTGGGATTCAGCAAAGACCTTGTTTAAGGAATTATTGATGACAGGCAGCGACTCTCATGTGCTGAGAATGGCAGACAGGGGATGGGCGTTTCTGGTCTAGCTTGGGGTGGGAAAAAAGCCATATTTGGCCCCATGTTGGGCATCTTTGCCCTAAGGGATTGCAGGGAGCAGGCCTACATGAGAATGTTCTCAGATGCTCCAAGTGCAGTATTGCAATATCTGCTTGAACATGAGTGGACATGCTTACACGTCAGTCTCCACATGGGCTGTTTGCCTGCAATGATTCTCCCCAGATACCCCATGGCACCCTTCCTCACCTCCTTCACGTCTTACCCAAATGTCACCTGTGGCAGATGTTGTCCCTGCCCATGTGCCCTGGACCTCTAAGTGTTTCCTGGCCATCTTACAACTGCCTTATCTGCATCCGTGCCCAAGGGCTCTGCACACCTCCATAAAGACCTTCACAGACTAGAGAGCAGCCCTCAAACAATGACTGCTGGGGCATCAATACCCCACCTCCTCTGCCATTGGGTGGGACAAAGCTATAGTCAGTTCCCCAGAGTTTCCTGCAGTTTCCCTGCAGGGTTGAGTTCCGTTTGCCTCCTGTGTAGGATATTCTGTTAGGGAGCCAACCCAATAGGCTGCCCTTTATGGGCCACCTTCCCTTTCCTGTATCACTTCTCCTCTTCCCTACTGGAATTTCCTGCACCTTCCAAATGTGAGTGTGACTTTCATTCAAATCCTTGATTCAAGGTCTGTTTCTGGGAAAACTCAAGCTAAGACATCTACCTTTCCAGTAAGGCTTTCCTTGTACCCCCAAGCCTCTAGCCCACTCCCTGTCCCTTCCCTGTCTCTTCCCTGCTTTATTTTTCTCCATGGCAAGCATAGATGTGCCTGCCCCACATTTCATTTGCTTGTCTTGCTTCCTGTCCATCTTCCCCTGACTACAAGGTAAGTTCTATGAGGGTAGACTCAGGCCATTGCCTGTTGTGTTCATTGCTGTTCTTGCTGGTGGTTGGAACAGTGCTTGGCACATAGCAGGCTCTGATAATGATTTGTTGGTTGAATTAATAAATCTGGAGCTGTAGAATGTTAGAATAGTGTAACTTCTCAGTAATTCCAGATTTTTGAAAAGCCCCTAGATGTCCATACTTCAAAAGCTACCCTAGTCCCCCTGGGTTGTACAGCCTTTTGCATCCCATTAGATTTGCTTTTCTGGAGTCTGGGCACAGAATAGCCTTCCTGTTCAAGGCCTGTGTCTCCCAGACCAGCACAAGGCTGTTTCACACCAGTGATCTTACGTGATTTCTAGAAGCCCTGTGGGTGCTTGGCTATGCCACACAAGGGAAAGCACTTAATTAAGACTTACATTCCTGCATCCTCCCAGGCTGTTTATGTGGGCCAGGGTGGTGTGGCTGCAGCTGCCATGCCCCAGAGCCTGCAGTGACCCCTTGTTCTCCGCCTGGCCTGACCAGCATAGTTTGGGAGTGGCACCTTTGGGCCAGACCCTCTAAGAAGTGGGAGAGAGTGACTGTGTCCCATCTCTGTTTCTCTGGCAGGGGAAGATCTTGGGAATATGTGGGAATGTGGGAAGTGGAAAGAGCTCCCTCCTTGCAGCTCTCCTAGGACAGGTAAGCTGTGTGATGAGTGCTGTGAAGATGGAACATTAACATGACAATGAAATGGCTCCCTTCCGGTCAGGCGTGGACCCAGCAGATGGCCTCGGCTGCACTGGACACTGTGCATGTGGTTCACAATAATTTTTGGGAGGTTAATGCACGCAGCAGCTCCAGGCCCCTGGGCCAGATGAGGCTGAGTTTTTCACAAACTCTTGAGTTTGCCAATGAGGAGGTCTATTGAATGGCATTGCCTCCTTGCCTAAAGCTCCATCTTGGTCAAAGGAGAGATGGGTCCTTAAACCCATGGTTATCCCCATGAGTTGGGCTGCCCTGATTTAGAAATGCCAGCAAGGCAGCTTGGTGTGGAAGGACTTTGGAGTCTGGAGCTCATGGTGACTATAGATGTATTTTATGCCTGAACTAAAGCAGCTCATGCCCCCACCTTCTCTGCAAACCTTGGGGTAGGAAGAGGGAGGGGACTTGGGTCATTGTCCCTTCCCTGCTCCTTCTAGTTGGGTGACCCCAGGGAAAATGGCTAAGCCATTTGTAGTTTTCACAAACCTCTATGTTGCCACGGTTTCTAAGTCACATCCCACATGAATGAGAAGCTTTGTGGAAAAAAAATGCTAAGTCCTCTTTCTCCCCACTCTGCTGTTGCTAAAGAGAAGTTTGTGCAGCTGGGATTGCCTCTTTCAGGAAGAGGTCGGGGTACTTCTGAAGAAGTGGGGACTCCAGAATAGGGTGGTGGGGGGATGTGTCTTATGAGTTTTAATATGAGTGACTTCTTTTGGCCTCAGTTGACTCATCTATAGAAAGAATGACAACTCCTTCCCTGCCTGGAGGTGGAGGTGGGGGCTGAATTGGATGAGTTCCTGAGGTCACCCACGCTCTGAGAGTGTGTGCCTCCATGATGAGTCAGCGTGAGCCATAGAGGTGACTCAGCTCAATTCCCCACATAATGATGTGAATACTCTTAATAGCATCCTACTGCATAAGAGATGGCCCAACTGCTCGGATAGCTCCAGTGATGGGAAGCTCATCATGTCACAGCCAGTTCCTTCTTTGGAGAGTTTTGATGTATATTGGAGTGAAATTTGCCTCCTTTTAATTTCTGTCCTTTGGAAATTTTGAGATAACATTAAGTCTATCTCCCATGAGACAGTGGTGGGATCAGGCCCCTGGCTGTGGTCACTGGGGAAGCAGGGGGGCACTCTGGACAGCCTGGGTTCCCCAGCTGTTTCTGCCACATGCTCACTATTTAGCCTTGGGCAGGTAACTTAACCTCTCTGAGCCTCATGAAACCACTTGGTTTCCTTGTCTGTAAAATGGGACTAAGGAGAGTTGTGGTGAGGTTTGAATGAGATCATGTAAGCAATAGTTGGCTATAGGATAATTTGCAAGGCCAGTCATGGTGAAAAACATTGAACATACATTTAATTCAGTTCACGGAATATACCCTACACATTAAAAATACTACAATTATTATTGTTATTATCATGGTCTCTTCTCCAAATTGAATTCTCTGTCCATTGCACAACTCCTGAGGTGAAGTGGCATCACATCCTTCGGCCGCCTTGGTGACTCTCCTTCTTTGCCCCTGGACCCACTGCCACTGCCCCGTGAGCATCAGCCCTGAGCACTGTGGCCTGCCCCACATGTACCCTCTGTTGATAACTTTGAACGTTGCATCCCCGCTGTCTACCATTGTCTATTGGATGCCCACGATGAGGGGTCATCTTAAATGAACATATGTACTCAGGGTCACAAACTGGAGCCCATGCATAGTTTTAATTGATTGCTGAATGCTTTAAAAGTCCAAAGATGTCATATAAAACTGGATCTTTGACTCCTCTGGACAAATTAGAAAATCCTGCTCCATCAGGCCTGCATCCTTGCATGGCACCAAAGATGCAACTGAGTCAAGGCTGCTTCCTGAAGATGGGGTGTGCCAAGGCCAACACCCACAGCCGTGCAGGTGGTGCCCTGCTCCCAGGGCCTGGCTGAGCAGGGTTGGATCCAGCCAGTGCACCTGGAGGAAGGGGAGCCTCTTGTGAAGAGTCTGTTCAGAGAACATCCTGTTGTAGTTGGGCCCAGGTGCCATGTGCACTGGGAGCAGCCCTGCAGTCCAAGCTCTCCCATTTGTAGCAGAGCTTACCACTGCCTCTTTTCAAGCATTCCCTGCCTGGCCCTGTGCAGGTGTTTGACTCTGAGATTCTGCATCTGCATGGTTGGGCTTTCTGGTGCATGGACAAGATGTCCTGTCAACGCTTTTGTGCCTTCATAACCAATGCTTGTGGAATATGTGGGTGCCAGGGTGCAATGGGCATTTGAGGAAAAGTTCTCAAGGCTTGGCTCCTGAAGCTTCTCCCGTCTTGTTGTTCCAGATGCAGCTGCAGAAAGGGGTGGTGGCAGTCAATGGAACTTTGGCCTACGTTTCACAGCAGGCATGGATCTTTCATGGAAATGTGAGAGAAAACATACTCTTTGGAGAAAAGTATGATCACCAAAGGTAATATTAACTTTTAAAGCAGGAGGCACATTTGTGTTTGGTACACACTCTCCTACAGATGCTGATGCTGTTGGTAATGACTGCTAAGTGGGTTCTGAGTTTAATGAATTCTGATTAAACATTCATCAGATCCACACAGACACTGGTTTTCCTCTTCCTGAGCCAAGCGTTCAGGAGAGGCGACTTCTGCAGACCTGCGACTGCACACTGGGAAGAGGATAGAATCGGCACTTCATTCCCAGGGCAGAGGAGCATATGTTCCGAGGTTCTCTGCAACAGGGCATATGTGGTCTGACTAGAGAAAAGTGAATCCAGCAATTTTGCTTTAGGCTGAGTACCCAAAACTGCTCAGAATCATGAGCAAGTATGTAATGAATCAGCCCTGACATTATTAATTGACATCAGAGCTATCAGGATATATTATCACTGTTAGTGTCCTCAGAATGGTCTAACTAAATAAAAACAAAGCTCAACTTATAATTACTTGATTTACTTTGAGCCATCATCTTTTTTATATCATTTTATTTTTTAAATGGACATAATTACATTTATCTATGGGGTACACTTTTGTGTTTTGATATATGACGCTGGGGGAGAGGGGAGTGTGGGGAAAGGATAGATGTTGACCAAAGGGTACAAAGTTTCAATTAGACAGGAGAAATAGGCGTTAGTGATCTATTGCACAGAATGGTGACAATGATAAATTTTAATGTATTATATATTTCAAAAGTACTGAAATAGTATATTGTAAATGTTTTCAACACGAAAATTGCGAGTATGTATTTGTAATAACTGTAGTATGTAATGAACAGACAGCAATTTGGGGAGAAATATTTTCTCTAAGAACATTTAATAACCCATTAGCTGGGCGCAGTGGCTCACGCCTGTAATCCCAGAACTTTGGGAGTCCGAGGCAGGTGGATCATGAGGTCAGGGGTTTGAGACCAGCCTGACCAACATGGTGAAACCCTGTCTCTACTAAAAATACAAAAATTAGCTGGGCGTGGTGGTGGGCACCTGTAATCCCAGCTACTCAGGAGGCTGAGGCAGGAGAATTGCTTGAACCCGGGAGGTGGAGGTTGCAGTGAGCCGAGATCATGCCACTGCACTCCAGCCTGGGCAAAAGAGCGAGACTCCTTCTCAAAAAAAAAAAAAAACAAAAAACTCATTAATACCGTGATCACCGTGGACATTTCTATAGTTATTCTCTCCCTACTTCTGAAATGTTTGAGTTTTCTAAATTTTAATTTTAACATTAGATTCAGGGGGTACAGTTTTGTTACAGGGGTATATAGTGTGATGCTGAGGTTTGGGTTTCTACTGATCCTGTTCACTCTCTGTTGGACATAGTACCCAATAGGAAGCTGTTCATCCGTGCGCCCTCTCATCCTCCATCCTTTTGGAATTCCCACTGCCTCTTGTTGCCATCTTTATGTCTGTGCATACCCAAGGTTTAGCTCCCATGTATAAATGAGAACATGTGATATTTGGTTTTCTGTTTCTGTGTGAATTTACTTAAGATAATGAAGTCCAGCTGCCTCATGTTGCTACATGATTTTGTTCTTTTTTACGGCTGCATAGTATTCTATGGTGTATATATACCACATTTTCTTTATCCAATTCACCATTGATTGGACCATCATCTTTAAGCTCTGGAAAGTAATGGCTTCCTATGGTTCTTTGCTTAGCTTGGTGTATTGCCACGTACATTCTCTCATTTGAGTCCCTTAACCACCCATTTAGAGAGATTGTGGCATTATATCCCCATTTTACAGATAAATAAAAGGGCCTAGAGAGGCGAGTTGACCCTCCCAAGGTATTAAATGCTATTAAATGTCAGAGTTGAGTCTTGGACTTAGACGTTGAGCTCCAGATCAACATCAGTTTTCTGGAGCTGGAGGTGCCTGACAGCTGGGTCACTCAGAAACCTTCCCAGGCATCACAATGCTTAATTAAGAGAACTGGAGTTGGTTTTAGGAATCTGGCTGTCAGCTCTCCAGTGGTAGTTTGGCCTTTCTCATCTTACCCACCAACTCTGTCCCTGCTGGCTGGTATGGCAGCATGTATGTTCTCATCAAGAGGCTTGTCAATTCACCTCCTCTTCCCCGGCCATGCCGTCCTGTGGCCAGGAGGCTCAGGTGTGGCAGGAAGGTGATCAGTGCAGGAGTCAGTGATCAGTATAGCCAAATTACTCTGCTCAGCATCTCTTGGCCTGTGCCACCCACCTGGAATGCCTTCTCTGTCTGTGGATGCGGACTGGACAGAGGGTTGCCTTATTCATCAAAATGATGTTCAGAGGGCAAATATGTGCCAAATGCCTGCAGCATGCAGGGCACATGGGGAAAGAGATGGCTCAGGTGTATCTTTGCCCTTAAGATGCTCAAGTCTGGAATGGGCTATAAGAAATGCACAGAAATGACAGTGCACCAGGGAGGAATGAGCCAGGTGGCAGTAGACCGTGCTCGGATTGTTCCAAGGCAGCAGAGATCACGAGAGGATGGTGGATCAGGGAAGAGAAGATGGCACTTGAATTGGGCTTTGAAAGATGGATCTAGCATCCTTCATATGTGGCATATTTAGCAGAGATTTTGCTCCTAGGGCAGAAACTGTGGCTCTCAGGGCCATAGGAAGCAGGAGGGTGGGAGGAAATTGAAGGTGGGAGGTGTTGAGGGGAGGAAGATGTGCTGCGCAGTCTGAGTCAGATTGGCAAATGTAGTAATAGCAATTATAGCCCCCACTGATGGAGAATTTGCCATGCAGCAGACACTGTGCTAATGGCTTCACATGTTTTTCTGCTCCATTCTCACAACAACCCAATGAGAATTAGTTGTTTGCACAATTTTATAGAGCAGAGAGTGAGGATCAGGGAGGTACAGTCACTTGTCCAAGGTCGCCCAGCTGGATTCAAACCATTCTCTGATTCCAAGGCCCCTCATCATAACTGCTATGTACACCAACCCCAAAGTTTGTGTGTGGGCATGATGCTTGGGCTGTGCCCAGGTTCTGTTTTGGGGCCTGTGTGCAACCGGAAGGGCAGCTGCTCATGCCTGCCACTCTCTTTCTTGCCTCTTTATTGGGAAGGTCTGTCTTTTGATGTCTGAGTTGTGAGGCCTGCCCATTGTTACTCGCTGAAGGAAAGAGGGTCCTGATGACGATAATGCCAATGATATCAATCAATCAATTCTGTCATCAACCAACCAATCAGCCACTGTGGAGGCAGGCAACCTGCTGAGCAGGACAGAAACCTAAAGGCCCAGTGGTGCTGCTCAGCAGCTGCTGGGAGGGAGCACAAACCTGAGCCAGGCACTGCAGGCATCCTGAGCAGGAGTTGGGTCCCCAAGGCGGCTGTGCGGGGGCTCTGTGATGCCTGGGGAAGGTTCTGCTTATGGTGGGGGCTGTATGAGTGAGGTTGAGTTGCAGAGAAAACCGAGGGAGGAGGGTGTGGGCATCTGTCATAACATGGGGACGACATCCCAGTGACCACGGACGTTCCTAGGTTCCTCGGTGCCAGAAGGCCCCAAAGGCCTCCCCTGGGGCAGAGCGGGGTCATGCCCCTGGGGACCGCTGTGGGGCTGACCCCACAGCTTTGCTGCTTTTTGCAGGATAGGGCGCTAGTCCTGGCGGCTTGGCTGCCGCAGAGCTGGCTAGGGCCTCGGCTGTCAAACTCCCCAAAGCCTGGGCTGCAGGGCTAGGCAGAGCGTGACGCTGAGGGGGCACAGTGGAGAGGCCAAGAGGCCCAAAGAGCAGGAGTCCCACTCTCTCTCCCATTCCGCCCCCTCACCTCAGGTGCCATTCCCTTCGACTCAGTATCCCGAGTTGTTGCAGGGGAGAAAACTCCATTCTCTCCAACCTACTAGCAGTGAGGGGTGGATGGAGTAGCTTTGTGGAGGGGCTGGGCAAATGTCAAGGTCGTCACTGGTGATCACCCAGCCCCCTGCTGTTAGCCTCCTTCACACACACCCTCTCTTCCACCCACGGTCCTGCTTCAGCCCTGTGACCCCCAGGAGGCCATCCCCAGTAACTGCAGCCCCCAAGGGTGACCCCTCCTCTGACTCCCATGAGCGTCCAGCAGGTGGCGCCCTCAGTGTTTCCTGCAGGGCTTTCCTGTTCAGCGTTGTCTTCTTCCCTGCTTGGCGAAAACCCTGCCAGGGAAGGGGCCATTCCTGAATCAACTCTGCATCAGGTCAGGGGAGGGGCCAGTGGTCACTGGGACGCTACCCTTGGGTCATTGAAGGCAGAGCGACTGGCCAGGGAGCCTTGGACATAGCAGCCGCCACCCCTGGCCTTGCCCCAGCAACACCAGCAGCGCCTGTGGAAGCAGCCCAGGGCAGCAGTGCTTGGGGTCTTTCTCACCCAGCTACTTCTGAGCTTTGCACCAACAGGTATCAGCACACAGTCCGCGTCTGTGGCCTCCAGAAGGACCTGAGCAACCTCCCCTATGGAGACCTGACTGAGGTGAGCGGGGCTGGGAGCGCAAGCCCACTGTAGCTGCACACAGTACATTTGCTCAGGTCCAAAGGGCTGAGGCCAGCAAGCCCCTGTTCCACATCCAGATGCCCCAAGGACGTGTGGGCAAAGCTCAGGTTCCACCCATTCTGAATTCTTCCTCTGGATCTATACTTGCTGGATGTCATAGTGGACGTGGCACCAAGCTTACTGGTGTTTGGCACAGTGTAGTCACTTCTTGGGGCTACTCCCAATCTGCCTGTCGTCTCAGGAAGGGTTTCTGGTGAAAACTGCTTCCTCATCCCAAGGGCTGGCTCTGTCCTGCAAACCAGGGCCCCTTCTTGCCTCACTGGCTCTGCCCAGGCCAGGAGTATGGGGGTCACCTCTAAACATTGCCCCCTGGGGTGCTTGTCCAAACGGGCTGAGCCTGCCACCCCATCCTGGGCTGAGCCTGCCACCCCAAGAGACCCAGGGGAGTCACCTTGCCATCTCGGGTCCCCACCCTTCTTGTGCTCTCTGCACAATCTTCCTCACCTTGCCCAGGAGCCCCAGAGGAGATCAGAAGGCTAAAGCTTTCTGAGGAAAGGCAGTTTGGGGTGTCTTTCTCTACTGGTGCCCTCAGTCTGCATCCCCAAGGAAGTGGCCGTGAAGCCTTCCTGGCCTGCATCTGAGACCTCCCACACTGCAGCCCTGGTTCACCCTTCCAGGCCATGCTCCTACCTGCCTGCCAAAGTGTCCACTCACTTCCTAGCCTCTAAGTCTCTGCTCCTGTGACATCACTATCCTTTGAGTTTCAACCCAAAATCTGCCTCCTCAAGGAAGGCTTTCCCAAGTCCCACCACCTGAATAATTTGCCACAAAGTACTCTACTGATGCTCTTCAGCAGGCGCTTGTGAAATTCTGCTTGCTGCTGCTATTATGTACATAACTACCCTGCCCACCGTGGAGCTCCCCAGGGAGAGGGGACTTCTCTTGTCCAGCTTGTGTGTCCCGCCCCGTGCCTAACTCAACATCTGGCTGAACACCTGGGGTTCACTTTGGGTTCCATTGGATAGAATCACCTACAGCAAGCAATCATCCTTTCCATAAATATTTACTGAGCACCTATTCTGTGCCCAGCATGGTGCCAGGCCTTAGGGTGGTGATGATGAACCAGGAAGTCAAGGCTTATCTCTCCACAGTGCTTAGAGTTGCCTAGGGATGGGATAGTTGCTCTACAAGTAAACAAAATAGGGAACTCGCTTTTCCATCTGCACCCAGCCACGTTTCCCTCTGGTTCACTGCTGCATTCTCCCCAGCTCTCTGCTCACACAATTCCCTTTGGTGATAAAAATGACGTAGCCCCTCCCTGTGGGATCTGCATTGGGCTGGGGTCTTGTGAGATGGGCACCCCTCAATCCTCATGGGAAAGAGCTTTGCCCTCGTTGCCGCTGCCCACTGGGCTTCCTGGAGAGGTAGACAAGTGGAGCACTTCCACTCACCACAGAGTCTCGTGTGACCGGGGGCCCTGTAAGGGGCGGAGGAACTTGGATATGGCGAGGATCAGTGTGTACGTCTTTCCCCTGAGTCCTGAGAAGCTCCAGGAAGCTTCCATTGCCCAAGAACTTCAGGGTGGGCTGACAATGGGCAGTAGCATTGTCCCTGTCCACAGATTGGGGAGCGGGGCCTCAACCTCTCTGGGGGGCAGAGGCAGAGGATTAGCCTGGCCCGCGCTGTCTACTCCGACCGTCAGCTCTACCTGCTGGACGACCCCCTGTCGGCCGTGGACGCCCACGTGGGGAAGCACGTCTTTGAGGAGTGCATTAAGAAGACGCTCAGGGGAAAGACAGTCGTCCTGGTGACCCACCAGCTACAGGTGATGGGACATGCAGGATCCAGGAGGTCACGGGATGGGTGTGGCTGGGGATCTGATGCTCACAGAGCCTCCTCTTCTGCCTATATCTGCCTGTCTTCAGCTGGGAATGTGGGGAGGGAGCCAGGGATGCAAGAGACACTCATGATTCCCCAGCCTTCCTGGCTCCCAGGAGGCCCACCTCTTCCACTCCATGCATGGCCTCAGTGGGGCCAAGACTTTTCCTGCACCAGAGGGTAGATTCTCTAGAAGCAATTGAGTCCTGCCTGTGGGTGGATTGGGGCACCCTTCCCCAAGTTCTGGGCGCCTGGTAAGATGGGGAGCCAGGGAAAACAATGACGGCCCCACCCTTACTCCAGCAATTCTGGGCAAGCCTGAGGCCAGGGATACCTTGACTGGGGGTGTCAGGGGGTGGTAGACCTCTTGGATGAGGGGCCCAGATGCCCCAGGTATCACACCCCAGGGGAAAGGGGCTTGAAGCCAGGACTTTGGGACTAAGGCTGAGGCTTTGGGGAAGCTCTCTCTGCTCAGGGCCACTGTCTCAGGCTAAGGAGCATGAATCTCACTGAAGAAAGCGACTGGGCTTGACCTCAGTGAATTTAAGAATTTGGCAGAGTGGGAACAGCCCTCACTGCATTGGTCTCACATAAGGCGTCCTGATTGCCTGATGGGAATCCAAGAACCTCCTCCTCCCAGGCCAGGTTTCCCTGCTTCCAGACCATCTCCCTCTCTCTTCTTTGTAGGGAATCCCCAGAGATGTGTGGGGGAAGGGGGGGCAGTGCATGTGTGTGCACGTGTGTGTTCATGCGTGCACGTGGGTGTCTCCTTGCCCGACGAGAGATTCCTTGGGATTGACTTATGTTGAAAGGCCTATTGGAGCAGGAGAGCAAGTGTCCCGTCTTCTTTACTCTCCTGCTACCTGCAGAGAACATGTTACATAAGGGCCTGGTCTGGGGGCAGGAAGCAGGTCTTTGCAAAGGTAAGTCAAGCTGGGGTGGAGAGGGAGGGGCAATAGCAGCAAATAAAGTTGCCATGGCTATAGGATGCTGCAGCCAGCATTTTAGGACCCTCCAGTAGTGGCCAGGAGGACCAGCCTAAAGAGGGTGTTCCTCGAAGACCCTGTAAAACCAAGCTTTCCCATTGCTGTGATGCTGCCCCTAGCCTGAGCTCACCTTTGCCCAGGGCTAGAGTTCTGGTCCCGGAATAAGCTCCAGGCATCCGAATTTTGCGCATGGGGATTGTCTGGATTTCCTCTGAGTGGGCCTGAGCACCTCCAGGAAGCATCATGCTGGGCTGGTGTGGGCAAGAGCTCCTAGTTCTTCTTCTGGCCTAGTTCTTCTTCTGAGTTAGGATGGAGGACAAGGTTGGATTTCTTCAAGACCCTCATGAGGTGACAGAATGGGCTCTGGCCCAGTCTGGATGCTAAACCTGGCAGCCCTAGCTCTGCACCTGGAATATCCCTGGAGACACCCTGCAGCAGGGAGGGCTGTCCTCCAAGGGCTCTGGGGATCTGGAGGGGGATGCCTCATCCCTGACAGATGTGGGTCATGGCTGTCCCTCCAGGAGTCCTCATGAGGGGAATCATAACCTTGGTCCTGGTTCGGTCTTTGAAACTGACTGAGCCGCAGTATGACCTCAGGCAGGAGCCATCTTCACACCAGGTCCATCTCCTTAGATTCCACCTTCCCGTGTCATTTTATCCAACTTTTTGCAAGTTGGAAGAGGCAGGTAGCCACCAGGTGGCACAAGATCTTGGTCCTGCTGTGCCTTGTCAGGGAGAATGGAACTTAGAGCCCCAGAACTGCGGCCCGGGGCTTTTCCAGAGCCTATCCCCTCTGCTCTTACTCCCAGGCCCACAGGCAAGCATCTTAGTGGTTGGGGTGGATGATCGCTCTTCTAAGGAAACCACTGAAATCCAACCCAGGTGCAGATTTGGTGACGGCTTGCAGAACAAAGCTGCTCAAATCTGCCTCATATCTCTGGAGTGAACTGGGGGCTTGCTGACCAGAGGGGGCTTCCCCGGGAGCTCCTGGAGCTGGAGCGTGTGCTGTGGCTATGGGACTGGAACAGGCTTATGGTGTCTCAGTTTCCCCATCTGAAAAATCAGCTGATAAGACAGGGAGCTGGGCAGTTAGTGGGAGGGAGGCATGAGGGCTGGAGCTGTCCAAGCTGTTAGAACTGTTATCATTCAGCCTTTGGGCACCCTCCCAACTCGCCCAATCAAGTGTACAATGACCGAACACAGCTACTTCTTTCAGGCTTGTAATCAAGAGCAGCAGAGGTTGATTTGACCTTGGATGAACCGTGCAGTATCAGGGAAGACCTCTGGCCCATACTGCAAAGGCTTCTTTCGGTCAAACCATCTTTAGTCTCAGCATCTTGCCCACCTCTAGGAGGGAGCTTCCTTGATCCTGGGGGGAGAGCTCTGTGTCTCATTCCAAAATGAAAGGAAAACCCTCTTAGCAGAACTCTTTGATCTCAGGAATGATATGGAAATGAAGGGAATTCAAATTAAAAAAAACAGAAGTGCTTTGGGCAAAATGTGGGATGCCAGCATTAAATGTAGCTGTGTTTTTATCTCATAGATAAAGCTGGCATAAATTCCTCAGGCCAGGGAATGTGGCCTCTTGCCTGGAGACCACACCGTGGTCTGCTTCTCCTGGGCTAAATGGGGATGATGAGGGAGGCTTGTAATTTTAGAACACAGGAGGACCTTCGTGAAGATCATATTTCCCCTCCCTACCAAGTCCTGGCTGCTGTGACTGTCAGTTTTATTTTCCAAATCTCCATGATCAGATTTCGATTTATTTATTTAATTTTTTTGAGACAGAGTCTTGCTCTGTCATCCAGGCTGGAGTGCAGTGGCACCTTCTTGGCTCACTGCAACCTCCACCTCCTGAGTTCAAGCGATTCTCCTGCCTCAACCTCCTGAGTAGCTGGATTATAGGTGCACGCCACCATACCCAGCTACTTTTTGTATTTTTAGTAGAGATGGGGTTTCACCATGTTGGCCAGGTGGGTCTCGAACTCCTGACCTTAGGTGATCCACCCGCTTCAGCCTCCCAAAGTGCCGGGACTACAGGTGTGAGCCACTGCGCCTGGCCATGATCAGATTTCTTAGGAAGGCAGCTCATTTAAGGAGCAGTAGCAAAGGAAGATTCAGTGTTCTTTACTGTGAGAGCCAAAGGCTGGCTTTTTTTTGGACTCATGAGACCTGTGGGTACTAGATGAATGGTTCTGTGCTGGGGGCCAATCTGCCCCCAGGAGGCACTTGGCAATGTCTGGAGACATCATTGCTTGTCACACCTCCAGGAGGGGGTGCTACCGACATCTAGTGGGGTAGAGGCCAGGGAGGGTGGTAAATATCCTACAATGCACAGGACAGCCCCCTCAAACAAAGAATGATCTGGCCCCTAAAGTCAACAGTGGTAACTAAGGTTGGAGAGGAGTTTGGCATGGGCTCTCCTTTCCAGGCAGAAGTTCATTGTCGATCACTTACTTCTGCAGTTCTTAGAGTCTTGTGATGAAGTTATTTTATTAGAAGATGGAGAGATTTGTGAAAAGGGAACCCACAAGGAGTTAATGGAGGAGAGAGGGCGCTATGCAAAACTGATTCACAACCTGCGAGGATTGCAGTTCAAGGTAACTCACACCTGGGCAGGTGTGGGAACAATTGGGGCGGAATCCCTCAGGATTTCGTGCCTGGGAGAGGTCCTGTCACTTAGCATTCAGAAGGAATTTCATTTTGTCTCCAGGATCCTGAACACCTTTACAATGCAGCAATGGTGGAAGCCTTCAAGGAGAGCCCTGCTGAGAGAGAGGAAGATGCTGGTATAATCGGTTAGAATCCCATCCCTGTTATTGTCCTTGGCTTGAATGGACACAGATCTCTCTTTATTTCTCACCCTAGTTTTGGCTCCAGGAAATGAGAAAGATGAAGGAAAAGAATCTGAAACAGGCTCAGAATTTGTAGACACAAAAGGTATTTACCACACATCCCCTCAGTCACATACACTTAAGGATGTATTGGGCATCTACCGTTTGGGATACAGACAGTGTAGACACTGTGCATGTCATTTTGGGCAGCCAGAATTGGATGGTCTAGGGTACTGTGTGCCTTGGGGTTCCACTGCCTAAGTCCAAATTTTGGCTCCACCACTTACTAGTTTTGTGACCTTGAGCAAGATACTTGGCCACTCTGAACCTTAGCCTCCTAATCTATAAAATGAGGAAGTAGTACCAACCACAATTTCTTGTAAAGATTAAATGAGAAAATGAACATAAAATGATTCGCACACTGCCTGACACACAGTGATGCTCAATAGTTATTATGAGCTGGAGAGATCAAAGTACTGCATGGGGATTCGTTAGAGGCAAAGGCAGACACGGAGCTTCCCACTCTTTATGGGGAGCATTGAGAACGGATTATGAAGCAGTGAAGGGATTGAGGTGGGATAAGGTTATTATTCTTTCAACAAATAAAGGTTAAGCATTGACTGTGTGCCTAGTAGTACTAAACTGGGCTGAGGAGAGTAAGAAGAGATGCCCGTGTTCTCAGGATCTTGTGGTCTGGAGGGGACTCAGGCAGATGGGTAACTATGGGAAACCAGTAAGAGTAATGGGGAATTTGGGTGAGAGAAACAAACATGTCAGGGAGGCCTTCACAGAGGGGGTGGCCTTCGGACTGGTCCCTCAAGGTTGTATAGGAGTTTGCTGGGGACACTGTGGTGAGAAGGTGGGAGAGGGTAGAGGGCTTGAGGTTGAGGGTAGGAGGAGATTCCAGGGAGGTGGGGAGACGAGATGTGGAAGATGAGCCTGGTGGGGGCTACCTGGTCAGGCCACCTCTTCTCCTCCATAGACACCCTGCCTTCATTCACTCCACATCCCTAGAGCACCTACTCTGCCCCTTGCCCCATGCTGGACACAGAGAGGACTGAGGTCAATAGTCCTCAAAGTATACACAGCAAGGTGGCTTTCCAAGTTATTCTGTTCCTCAATAATGCATAGCCAAAAAAAAAACTTCGCACATTTCATCAAATTTAAGATGCCATCCATTTTTAAAGGCTACCACCATTTTACCTACCACTTGGAAAGAAAAAAAAATCTCTGCTAACTAAACGATATGACATACTAGCAAATGGAAGGCACATCCAGATTCCAGAGATGTTACAATGTGGGGGAAAGAAGTGAGCCTTCGAATCGATGAGATCTGGCATCCTCAATGGTGCTTGTGACAAATGCACGCACATTTGGAAAGGCAACATAGTTTTACAGTTCCAGAGGCTTCCAGGGCTGAAGTACCCAGATATCTCTTCTGTGCTTTTTGGAGAAACCTTCAGGCTGCCCGGGATTTGGGGTCCCGTGGAGAGAGTAATCTCTGCTCCTCACTTCCTCATCACTCACCCCTCTCTGGAGAGGAAAGTGTAATTGTGAAATTTCATGCTGGAGAGAGACCTAGTCCTCAAGGATAAACAACGGGGCTGTCAAGGGCGGTGAAAGCTGGAGGAAGGGAAGACTCGTGAACTGGTTAAAGACAACACTGCCCACCTGCCTGGCATCACAGCATCTTCTAAGGCACAGCCGAGGCAAACAGAGCATCAGCGGCACTCCTGCCCCAGCCTGCGGGCTGCGAGGGAATGTGACCAGTCCCTTTTGTGCTCCTGGATGCTGTTCATTAGGCTCTGCTCACACGCTGAGGCGTCTCCCTCATTTTGCAGTTTCAGAGGGAGACACAATGGGCTGAAGTCAGGCTGAACATTTTCAAAGGAGCTCCAGGTTCCCAGGCAGCGAGTATAATGGTGGCTCTATTCAGCAAGGTGCCTTTGAGGCGTGAAAGCTTTTCCTGTTGGGCCAGAGTGCACAGTCTGTATGTGGGGTGCCCCCTCTTCTAACTCTATTTATCTCTGTTTATAAAAGCCAAGTACGGTGTATAATTCTGCTTTGGAGTCGACATTTTCGCATTTCTCTGTGGAGGAGCGGAAGAGACATGCATTCAGTACTGGCTGCTAGGAGCTGCTTTATCCAGCATCCCTTTTCCTCCAAAATCTTGTTTCCATGAGAACTTGACAGTCATTTTCCCTTCCCCTTGGGGAATGGAAGAACCTGGGACAGACATTGAGGGAATCAGGTGTCCATGCAGCAGCTGACCTAGGGGGATACGCTGGTTTTCTTCTGTATGGCATGAGCTCTGAGAACACAGGACCTGCCTCTTTCTTGCTCACTCTGTAGCAGATGACAAGGGTGCCTTTACCACTTCAGCATGCCCAGCCCCCTCCCAAATGCCATCTCTGCATTCCTTTGCCTGGGGGCTCTTTCTGGGAGATGCCAGCTAATGTCAAGCTGGAAGTACGGGAATTAACACCCCCATCCAGGGAGCGGCCTTCACCCCAAGGCCAATAGGAATCAGTACAGAAAAATCCCAGATCCCTCTCATCACGTGAAAAAGCCCTGAGTGTGTGCCTACACTGGTTCTGAGATTTTTCACATGGGATGAAGCCCCAGTGGCCCACAGTGGTCGCCAGCTTGGTGACACACCTTACTCCCTTTAGCTCCCAAATAAACCTCATGTATTCATAGTCTCTTCTTGGGTGCTGCTTCTAGGAGAAATACACCAAGACAATCCTTGCATCCTCAGGACTGACCATATAGTAGGTGCTTAATAAATATTTCTCAAGAGACCAGAAGCTTACTTCACAGGGCTGTACTGAAGACCGAGTAGCACAAAATGAGCAAAAGTGTGTTGGAAGTGCATTTGAGAGCATGGGACGAGTGGAAGGATGCATCACAGCCCCCTTAGCCGTGTTGTGGAGTCTGTGGAGGGGCCGTGCCTACCTCGCTGGGCCCCCACCCCAGTGGTGAGAGCCATGGCACTTGTGTTTGTCTCCACAGTTCCTGAGCACCAGCTCATCCAGACTGAATCCCCCCAGGAAGGAACCGTGACCTGGAAAACATATCACACGTACATTAAGGCTTCTGGAGGTTCAGTATAAAACAACAAGTTTCTTGATTTAATTTGCATTTTAAAAATCCTGTCTTAAACTGTTGGGTTCACGTTTTATGATTTCTTTAACAATTATTCTGTTTATGCTAGGGCCATTTATCAATGCTTTTATTTTTTCCCCTCCTAAAAACTAACGTCTGATAATACAGCCTTTTAAATGGAATCATTCTTTATCTCCATTAAAGCTGCCAGACTCTCTTTTATTGGAGTGGAGTGAGCAGCAGCATGAACCCTACCCTTGCACTCCAGTTGCTCTGTACAGCAGTGGCCAGTCCATTGCCAGCCTTCCATAAAAGATGCTCATCTCAGTGTGCAAAACATGCCTGTAGTTTCACTCTCTGTCTCTCTCCAGCAAGACTGGGTTTTCCTTGGTTTCTTTTTCTTTCTTTCTTTCTTTCCTTTTTTTTTTGAAATGGAGTCTTGCTCTGTCACCCAGGCTGGAGTGCAATGGTGCAATCTCGGCTGACTGCAACCTCCAACCTCTGCCTCCCAGGTTCAAGCAATTCTCCTGCCTCAGCCTCCCAAGTAGCTGGGATTACAGGCACCCGCCACTATGCCTGGCTAATTTTCCTATTTTTAGTAGAGACGAGGTTTCACCATGTTGGCCAGGCTAGTCTCGAACTCCTGACCTCAGGTGATCCGCCTGCCTCAGCTTCCCAAAGTGCTGGGATTACAGGCGTGAACCACCATGCCCGACCTTCCTTGGCTTCTTTTAAAAGAATATTGAGTCACTTCTATTGAAGTGCACATTGGTGGTTTTTCCAATATGTTCACTGTTTGGAGCCATTTTCCAACCAGGTAGAACAGATGTCCCCACAGTTCAGGGTCCCAACACTCAGATGTGCTGCATCAGTCTAGCAGGTGGTTTCCAGGCGTGGGAGTCCTTTTCCTGCAGGTTTTGAATTTCCCATCAGGGTTGGGTCCTGAGGAAGGTCAGCCCCTGCCATGTGCTCATGTCTGCAGCCCCTTGGGCCTCTCCGCTCCTCTTGCAGGGTACCTCCTTTCTCTCTTCACTGTGTTCCTCTTCCTCCTGATGATTGGCAGCGCTGCCTTCAGCAACTGGTGGCTGGGTCTCTGGTTGGACAAGGGCTCACGGGTGAGTTTCCCTTTGGCATTGGAAGATGCCGAGTCTGTGTCTTGGAGTAAAACTCTGCTGCCAGAGCATCTGACTGCCCCTGCCACCATGCCATGAGCCCACATGCATCCCTCTGCCCTTTTCAAGAAGTGGGAGTCAGATGCTTACACCACAGGACCCAAACCCCTGGAATCCCCTTTGATTTTTCAAGACAAGCAGGGTATAGACACCACTTTCAGATTTTAAAGGGTTGACTAAAGAAGACTGTGCCCCAGCTTGTCTGGAATCAGGCACGTACAAGATTGGGTCAGTTTCACAGCCTCTCTTGTAAGTTTCCTCCAGGAAAGCCTAACACTGATTTGTGTCTTCCTAAAGAGAAACTGGCATCTTGTTACGGACACTGCCCAGTGCCAGAAGGTCCCACGTGTCTCTGCTCCCCAAAGTTGTCTCTGCATGAACAGGATGGGCAAGCATCAGATTCAGGCTTTGCAAATGCCACAGAGCCATGGGGGACCCTTCTCTGCAGGGCCCTTCCTGGGAAGAAATGATGTGTTGACTCTCTCTTGAGCTTGCTGGGAGTTCTCCCAGCTTTTGGCCAATGGTCTCAAAGCTTTCCTGGAGCCCTGGGGAGTGCTGTGGGGACGCTGGCCCATCCTCCAAGATTACATTTGGTACAGCTCTGTTGCTATGACAACCAAAGGGTGGTGGCACTGGGGAGATGGGGGCAGGGGAGAGGCTGCTGGGTGGCCTGCTCTGTGCAGAAATAGAGAGCCATCTCTGGAATAGACAGATTCTCCCAGATCCCCCCTCACTCACGAAGAGCCCTGTCCTTGGAGAGCCCGAGGTTTGGAGTCAGGGTGCAGCCTCCTCACAGGCTTGGTGCTTCCCCAGGAGTCCCACTGCCATTGGCTGATTAAGCATGCAGCCATGGTGGCTGAACCATGTGTTTGCCCCTGGTGCCCCAGACACTGTATGTTTGCGCCTGGTGCCCTGGACACTATGTGTTTGCCCCTGCCCTCCCAGACATGCAGCCACGGTGGTTGAACCATGTGTTTGGCCCTGGTGCCCCAGCACAATCAAAGGCACAGGAGTGTCTCCTCTTCAGGCTGGGCCTTCTATCCCTCAACTCCCCAGAGATACTTTTGCTTTTAACGATGTTCATCCATCAGCCACCTCTGATTTACATTTCCGCTATGACTGTAATCAGCAAAATGGCATTTAGAAGAAAGATGCTTGTTTGCTCCCCAAGGGCAGTCTTGACTTTTAGTACACAGCCCAGAGAAAAACGAAACTGCCAATTTCTCAGGGCAAGGAGATGCCCTCTCCTCAGAAGTGCCGGCAAAATTGTGTGTTTTCACTGGGCAGGATGGAGCCACAGATTCTTTGAATCCTCTGAAAGCCACTTGTATTCACTGGGCACCCTCCTCCCCACCAAAGATCCCAGGGCAGTACCCCAGCACCCTCTCTGTTACCCCTTGGGAAAAAGAAAGGGAAGGGACTGTGGAGCTGGCCCATCATACAGAGAAGCCCCCCGAGTTGCCCTGAAGGCCTGGTGGCTGCTGCCACACAGCTGAGCATGCTGGAGGTCAGTTCCTGATCCTCTATCCAGTCCGGGTTGCCTGAGGGTTACTCCTCCAGCCTGGTGGAATTCCAATTCCCCATTTGCCTCTCTGATCTTCCCAGCCCAGCATTGCTTCTGGTCTCCCGAGGTGCAGTGAGCTTCGGGGATGTCTGCCCAGTGCCCATCTGGTTTCTCTGCTTTGTTTTTCCCACTGTGCTGAGCTCACAAGTCAGGTGCCCCTTGGGGTCATGAGTGCCAGCAGGAGGAACCCCACAAAGCTCAGAGGCCCCAGAAGGGAACAGACTAGATTGTATCCACCTGACTCATTCAAAACACTCATGTGCTTCTTCTTAGTTTCTTCTCTCTGGAAAGATTCTCCGGAAAATTCCTGTTCTCCTGGCAGGAATTTATCAATTCTTGGTGCTTCTCTTGTTTTTCTCCAAAGATGACCTGTGGGCCCCAGGGCAACAGGACCATGTGTGAGGTCGGCGCGGTGCTGGCAGACATCGGTCAGCATGTGTACCAGTGGGTGTACACTGCAAGCATGGTGTTCATGCTGGTGTTTGGCGTCACCAAAGGCTTCGTCTTCACCAAGACCACACTGATGGCATCCTCCTCTCTGCATGACACGGTGTTTGATAAGGTAGGGCCACAAGCATTGCAGGTGTACCCAGTTATTCAGTCAACAAGGTATACGGAGCACCTGCAGTGTGCCAGGCATGGTGCTGGGCTCTGGGGACAGCCAGAGCCCTCATAGAGCTTGCAGTCTAGTCTGGGAAGAGTCTCCCAAATAGCTAATTACCAACTGAAGGTAGATTCCAGGGAGCTGTGGGGGTGGATCAGCCCTGAGTCTGGGCTATGGGATGGAGGCGTGGGAGGCCACTCCGCCGCAGAGATGCGCAGGCCAAGCAAGCACCTCCTGCTCCAAAGAGCCCTGAGTGCGACACGGCCCTCAAGAGATCCTTCCAGCCCCCTCTGCATTCCACTGCTGTGGTGGGTGGCAGCCAGGGCCTGGGAGGGCCCTGGCTAGAGCATGTGGGTGGGGCCCACACTTTGGAGGTAAAGAGACAAAGTGAAACTTGGCTTTTTATTGCCATGGGGCACAAAATTCCTTCCTCCGACAAAGGCATCAGCCTCTCCCGTCTCAGGCTGCATCCCAGATTTGAAGGGGAAGCCTGACCTATAGGGGGTCTCTCGGGACTTCCACACAGAGACTGAATCCCCACATTCACACTCATTCACGGTGGCCGCAAGAATGGGGTGCATCCTCCCTTTCCCAAGATCACCTGACACACTGTGTTGTGCCCTGGAAAAAAGGTCAGGCCCTGTGCTCACAATTTCACCTCCAGCAGAGCAGCAGGGTTTACTAAGCACGCATCTCGACTCTGTTTGACTCTCTACCATTCTCCACAGATCTTAAAGAGCCCAATGAGTTTCTTTGACACGACTCCCACTGGCAGGCTAATGAACCGTTTTTCCAAGGATATGGACGAGCTGGATGTGAGGCTGCCGTTTCACGCAGAGAACTTTCTGCAGCAGTTTTTTATGGTGGTGTTTATTCTCGTGATCTTGGCTGCTGTGTTTCCTGCTGTCCTTTTAGTCGTGGCCAGCCTTGCTGTAGGCTTCTTCATTCTGTTACGGTAGGCCCATGTGCTATTTACACGAGAAAACGATACACACACACACTGACTGGGTATCAGGTGATATTGAGCATGGAGTGCTTGCTGTCTTTACTGATGGTCTACCATTGATTTTTTTTGTACTTAGTAAATGCCAGGTGCTTTGCATACATCTGGCATTTTAGCCCCAGAGCAACCCTGAGAGGTGGAAACTATTGAAAGATTACGGCACTGGTCCCAGGCCAAGAAACTAGTAGCCATGATTGCCTCCTCTCTGCTGCTATGTTCCTAACCATGGGGCTCTACCGTTGCTGCTCTGAGCTTTGAGAAATAACCGCCACCCTAACCATGGGTGTGTTTAGAGAAAGGCCTTAGGCAGCTTTGCACAGTGTCGGGGCGGGGGTTCCCACTGCAGCTGTGCACACCCACCCTGGGGGAAAGCAGGAGGACAGCCATGATTCCAGCCTCCTAGGAGACCTGCCCGGCTCCCTGCTGTTCCTGGGGTGAGCTGGGGTTCCTAGCAGGTAGCATGGTGGGTATTGGGTGAGGGCAAAGGGTTGCAAATCAGAGAAATTTGCATTAGAGCCCCAGCTCTGCCACAACTAGCTGAAGGACCTTGGAGAAGTCAGAGAGGTGCTGCAAACCTCAGTTTCCTCTCTCCTTAATGGTAATCATTGAAATATATGCCTCACCTGTTTCAGAGGGCTTGTGAGGATCAGGGAGACTACACAACCAATGCTTGTTGGTTAAAAATGGAATAAGCTGTTATGCAAGAGTTTCCATAAAAATCATAACTAAAAATAATCATTTATCATGATCCTAGACCTGCCCAGCCAGTGGGATAGTTATTGTAGATCTGAAAGAGAATCCCCCAAATTATAAAATATTTAGCCCACAAACCCTGAACTTGCTTTCACCTGTGCACAGGATTATGCTCCTAGACGTGCCCAGCCAGTGGGTTAGTTATTGTAGATCTGAAAGAGAATCCTCCAAATAAAATATTCAGCCCACAAACCCTAGACTTGCTTTCACCTGTGCACAGGTTTGTTGGTTTTCACGCTCAGATCCTAGTTTTAGAAATAATTGCTGTGGCCACAGTGTGGAGGGTGAATGGAGCTACAGAAAGGTCAGGGCAGACTATAGAGCAGGAGTCCCTTGAAATCTACAGTCTGTGTGAGAGAATTAATGAGGACCAGACGTAGGCAGCAGCAGTGGGAACAGAAGAGAGGTGTGGATTTGAGAGCCATTTCCAAGGTAGTGTCATCAGGGTTTCACTTCCCACGTCTGGTGGAATTTTGGGTGTTGGGGGATGGGAGAGGCAAAGGATGATTTCAAGGTGGAGAGCGATGTGAAGAGAGATACGTGTGGTGCAGGAGGAGAAGCGGTTTGGGGAATAAGAATACGAGTTTAGTTTCGGATGTTTCAGTTCTGTTCAACAAGTCGGCTGATGGTGTCCGTGGACAGTGGCAAATGCGGGTGTGGGAATGTACTGGGGCAGGAGAGCTGGACTCTGTGCAGGGGCAGGTGTGGCTCTGGGAGCTGACACTGTGCCCTAGAGAGCTGGGAGAGCTGGACTCTTGCTGCTGTCTTTCACTGTTCCCGTGGTGACCCTGAGGAAGCGAAATTGTTAGGGTGTCCAGGTTCTTGAAGGGTGTCCAAGTTCTTGATGTCCTGAGCAAAGAATTGGACAAAACGCACAAAGCAAGGAAAGAAAGAAGCAACAAAAGCAGAGATTTATTAAAAATGAAAGTACACTCCCACAGGATGGGAGCAAGCCTGAGCATAGGGGCTCAAAGCTCAGTTACAGAATTTTCTGGGGTTTAAATACCCTCTAGAGGTTTCCCATTGGCCACTTGGTGTACGCCCCATGCAAATGAAGTAGTGGCCCATGATCAGTCTGACTGGTTGCAGAAAGCGACTAATCAGAGGCTGAAGTGAAGTTACAGTTACTCCTATACAAATGAAGACTTGGCCTGCCACCAGCCTGATTGGTTGTGGGAGGGGACTAATCAAAGGTACATCTGTCATCCAGAAAAAGGGGCAGGTGTGCAAGGAGAGTAGCCTTTGAGCCTTTTGTTACCTAGGCGGGGAAAGTTGGGGTTTTCATTTTGATTTAGTTCTAGGAAGTCAGCGTGAATTGGCCTTAGGTTCCCTGCCTCCAGACCCTCTTCTCCTGTCTCCAAATGAAATGGTCTGAGTCTCCAAACTCAAGGGTTTATTGTGATGACCAAATACAAATAATTTCTGAGAGTCATTTACAGGATAAAAGCAAGTCCTGGATGTCATGCTTACAGTGGATTCTTTGGGCTCATGTTCCTTTTTGTCATTCCTGTATTTGATCATTGCTCTTGTCTGTCCTCCTGTTTATGCAGTTGATTTACTTAGTAAAAGCTCTTTCCCTGCTCTGTACCCACCCCTCTAGCTATAAAGACTAGACAGACCAGAGCTCGTCCTGCTTGAATTATCCAAGTGTTTCCAAACAACTCACTTTAGCTCTGCACTAATGAGACTTCCCTCCTCACTGCCCTGGGTTTGTTTTGGCTGAGAGTCTGGAGGTTTGATTGTCTTCTCTCTCGGGGGCCAGCCAGCTGCTGTAAACACCCGAGGTCCCTGGTCTCCTGCTCACCAGGGCTCCTGGAGCTTCCACATAAAGGGGAGCTGCATCCCGTGGGTGTTTGGTTTTAAAGTCAGCTATAATGACGTTCATTCAAAATTACCTTTGAAAATGCCTTTAGAAGGCCACATGTTGGCAGTTGACACACCGGGTTTTCTTCCAGAGTTAGATCAGATCACTTTTTCTCTGGCTGGGCACCAAAAAGTGGTTGGCTGATACTTAGGGGCTGTGCTGTATGAGAAATTTTGGTTTTAGAAGACTAGAATCACGCCTTGTGGAGCGAGACTTTCCTGATATGAGAAACACAGCACCGTGGCCAAACGAAGGTGCCGCTGACTCATGGTTCTCACGCCTCCGCCATTCCCACACCTGGGGCAGGCACCACTGCAGAATGGCAGGCTGCTCTTCATCCCCAGTTAGATGGCACCGTCTCTGACTTAAGCACTGTGCTGAGTGCCTAGTTGGCTCTGTATGTGTGAGGGCAAGCCTGATGAGACCTCACTTTGTGGCCCACCTGGCCCCTTTCAATTTTCTTCCAGCATTTTCCACAGAGGAGTCCAGGAGCTCAAGAAGGTGGAGAATGTCAGCCGGTCACCCTGGTTCACCCACATCACCTCCTCCATGCAGGGCCTGGGCATCATTCACGCCT
This sequence comes from Homo sapiens, assembly GCF_000001405.40. Lineage (NCBI taxonomy): Eukaryota > Metazoa > Chordata > Mammalia > Primates > Hominidae > Homo > Homo sapiens. The sequence goes on along the minus strand of NC_000016.10, from coordinate 48,100,899 downwards.
ATGGCAAGAAGGAGAGCTGCATCACCTAGTGAGTCCCATGTGGGGCCCTGCCCCAGGCCCCCATGCTTCATGCCTGACTCCGATGGGGAGTGCACAGGAGGAGGGAAGTCTGGGCTGCTGGGGACTGATCACAGACAAAGAGCTGGAAGAATCAGGAGGAGTCCTTGAAGACACTTGGCCTCACAGCCTCTCTTCCAGCATCTTGGGCCCCAGAAGATGTGAATGAGGGGAGCTTGTTCAATGACAACCTCATTTGTTCTATTTTTCATTCTAAAAGTAAAAATGTGTTTGATTCAGGAAGATAGGGAAAAGAAGAAAAAAGAAGAAAAAAATCACTTACAGCCCCTCCCCAAACCCAAACCTATTAATTTTTTCATGTTTCCTTCCATTTTTTGTTCTTTTTTTCTATTCATGGCGTCTTCTTTTTCTTCTTATTTATAATCATTTCTTAAATTTATTTAACAGTTTGAAATAGCCTGTTTCATGTTATTACACGAGTCTTGTAAAAATAATTTCTAAAGGCCACCTTTCATTTCACTTAGCATTTTCTTCTTTTTAAAATATGGGGACTACATTAGTAAATCTCTCTGGCATCTTCCAGCTTCAAACTTCTAAAATATGACATAAAATGTATAAATCAGACTGGGCGCGGTGGCTCACGCCTGTAATTCCAGCACTTTGGAAGGCCGAGGTGGGTGGATCATGTGAGGTCAGGAGTTTGAGACCAGCCTGGCCAACATGACGAAACCCCATCTCTACTAAAAATACAAAAATTAGCTGGGTGTGGTGGTGGGCACCTGTAATGTCAGCTACTTGGGAGGCTGAGGCAGGAGAATCACTTGAACCTGGGAGGCAGAGGTTACAGTGAGCTGAGATTGTGCTACTGCTCTCTAGCCTGGGCAACAGAGTGAGACTCTGTCTCAAAAAAAAAAAAAAAGAAAAAGGATAAATCACAGTAGGCTCACTGCAGTAACAATAAGCCCAAATCTTAGGGAGATCATGCAATAAATTTTTATTTTTCCTGATGTCACAATTTAGTGAAGGTCCATGGGGCAACAGTAGGTGATTGTACTCCACACTCAGGCATAGTCTGTTTCTATCTGGGGCTCTTCTGTCCCAAGGCCCTGAGGTATTCTCTCGGATCTTCTGTGTTAGGCCGGAAGACAAGGCGAGAGGCCAGGAAGGAGGACCCAGGGGGATTTTATGGTCCAACCCTAGCGAAGTGTCCCAAGATTTCTGCACATTCCTTGGCCACATTGGAGTCACATGGGCTCACCTAACGCAAGGGAGGCTGGGAAATGTAGTCCAGCTGTGTCCAAAGGAGGAAAAGAAAATGGAGTTTGGTGAATCCATAGCAGCCTTTCCCACTTTCTGTCTTTTCCTTCCTTAAAATGCCAACACACCCTTCAGAGAGAAAGAATTAGATGCAGTTCTAAAGGGTGCATCGAATGCATTCTAAGTTTGGAATTGCATTAAATTTATTTATTTTTATTTTTATTTTTTGAGACAGAGTCTTGCTCTGTCACCCAGGCTGGAGTGCAATGGCATCATCTCGGCTCATTGCAACTTCTATCTCCTGGGTTCAAGCGATTCTCTTGCCTCAGCCTCCCAAGTAACTGGGGCCCAGCTAATTTTTGTATTTTTAGTAGAGACAGCATTTCACCATGTTGGCCAGGCTGGTCTCAAACTCCTGACCTCAAGTGATCCACCTGCCTTGGCCTCCAAGAGTGCGGGGATTATAGTGAGCCACTGCAACCAGCCTGGAATTGCATTAAATTTAGAATTGCCTCTAATTCTCTCTCTCACGCCCCCTCCATTTTACCACCCAGGATCTCAGAGTAGACTTGACATCACACCTTGTCTTTAGTTCAGTCAGCACCTAGTCCGGACCCTAGTTTGACCTGAACATCGTTTGTCAAGAGTCCTGCCTCACACATAGACACTTCCAAAGTCCTGGCCATGAGGAAAGCCCATGGAGCCATTAGTCTACTCACCCACAACAAACACACATGCAAACTTTGTCTTCCCACAGCTTCTACTCCAAGATTTCTGAGAGAATCCTATAGGGAGCCAAGAATGACTGATGGGGGTTCCCTTCTTTTAATAGTTTCTTTCCAAAGGGCTTGGGTTTCTGACGTGTATTGCATTTGCCACCAGACAAAAATGCTACAGCTTAAAAAATGTAAAAAGATTAGAGGTCAAATTCCAATTTGATCCCAGCTAGTGATTTTGTTTCTATGCAATCTAACCAACCACACGGATAAGACCACAGGTGACTTCCAGGTCATGGAGGCTGTCAGTTGAATTTGTATGCTGTATAGCTACATGATAGAAACAGCACTGTGTTTTGAAGAATATTTTGACTAAGCTCTGGGGAAAATAAGTTAGAGTTGAAACAGAGAGGAGGAGAGGGCAGCAGAGCCCAGGGCGGCTGGTCAGAGGGGCTTCCAGGCAGAACTCTGGGAGGCCTTCCAGGACAGCATGGAGCAGCAGTGCCTGAGGCCATTCACAGCTATGCCAGGGGAGGAATTGTACCTCCTTAGGGCTTTAAGCGTGGAAGGGTTTTCATTTTTCCCCCAGTAGTTTCTACCAGCTGTTCTCATGAAGCCCTTCCCCACTAGATCAGGGAAGCCACAGTGGCAATTGAATCTGATGTCTCTTTTGGTTAATGGTCAGCTCAGTGCGGTGAAAATTTCAATCTTGAATATATTCAAGCCACAGGTCTCTTTCCCCCAGAGGCTTGGTGTGGCAAGGCTATGCTGTGTGTGTGTGTGTGTGTGTGTGTGTGTGTGTGTGTGTGTGTGTGTGTCAGGTGGGGCAGGCTTGCAATTGAGAAGCACCTGCTCTGTGCTTTTAAACACCCTCTTCCTTTTCTCCAGGCCTGGCTCTCTGATGCCCATGTGGGGGAACTGGGGAGGGGACAGCAGGAAGAACACATCCTTGGGTGACTGGCACCTCTGGGCCATTCTCTCCTTTCTGCTATCCTTTCCTGCTGCTGCAATGCACTGTGCAGATGTGGGACAGCAGCTTGGAGGCCCCAGTAGGGCCAGAACCCCAGGAGTTCTGCCAGCATTGCTGCATCGGTAGGAGTTGCTGGGTCTTCCTGTGAGTTCTGCCTGGCAGCCCTCACACTGCACTCCTCTGATGTGGAGGCCCCTTTGCTTCATGCCAGGGACCGTCACATCAAGACTGCAGCCTCCAAGGTCATCTTCCTTCTGCTATCTCAGCCCTAGGAACTGTGGAGCTGATGGGATCCACCTTGCATACATCTGGGGAATGCGGAACTCCAGGGGGTGGGTCTTGCCCCCATCCCCTGGCTGTGTCATCTCCCTGTCACTCCGCTCTGTGCTTCTTCCCCCCTCTCCAAGCCCTTTGGCTCCGTGGACGTGCAGCAGGGATGCAAGGTGTCAGCTTCCTGTCCTTGAAGAAGCTCCCAGCTTTATAAGCAATTGTCTTCAATCTTCTTTCTCTGATTCAGGGAGGGAAACCTAACATGCACCCTCCCTTCCCTCCTCTACAGTCACAAACATTGATTTCCCTAAAGGTGACCTCCTCCACAACCCACCCCCACCCTTTCTATAGATCAAGGGGGCCAATTGTCAATTCCACAAAGCCTTTGAGGGTGACTGACTCCACGATAGGGATCCTTTGGAGTCAGAATGTGAAGCACTCGGCACCTCTTCTTCTCAGCTGTAGATTCTAGCTGCCAGTTCTGGGAAAGACAGAAAGAGCCACTTAGCACCCTACTCTATTGCCACATGAGATTTCCCAAAATATGTGCAAATCAAAGATGTCTAGAGTGGCAGATTTTTAAGAGCATGAATATATGTTCATTTTTGTAAGAGTTTGCTATGTGAGAGTGTGTTCCCTTGATTAAAAATTCCTTGGCCTCATTTCTCCAGTCACCCTAACCTTAAGTCTACAGCACAACCTGATCTCCTGCTTTTTCTGATTTTCTTGACTGTAGGTTTAAGACGCTAAACGACGAAAACTCCAGTCACCTCCTCTACTTTAACTGTGCTCTCAGGTGGTTTGCGCTGAGAATGGATGTCCTCATGAACATCCTTACCTTCACTGTGGCCTTGTTGGTGACCCTGAGTTTCTCCTCCATCAGTACTTCATCCAAAGGCCTGTCATTGTCATACATCATCCAGGTAATGCCTGGTGCAAAGTTGGGCTTAGTCTGGAGGCTCCGGCCTGTAATACATCAGCGAGGGTGCTTTTGGATGGACACAACAAAAACCCCAACTCGAATGGGTTTAAATGAGAAAGGGAGCTTAGTGGCTCACATCATTAAAAAGTAGGATGGTTGTGTGGACTTCAGGCACAGTGGGATCATGTCTCTGAGCTTTGCCCATGCCCTGTGATGACTTTCCTCATAGGTGACCAGCAGCCTCTGGGGTCTACAGCAAAGAGGAAGCAGAAAGAAAGCATTTCCTGGCCCAGCCACGGAGGCAGAAGCCTGGAGCTTTACTGTTATTGGAGGAAAGCATTTCCTGCCCCAGCCATGGAGGCAAAAGCCTGGAGCATTACTATTATTGGATTAATTTAGGCATCCCAAAACTAATTAGTGGTTTGATGGGATACGGATCATTGGTTAGGCTAGGGTTGGAGTTACACCCATTTCCAACTTTAAGTCACATAGCTACTCCACAGTGGAGGGAGTGAAATGAATGCTGGGGAGACAGTCATAATATTGATGACAAATAATTACTGACTTCTCTTCTTGGTTGCTTTTTTTTCTTTTGAATAACAATAATAGGTGAACATACGGCATTGATTGTGATTGGCTTCAGGCCCTGTCTTTTAACTAAATTAATTCATTTCCTCCCCACAACAACCCTCTAATACTGCTGTGGTCCCCATTTTGCAGATGAAGAAACTGAGCCACAGAAAGACTTGTCCCAAGATCATAACAGCTGTCACATGTGAGGGCCAGGATTTGAATGCAGGCCACCTGGTCCTCATGTTTGTTTGAATCTTGTTATCTTTGGAAACTTTTTTGACATAGTCCTTATTCTTAGTGCTCTGAAACTCTGGGATAATGTATCTGAATGTGGGTCTTTATTCATGTGTTCTGTTTGATGCTGTGAGTTCTTTAAGATTAAAGTCCAATTTCTCATCAGCTTGGAAACATTTCTCCTTTTTCTCCTTCATTTTGACAATGTCCTCTTTTTCTTTCTTTTTTTTTTTCTTACTGTATTCATGTCAGTTGAATATTGAATTTCTTGCATCAATTCTCTATGTTTCTTTTTCTTTTCTCTCAGTTTCCATGTTCTTGTCTTTTTATCTTGGGAATTTTTGTTAGCTTTGCCATTCAGCTATTCCTTGAATTTTAAATTTGGCAATCATATATTCACATATTTAATTTCCACAAGCTCTTATTCTCTGAGTTTTTAAAAGAATCATTTTTTACATGGATGCAGCATATTTTTGAATCTCTCTGAGGATATTAATATTAATTAGTGTGTTAGTTCTCACACTGCTGATAAAGACATACCTGAGACTGGGTCATTTTTAAAGAAAAAGGAGTTTAATGGACTCACAGTTCCACGTGGCTGGGGAGGCCTCATAATCATGGTGGAAGGTGAAAGGCACGTCTTACTTGGTGGCAGACAAGAGAGAATGAGAGCCAAGTGAAAGGGGAAACCCCTCATAAAATCATCAGCTCTCGTGAGACTTATTTACCACCATGAGAACAGTATGGGGGAAACTGCCCCCACGATTCAATTATCTCCCAACCCACTGGGTCCCTCCCAGAACACGTGGGAATTATGGGAGCTACAATTCAAGATGATTTGTGTGGGGACAAAGCCAAACCATATCAGTTAGAGTCTTTTTTTCCCCTCCTAAACTCTCCTCCCTTCTTTGACTTGCATCTATCTGTTTCTTCCAGAGGTAGTTTTTCTTTTTGTTTCTCTCGTTCTTGCTCTTTCATGCCATTGGTTTTGTCCATCTGTCTCCTGACCCATTAGTATTTAACTCCGGGGAACTGGGTTGGGTTTTCAGAGTTTCCTCTGCCTTTGTTTCACCTTGCTAGGTGTCTCCTGATGGGAAATTTTATGACTGCAGGTAGGTGGGTGGTGGGGCTTTTCCATAGGCTGGCTTCACTTCAGGAAAGCAGCCAGGGAGCTGGCTTTTAGGTACCCAAATGCAAGACTTAAAGGAGTTTTTATGCAGGGGACTATTCAGAGAGCCCAATTTATCCCTAGGCAGTTAATTCAATTTCTTTAGAGAAAATCATGTTTATGTGTGTGTGTCCATGTGCATGTGTGCTCCCATGCCTAGGGATAAAGGGTCCAACTAACTCTGGTTAGGAGAAAGAAGAGGGGAAGAGGAGTGAGTGAACCAGACAGGAGTGGTTGTCTATATACAGAGCCTATCAGCCAGCCTCTTTGTGGGCCCCCTTCTCACACCTGGAGCCTCTCTGGGTTCTGCTCTTTAAACTCTAGCATGCTCTGCTTCCATTTTATCAAAAGGCTTTCGTCCTCTTTCCATCTTGCAGAAATTTGTAGCTTATTCACTGCTATCTCTTCTCAATCCCCTTACTGTTAAAGGTCTATTCTTTATGGAAAATTTCTCTGATATAATTTAAATTGTATTTTGGGAAGAAAGGAAACAAAAATGTATTCTCTGTACTCTCTCTTAAGTGGGGAAAAATGAATTTTCCTTGGGTAACCAGTTTCCTGTATTGATAGATGTCTTCATTTGTTGTTGCCTAGTAAAATATCAAACAGATGATGTTGAACAGTTTCCCTTAATTGGTCCAAGTAAAACAGCTTTCCCCAACTAAGGTCATGCTTTTGGGCGATATTATCAGCTTTCCATGAGATTGTTTTCAAACATTCCTGTAAGGTTGTGCACAGCATTGAGATCTATGGGAACACTTGTTCTCCAGCTGGCTCTGTGGCTTCATTGAGCATTAGCCCCCTTTGGAGAACACAGAATCAAAATGACAGCACTCCACTTGAGATTAGAGAAGACTCCCCAGATGGATGAGAAATTGGCATGAAATCCCACAGAGCAGAAAGTGAATGCAAAGTGACATCATATCACATCACGTAGGAGAATAAGCACTTCCTGGGGCCAGCACTGTGCCTTTGTGGGCATCCTAAACCTGGGAGGGCTGCCGTGGCCTTGGGAGCTGATACTCTTGCATTTAGCAAAAGATGTATATGCCCTTCTCAAGGGCAGGGTTCATTCATTCATTTGCCAGATATCCCCTGAGCACCCACCATGAGCCAGGAACTGTGCTAGTGGCTGTGGAATCAGCAGTCAGCAGTCTGGACAAGTCCTGCCCTCATTCTAGTGGGCAGCTGGAATAAATGAGGGCCAAGTAAATAGATGAGAAGCTCAGAAGGTGTTTAAATGTTAGGAAGACAACGAGTGGAGGAATGTGGCTGTCGGAAGGGGAAGCAGCATTTCATACAACAGCCAGAGGAGGCCTCTGCTGGGAGGTGGCTTCCAAGCTGAGACCTGAAGGATAAAGAACCAGCCAAGGAAGACTGGAAGAAAGAGTGCCTCAGGGAAAGGCTCAGCGGTAGGCATGATCCTGGCATGTTTGAGGATCTGAGAAGCCCACATGGCTTGAGCAAGGTGGTATGAGGTGCCGGCAGAGTAGAATACATAGAGCTTTGTAAGCCAGGGGCGGGGTATTACCTGTATTCCAAGACTGGGTTTCTCAACCATGGCACTGTGGGCTTTGGGGCTGGATAATCCTTCTGGTGAGGGGCTGTTCTGTGCGTGGTAGGATGTTCAGCAGCCTCCCTGGCTCTGCTCATGAGACGCTGGTATTACGTCCCTCCCGCCAGGTTGTGACAACCCAATCTGTCTCTAGACATGGCCAAATGTCCTCTGTAGGGCAGGTTGAGAGCCATTGCTCTAAAGAAGTGGAAACTGCTGAACTGTATTAAGCAGGGAGGCCTGCTGAGGGGCTCTCAGAGGGTCTGCACCCATAGCGTTCTCCACGTCACGCGCCTGCTCGCACCCCCTGCCTCTTTGCTGCTAAGACCGCTTGCTTCTTACTAGAGCATTCTTATCCTGAGTTTGACTGGTGGACTTCTTATCATAAATGCCTCAGCTCGCACAGTCCTCTGGAAACCCCTATCTAAGGTAACTCTCCAGCCCCGGCCCCTCTCCCACATCAACCTGCTTTTGGGACATTCTTGTCACTCCCGCAGTGGCCTTGTGCACCATCCCTGCCAGTCCACTAGAATGGAAGCTGCTTGAGTGCAGGGATCTTGTCTATAACCTTCAACTCTGGAAACCGGCACCCCAACCAGTACCTGGCCCATGGCTACTGCTCAGTCAATGAAGTTCGCTAATGCATGAGATGGCCCTGCCTCTAGCCCACTTGGTGACAAATGCTGTGGCTGCCCCACCCTTCCAGGGCAGGCTGGAGGTTCCGGGCATTCTCACACCCAGAAGCAAGTGCAGCAATGACTGAGGGAGTTAGTGGCTCTGTAGCCCTGTGTACCCTGGCTTCCTTGCCCCAGCACGGGACAGTTCCGAGGTGTGCTCCATTCAGTGTCCCAGAGCTCCAAGACCAGCCGGACTCTCAGTTGCCCACAGCGGTAACATCTCACAGACACACCTGGTATGGGTGGCCTCTCTTCCCCTGCTCACTCCTCCATCCCCTCCTGGTACAATCTGGGTTCACCGCCTATGTTTGTTTGTGAAGGCTGCTGTGACAAATTACATGCTTGCAGGCTTCAAACAAGAGAAAGGTTTTCTTTCACTGTTGTGGAGTCAGATGCCCGCACTCAAGGTGTTGGCAGGGCCAGCTTCCCTCCGGAGGCTCGGGAGAATCTTTCTTCTCTCTTCCAGCTTCTGTGGCTGCTGGCCATCCCTGGCATCTCTTGTCTTGTAGCTGCATCACTCCAGTCTCTGCCTCTGCCTTCACGTCCCCTTCTCCTCGGTGACTTCTCCTCTGTCTCTTATAATGACACTTATCACTGGACTTAGGACCCACCCAGGTGATCCAGGATGATATCAAGATCCTTGCTAACACCTGCAAAGATCCTCTCTCCAAATGAGAGAGCATTCGCAGGTTCCAGGGATTAGGAAATGGACACATCTTTTAGGGGTAGGGACACCATTCAACCTGCCCTAATATACTTCTTGCAGTCAAATCTTGGGGTTGGCTTTTGGGAGATCCAGGCCTAAGGTGGGTGACCTTAGCAAGCCACATGCCCCAGTCTGAGCCTTGACTTTCTCATTACTATAACAAGAAGACAGGCTTGATGGTTTTCTGGTCTCATGGTGATGTGGTTTTCAGTTGTTTTTTGAGCAAGGGGCTAGGGGAGGGCTGCTCTGAGATGCAAGACCCTGCCAGGTGGCAGCAAGGGGCCGATAGCCAGCAGTTCTGCAGCTCCCAGGGAGAATTCCCACCACTCAAAGAGGCGTGTGATCAAGTGGTTCTGTGGGGAGATGATTCTCACCATCTGGAGTGCCAGGGAAAAATGTAATTACCATTTGTTTCTAAATACAAAGGAAGTGTTTAAAGGCAAAACACCCGAACAGGAATATCTTTACTTCTGGGCGCTTGGCTGGGAAGGCAGGCCTCCTGTTTGTGCTGTCTTGCGCTAGGCAGGGGAGGGATCATTCACTAGGACTGCCTCCTGAACGGGGAGCTGCAGAACCCGAAGGAGGAAGGGGCTCTAACTGCGGCTGCTCGCTCCTTTTCAACAGCTGAGCGGACTGCTCCAAGTGTGTGTGCGAACGGGAACAGAGACGCAAGCCAAATTCACCTCCGTGGAGCTGCTCAGGGAATACATTTCGGTAAGAAATTAGTGCATCAGAGAGGAGGGACAAGTTAATTTTGGCAGGACTTGGGCAAATACTGGATCTTTTTAGATGCGAAAGGGGTCTTTTTAAAAAACGGAAATCGGGCCGGGCGTGGTGGCTTACGCCTATAATCCCAGCACTTTGGGAGGCCGAGGCGGGCAGATCACCTGAGGTCAAGAGTTTGAGACCAGCCTGGCCAACATGGTGAAACCCTGTCTCCACTAAAAATACAAAAATTAGCCAGGCATGGTGGCGAGCGGTGGTAATCCCAGCTACTCGGGAGACTAGAGCCCAGGAGGCGGAGGTTTCAGTGAATCGAGATCGTGCCATTGCCCTCCAGCCAGGACAACAAGAGTAAAACTCCATCTCAAAAATCAAAAACAATAGCAACGACAAAAAACCCCAAATCGGACGAGTCATCCCTCTTCTTAAAACCTGTATTTACAATACATTCTGAAGTTCTTGTTGTTGAATGTGAGGTTCTTTTTAACAAGGTTTCCTTAAGGGCTGTTTTGATACACAGAAAAATACAATTCAGTGGCTTACTTTGGTTTCTAAAAATTAATATTTTGCCAGGCTCAGTGGCTCACACCTGTAATCTCAACACTTTTGGAGACCGAGGCAGGAGGAATGCTTGAAGCCAGGAGTTTGAGACCAGCCTGTGCAGCACAGTGAGACCCTGTCTCTACCAAAAAAAAAAAAAAAAAAAAAAGTTCAAATTTGCCACGTGTGGTGGCATGCACCTATAGTCCTAGCTACTGAGAAGGTTAAGGAGGTAGGGTCACTTGAGCCCAGGAGTTTGAGGCTGCAGTAAGCTGTGATGATGCCATTGCACTCCAGCCTGTGCAACAGAGCTAGACCCTGACTCTAAAATTTTTTTAAGTTAAAAATTATTATTTGATTGAAGTCATAAGTTGAAAAATAGAAGCTCAGTCTAACTCTTCTTTAAAAGCTTTTATATCCAACTTACAAATCTTGCTATTCTTTTAAAAGAAGTCTAGCCAATTCTAGCAATCACATTTAGGTGCCTTTGAAGAGTGTTTGGCTCCATTTACAAACTTAAAGATTTTAAAACATTTTAAACTGCATTTTAAAATTTAATACATTCAATTTCTTTTTAAGTACCTCAATGATCTGATTTAACAACAAACCTTCTTGAGTTTGTACAAATTTAATTAATTAAACTTATAAACATAGTAAGCTTTAAGTTTTCATGACAGTATCAATGCTATAAACAGTAAACTTTTAACTTAAAATCGTGTTTAAATCAATTATTCAATTATGCATTTTAAATTAGAGTCACAAGCCCAAGTTCTGTTAATATATTGTGAATACTTGAAACACCAAGTGTGCAGATTTCTTAAACTAAAAATATTACTGTTACAGTTTCATTTCTCTAAAATATTTTTATTCCTAATTCTAAATCTTCTAGGGGTTAAAAATACTCAGTCCTTAACAATACAGGTATTTTCTCAGCTAAATGAGGTTGCTTATTGACCAGAGATTTGGGCTGGTCCGCCATCCTGATGGGGCACACGGGATCCCTATTTCCAGCTGTTTACACAGAGGTGACTTAAGAGGAGGGGCTGCTCTTGTGATGAAGCCAAGCTGCTCTACTCCTTAATTAGACCTTGCATTTCTTGGACTCTTAGGAGACTTAAATGTTTTTTTTTTCATGTATGTCTAAAGACCTCTGAACTTGACATCCTGCATTCTTATCATCTTTCTTCTTCTAGTATAATGATGATTCTTGCAGATTTTGAAATTATATCTGGTTGAGTTCTGCAAACTCAAGGCTATGTCTGGCCTTGTCACACAGCTTCAGGGCTACACTTCTGACATTTTCCCAGGCCCACAGGCCCAGTATGAGCTTCCCCTTGTGTATTCCTCTAAGTCATCCATCCCTCTATTCGCTAAGCTCCAGCCACATGACTTTTCTTTCCGTCCCTCAAATTGCCCAAGCTCATTCTGGCCCCAGGGCCTTTGTGCTAGCTATTCCCCCAACCTGGAGGGCTCTGGACTTGATTCTCTTGTAGCTGACATCCTCCCAGCACTCCAGCCCTCAGGTCCAATGTCACATAGGTGCCTTCCTGAAACCTCAAGTACTTTTACTCTCCTACCCCCCTTTCCCAACACACAAATCACATTCTGTATCCTATTGCAATATTCTGTTTTATTGTCTTCATTTTTAATTTTTTTTCTTGTTTATTATCTGACATCCCCACTGGAATGTGAGTTTCTAGAATTAAGGGTCATTATTGGTTTATTTCACCACCATGAATAGCAGTACCTGAAACTGTGTGAATCAATGAATGAATTAGTTAAATAAGTGAAAAAACAAATGGCTAGTCACTGGTCATTGGTTATTCTCCTTTACAGACCTGTGTTCCTGAATGCACTCATCCCCTCAAAGTGGGGACCTGTCCCAAGGACTGGCCCAGCCGTGGGGAGATCACCTTCAGAGACTATCAGATGAGATACAGAGACAACACCCCCCTTGTTCTCGACAGCCTGAACTTGAACATACAAAGTGGGCAGACAGTCGGGATTGTTGGAAGAACAGGTTCCGGTGAGGACAAGCTCTGCTTTTGTTTCTTTTGGGTTGTTTTCTTTGGATTTCCACTGGATGTCCTAGTTAAGTCACACCAGAGAGTGATGTGTATGTGTGTCAGATTGGCTGTTATTTCCCTCAAATCTCTTTACTGTAAATTAGGATTTCAGGTTGAATGGGTGTGTAGAGATGGAAGCAAACACATCAGTTTTTGAATTAATTAAATGACAATCATCCTAGTGCAACAGGGCTCCAGAGATGAGTTGTGTGCTAAGGGCCCCTGCAAGGATGGGCAGGTTAACTGTGTCAGGGTAGCCCATCCCTCCACCCCCACCCTGGTGAGGACACTTTCTGTCTACACTGTCATCCTTACGGAGACATTTGCATTGCATTAAAAATCCCACTGATTAAATGCTTGGATATGATGGAAGCACAAACTGATGTTTGATTTGTTGTTCTTACTTTTATGGTTCCCAGGAAAGTCATCGTTAGGAATGGCTTTGTTTCGTCTGGTGGAGCCAGCCAGTGGCACAATCTTTATTGATGAGGTGGATATCTGCATTCTCAGCTTGGAAGACCTCAGAACCAAGCTGACTGTGATCCCACAGGATCCTGTCCTGTTTGTAGGTACAGTAAGGTAGCTGTTTTTAATCATTGTGCATTTCTATTTTTGGAGAGTGAAATCAGACTGACCAAGAACTTTGTGATGTCCCCAGGGCATGGCTGGCCTGGAGCTGTTCTGTCTGAGGGAAGCAGTATCCCAGGGGGGCTCACAAGCACTGCTGGTCCCTGTTTCTGCATCCAGCCTTGGGAGGAGCCAGGGCCCGGGGTCTGAGCATTACTTGTGTTTTATAAACACATTATTAATGAGCAAGATGCTTCTGTATTCATTCATACACTGAGCAGATATTCCAGTGGCTCTGGACAGCCCTAGTTTATGCCTGTGTCCCAGTATCCCATCAGGTTTAACAATGGCCACTCTGAAAAGTGTCCCAGTTTGCACAATAAAATAAATAGTTACCCCGTGTATACAGCTATCCATTGCAAAGTGCATTCATTTATTTCCACACCTAAGTGAACAGAAGCTATTTCAAGCACAAGAACAGTAGGGCTGCAGCTTCTGTGGGGCTCCAGATCTGATATCAAGGCACAAGGGGAAAGGCAGTTTCTCAGTTAGCTCTCTCTGTGATGAGAGGAACATTTCTCCCATACAGCACCAGATGAAGTAGGGTAACTGTATTTACTGTATTTAGAGTTCATTGTTTGAAAAATGCATTCTGCCTCTTGAAACAGTAGATTTACATTCTGCGTCTGAGCTGCTCAGCACCCTGTGAGGCCCTAGGAGCTGCCGATACATGGAGTGGCAGATTTGGGTTGCTCACTCTCCCTCTTTCTCTGCCAAGAATTTTTATCAGTTCAAACCCACTCTGCTACTCGGGGCTGCTGAGAGGCCCAGGTGTGTCTTTCTGAGCACCTTGCTCAGAGCTGCCTCTCGGCAGGGTTCCACCTGTCATTGCCTGCCTCAGTGGTCTCTGCTCCATTGCAGAGTTGTGGGCCCTTGGTCTCGTGGCCTGAGGTCCATATTTTGTGGACCACTGTCCTGTACTGAGCACTATTCTTGGAGCACGAGGTCATCACATGCCACCTCCTACCCTCCTCCACATGCTACAGAAAACCTGCTCCGCATCCATCCTCTCGTCCTTGGAAATCTGGCTCCCTGTCCTCTCCTCTCCTTCATTGCAGGTACAACTTGGATCCCTTTGAGAGTCACACCGATGAGATGCTCTGGCAGGTTCTGGAGAGAACATTCATGAGAGACACAGTAGGTCTCTGGGGCTGTTGAGGAGGAGTTTGTTTCCCAGCACCACTGCCCTAGATTCCTGGCCTATGTTTAAATTTGACAAGCACCTAGGCCAGCACTTAGCCAGGTTTATTTGTAGACACCACGTAAGTCAGTAGAACATAATCCTTAGTTATTCTTTCCTATTAAAAGCAACAATAGGGCTCTACAATGATCCAGTCAAGAGCACTACATGTATCATCTCACTTGGTCCTTACTACAATGCTCTGAGGTTGGTACTCTTACCCCTAATTTTAGAGATGAAGAAATTAAAGCTCAGGGAAGTAACATGCCCAGGCTAGTGAGTAGCAGGATGGAGACTTGAACTCAAGCCTGTCTGGCTGTAGAGCAGATGGAAGGCCCTGCTACTCTGCCAGTGGCCTCATTTGCTATCAGAACAGACAAGCCACAGAAAACAGAAGGGTGTGGAATGTTCTGGGAATGGCAAGTATGGCTGGTTGGAGAGGACCGAACCATCTGTGAGAGGGAACCCTGTCCTATAAGAGCTACAGCCCCAGCTGGGGTCAGCAGGTGAGCATGGACACCTCTGCAGCCCAACGTGATATTTTTCCAGGACTTGGTACCGACATGAGCATCTTCCAAGGCCACTTTGGCTTGTCACTCTGGATAAGTCAGACCCTGTCTTACCCTTCCTTAATGTCCAGAAAACTCTCCCATCCCATCTCTATTTGGTCCCTGGAAACAGCAATCCAGAAAGCTGTTTCCACTTGTTTGTTTGCTCTCTGGGACTGCATCTGCATCATTTGTTCTTTTGGTGAATTGTCTATGGGGTTCTATGAGTCATACTGTGATTTTAAATTATTAATGTCCGTCTACTCCCTGGTCTTTCCCTGGTGCCTGTTTGCAATATTGAAATGATTGTTGTTTTGCACTTTCTTTGCCACAGTAAAATAAAGCAAGCTGATGAATGCAAGAGAAGGGGGCAATCAATACAGACAGCATAGGACAATTTTATAGATCATCAGCACAAATGTGGCATTTTTTGTGTTTTGTAGATAATGAAACTCCCAGAAAAATTACAGGCAGAAGTCACAGAAAATGGAGAAAACTTCTCAGTAGGGGAACGTCAGCTGCTTTGTGTGGCCCGAGCTCTTCTCCGTAATTCAAAGGTAAGAAAACACGGAAAATGGATTGGTCAAATTTTGGATATTTCCCGCAGCGCCACTCAATCCAGGAGGCAGAGCCACGTGTATGTCTTTCAGCAAAGAGACAGCAATTGAGCCATTTAAAAACCGATCACTTTTTCTTAAGACAAAGTTGTGAGGGATAAAAATTGAAAAGTAACAGCCATTTACAGCAAGAGCACCTTCCCCTCCCAGGCTTCCCCTGGGGAGGTCTCGCTTAGATTTTCACTCTGCTTGCCTAAGTGGTTTGAGTTTGAAAAATCTGTCTCCCAACTTTCTCCCATTGTCTCTGAACAATTCTGAATCTGGATACACTGTCCCCAGGATGCTCAAGAGGGCCATCAGAATGCTAGGATATGGGAATTGTAGAATTTATACTTATTTTTCTTTGTAACTTAGCCACCCTTACTTACTGATTTCCAGGAAGGGATTGCTGTTGCTTTAGTAATGCCAGTCTCTGAAGCCTCATCAAAGATGTGACCCATTGTGTGTATTCTCTAGATGTGCTAATGTCAGGGGAGAGGGGCCGGCGTGGATCTGATGCCTGCCGTGGCACTGCATGCTGCTAAGTGGTTTAAGTGTAGTCTCCATATCCAGCTCATCAATAAGGCATAGCCCCCTTTCACCTACGAGGGAACAGAGCCTCGGGGAAGTTAAGTAACTTGGCCAGTCAAGCAGAGTCAGGGGTTAAGTTCAAGTGCTCTGATTTGCTAAATCAAATCCGTCCTGTGATCAGCGGAATAATACCCCCACCTCCCCAAAGATGTTAATGTCCTGATTTTTGGAACCTGCGAACATGTTCCTCCGAGACTTTTAATATATTAACTTACCTGGCAAAAGGGACTCTGCAGTTGCGATTAAGGATCTTGAGATGGGGAGATGATCCTAGATCTGGGTGTGCTGAGCATATTCATATGGGGCTTTCCAAGGAGGAGGCAGAAGAGTCAAAGAGAGAAGGAGCTGTGATGCCAGGAGGGGCTGTGGGCCAAGGAATGCAAGTGGCCCAGAAACTGGAGAGGGCAAGGAAACAGAAAGAATGCAGCCCTGACAATACCTTGATTTTAGGATTTCTGACTTCTGGAACTAGAAGATAATTTACACTGAGTCTCTAAGTTTGTGATTGTTTGGTATGGCAGCAATATAGGGAATGAATGTAGGAGCTGCTGTGCTTCATGCCGACTCAGTTTAGCACAGTAGATAAAGCCTGTGCAGCCTGTCTCCCTATGAGTTTGTAGGGTTAGAATAAACCACTTAAAAAGAGGAATAAAGGATATACAACCTTGTCCCTCTAGCAAGTTCCTTTGGAAAGATGGAGGTGATGTGATGTGACTTTTATTTCACTCTTGTTCTTCTCATTTTCTTTTTTGAGATGGATGTTTAGCTAATTACTTTTCATCTTGTGGTCTTATTTTTCTTCTTCTTCTTTTTTTTAAAGTAAATAGAGCCGAGGCTGTAAATTCCCCTCTCAGTGCGCCTTTGGCTTATAATGTTTCCTCCTCCACAGATCATTCTCCTTGATGAAGCCACCGCCTCTATGGACTCCAAGACTGACACCCTGGTTCAGAACACCATCAAAGATGCCTTCAAGGGCTGCACTGTGCTGACCATCGCCCACCGCCTCAACACAGTTCTCAACTGCGATCACGTCCTGGTTATGGAAAATGGGAAGGTATAGGAAGCTCTTTTGGCTTCACCTCCCCAGAAAGTCCAGTGGTTTGAGCTTTACAGTGGGTAGATATTTTCCGATGATTTCAGTTCTTCTTCTCTGACTTTCAGGTGATTGAGTTTGACAAGCCTGAAGTCCTTGCAGAGAAGCCAGATTCTGCATTTGCGATGTTACTAGCAGCAGAAGTCAGATTGTAGAGGTCCTGGCGGCTGATTCTAGAGGAGGAAGAGGCTCTGTGAGATGAATAGGAGGAGTCTTCAGGAGGAGGGGCTGTCCTCTCCGCAGGCAGCCCTGGTCTTCAGCCCCTCCCATCCACGGAGTGAGCTGGGGCTGAAGTTGTCCCCACTGCCATACTCAGTCCATGTCACCCCACTTGGTGGGCTTGGGGTTGGTTCTGGGTGGTGAACCGGGGCAGACCCAGCTAATGGATTAAAAAACTGCCCTTCACCTCCCAAATCCCCAAGGGTTCCTCATGTGTTTTCACCAAAACCACCCCAGTGCCTGAGATTGAAAATATTGTAACTTTCAGTTAGAAATCAGCCACAATAAACAACATGGGAAAATGCCTTAGGATGGAGTTTGCAAGGTTTCCTTGCCCATTATCAGAAGGAAAAAGAGCAGAATTTTCTTCTCGTTTAACCCCACTCACTTCCATCTTGACTGGGTGACAAGTGGTAATGACACAGATTTGTAGCGTGAAAGACTGAATACAGTGTTTGGCCAAAAATTTTTTTAAAAATCATATTATATGTTTCAATTGATCTGTTAGAATAACCAAGAAAACAAAATGCTGGAGTTTCTCTATAAATGACACTTTTATATCTTCTTTATTCGTCGTTAAAACGCGGTAGGAAATTACCCTGAAATGTCGCCTTGCAATTATTTCACTGAAGATATTCCAATTTCCATACTATTTCCTCCAATAGACCCTTGTTGCCTTCTCCCTTCACTCAGTAATGAACCTTCACAGTCGCTTACCAAACAAAAAGCTTTCTCTCCAACCTGGAGGCTGGTTCTGATGGAAGCAGTAAAGATGTATTCCCAGCAGCCCCAGGAGTGAGCGCTGCTAACTCATGGTGACATTTGGGAAAAAAATATTTATAGAAAATCCAGCAAGCTCTTGTGTAGTAGCCGCCAAGGGGCACGCTGGGAGTTCTGGCTGTTTTTCATTCATCAGGAATGAAGGCCCCATGAGGTTCCCTGGGCCTGCTTTCCAGGCCCCAGGCTGAGCTCTAAATGTAGCTCAGGGCAGTGTGGTCAGCAAAGCTTCCAGACCACAACCCCCCACCCCACTTCCCTTGTAAGTGTTGGTCACGTACTTGCTTCCCCAGACGTGGAGGAAGGAGTGCCTGGCACCTGGAAGCACTCGGGAAACACTTGTGGCAGCCATGAATGACAGCATCTAATGAACTCGCTGAAACACAGCTGTGGAGCCTGGCGGACACCCCTCCCAGGTGTGTGTGCATGTTAAGAGCTTAATCTGGATTTCTGGCCAAAAAGCCAACAGCCAGCAATTCAAGGGCTGGGCATGTGAGGTTAACCTCCAACCGATTATTCTCCAGCCCTCCTCCGGCCAGGCCTGGGCAGGGGTCTACCCAACCAGCGGGGAGGTGAGCACACCTGGCCTTAGGTAGAGCTTATAACCTGGCAACTGCATGAAAGCCCTGGCCCAGCAGCTTGGCAGCAATGGATCCTGCCCTCAGCAGAGGGTGCACTAAGACATGTGGCTGAGAAGGACGTGAGCCAGGGGGTTCCTTCTGTGGGCAGCTCCAGGCCAAGTGTGGATCTCTCTGTGAAGGGACACAGTGTATCTTTGCCTGATCTGAGCTTTCCCCCATGGTGCATGACCCTGACTGAAGGTCATTAAACCCACATCCACAGCGTTCTGAGCAGCTGCTCCCAGCTGAGTGTGGGCATCACCTTTATGGACATAAGATAACTTCCCCAATATGACAAGCAGACTGGGCAGTCTGTGCTGGCCATGGGAATCCATGACAGTTGTGCAATGTCAGGGAGGGATGCTTTACTTTCTACCAACTGGACACCAGCCAGATAATCAGTCTGTGATTTCAAGAGGTGGTGTTTTCATGAGGACAGAGGATAGACTACAATGATCCCTGCTGCTCCTTCAGATGCATTGAGAGATGAATCACCTCCTATGACTCCTTTTCTGCCCACACTCGCTTTGGTTTACTCTGGCAGAAGAAGAACACCGACATTGATCCTGATGTCTACTGAGACCTTGCAGTGTGCCAGGACTGTGACAAGCATTTTTTCCATGAATTATTTCACTGAATCCTCATCTCACCCCATGAGATGGGATTTGAGGCTCACTGAGGTTAGTAACTTATCTACAGATGCCCAGGAAGGAAGGGACAGAGATAGGGCTTGAACCCTAACCAGTCTGGCTCCACAGGCCCTGCTCCCAACCCCTTCACAACAAAGCCCCTCCAGTCCTTTCCCCTTGGCCTGTTGCAAGGACAGTGATGGTCATCAGTATCATCCCTGGGGGAGAGTGACTTCTGAGGGTTTGGCTGTTTGCATGTATAAGACACGAAACCATCTTAGCAAACCCCTCTCCCACCCCAACCCCTTGCTATCACTGCCATGTCAGCCAAGGGGAGACTATGTAGAATAATAGTAGCCATTTAGCCAAATTCCTCAAAGCACAGGCTTAGGTTATTAAATCCTGAACATATCCCTGTGGGGTAGGTGTCTGCTATGATCTGAACATTGTGTTCCCCCAAAATCCTCCTGTTGAAACATAATCCTCAGTGTGACAGTATAGAGGTAGGGCCTTTAGGAGGTGATTAATTAGGTCATGAGGGTGGAGACCTCATGAATAGGATTGGCTCTCTTATAAAAGAGACTTGGGGAAGCTTGTTCACCCCTTCCTCCATGTGAGGACACATAGAAGGCATCATCTGTGAGGAATGGGCCCTCACTCAACACCAAATCTGTTGGCACCTCGACCATGGATTTCCCAGCGTCCAGAACTGTGAGCAATAAATTTCTGTTGTTTATAAATTACTCAGTCTAAGATATTTTATTATATCAGCCTGAATAGACTAACACAGTACAAGTGTTATCCTTATATTACTGATGAGGAAACTGAGGCATCAAGAAAGTAACTTGACCAAGGTTAGCCACTGGTGAGATTTGAATCCAGGCAGGTTGACTCTAAAAAGTGTGCTCCTCCAGGAGTATGAGACCAGCCTGGGCAACAAAGTGAGACCTCGTCACTACAGAAATACATACAATAAAAATAAAACATGTGCTGTTAAATTCCATGCAACACTGCTAGAAATGCAATCCTCCTGGTGAGAAAGAGCAGTGCCTGTGTTGTAAAGCCTGAGTACTGGTCTGGGTAGACTCAGTTATGCTGCAGTAACAAAAGACCCCAGACCACACTGGCTTATTTCTTGCTTATGTGACACATCCATCACAGGTGAGCTGTGACTGTGCTTATCCTCTTCACTCTGTGACCCAGCGGAGCAGAGCAGTCTCTGCCAGGAACATCATGTTTTGTGGTAGAGGGCAGGCAGACATGGCAATCGGAAGTGATACATGCTACTTTCATCCACATTTCATGGGCAAAACAAATTGCCTGGCTGCTCCTGAGTTCAACAGTGTGGGTAGTGGTGGTGGTATATACCCTACTCCACAGGGAGGGCCACCATAAGGCACAAGGACCAAGCTTATTCCAGCAGGAGTTGTATAAGCTTCCTCTTTGGAGGGGCAGCAAATATTTTGAACAATACAACAACCTACTATAGCCTGGGTTGGGATCTTCATTCTGCCACTGAGTGGCTGTGTGATATGGGGAAAGTAGCTTGCCTTCTCTGAACCTCCATTCCATCTGTAAAATTTGGACAAAGTGCTAAGGTCTTTTTCATTCTTGACTTTCAATATAGGAGAAACAAAAAAGGAGATATGAAAACAGTTTCTATTGGAATTTGGGCATTCAGAGGGGATTAGAATGCCCTATAAATGTAATTAAATGTTTTTGTTGTTGTTGTTGCTGTTGTTTTGAGATGTCACCCAGGCTGGAATGCAATGGCGCAATCTCGGCTCACTGCAACCTCCACCTCCCAGGTTCAAGAGATTCTCCTGCCTCAGCCTCCTGAGTAGCTGGAATTACAGGTGTGCACCACCATGCCTGGCTAATTTTTGTATTTTTAGTGGAGACGGGGTTTTACCATGTTGGCCATGCTGGTCTTGAACTCTTGACCTCAAGTGATCCGCCCACCTCGGCCTCCCAAAGTGCTGGGATTACAGGCGTGAGCCACTGCGCCTGGCCTTGAAATTTTTATTCTCATTTATTTCAGTGCCCCAGCTTTGCTGTGCTCTGATATCATCTGCCTTTTGGGTGATCATATGCTCAATGTTATGAATTAGGACCTTTTGAATAGTAGATGCCAACAGAGAATGGAATAAGCCACTTACAAGCATGTGGTTATAAATTGGTAACAAATTGCCTGTGACTTGTTTCATCAACACTTGTATCCTGGAGCTAATTTTGAGGCTACCTGGTCTAGAAAAAGTGTGGACAAATTAGCCCATAGGCCAAATCCAGCCAGCCCACCTGTTTTTATAAATAAAATTTCATCAGAATGCAACCATGCTCATTTGTTAATTCATTACCTATGACAGCTTTCACATTCCAACAGCAGAGTGGAGTGATTGTGACCAAATGTATATCCTCAAAGCCCAAAATATTTACTATCTTGTTCCTTTACAGAGAAAGGTTGCTGTCTTCCGATTTGGGGCATTGGCGTGGGATATGATTCATATGAGGGGGAAGTCTGTTGGTTGTCGGGATGGGGTCTGGAAGGCATACCCTCCCGTTGCCTGGTCTATCTGGGGAGTCAGCAGCCTCGTGTGAGCATGAAGGAAGCAAGACAGAAGGACAGAGCACAGGGACTTGCTTACTGCACGGAGCTGCTGATATACCAACCCTGAAGTCACCCTACCTCTTGTCTTTTTTTTTTTTTTAATTGTAGATTCAGGGGGTATGCATGCAGTTTTGTTACATGGGTATATTGTGTGATGCTGAGATTTGCGCTCCTGGTGTGCCCATTACCCAAGTAGTGAAAACATACCCAATAGTCAGTTTTTCAATCCTTGTTCCCTCCCCACGTTTGGAGTCGCCAGTGTCTGTTGTTCCCATCTTTATGTCCATGTGCACCCAATGTTTAGCTCCCACTTACAAGAACATGTGATACTTGGTTTTGTTTCTGCGTTAATTCACTTAGAATGATGGCCTACAGCTGCATCCATGTTGCTGTAAAGGACATGATCTTATTCTTTTGTATAGCTCCTTCTTCTTGTCCTGTTATAGAGGATACATTTTCCTTGTTGTTTAATCCAACTCTAGTTGGTCTTGCTGTTACTTGCAGCCCAAAGTGTTGTAAACAACACAGAAGAGTCATATTCTCCTCTTGCCTGGGAAGATGCTGATCCTCACCTGAGGAAGAAAGAATCCCAGTCCCCGCACTGCGAGTTACACCGTCTCCCTCCCACTCAGATGTGGCCCAAGTGAGCCAGTTCACATTGAAGCAGGGAGGAGTTTCCGATTCTCATCTGTCCCCCAAGCTTCACGCAAATTATAAATATTCCCCTTGCCTTCCCTCCCTACTGCTTAAGATCAGAAAGACCCAGAGAGAACTCACAGATTTTATTCTTGCTGTTCAAGTGAACAGATCTGAAATTGGCCCAGAATTGTTGGTAAAATATGAAATGTTCTTTGCTAAGAGCTGGAATCACTTTGGCCAGTACAGCATGATTCAAAATGAATTGGAAAAGGCAGGAGTTCAGTTTTGGGTCAGATGGACGATCAAAGAAATCACTTTTCTTTTGGCCCTGTGTAGAAGGTCACTTCTGGGTAAGGCCAAATCAAGCATTAACGTCTTCAAATAAATGTCAATTTCCATGGAGAAGCCCTGCCTAACTTCATGATGTGCACGTTCCTGGCTTCAGCTGAGAGCTTTCCCTCTGCCGAGACCAGCATTCAAGGACCAGACCAAGTCAGTTTCTATTGTTTTAGCACAAACCTGCCTCCTTCACCTGGCAAGAGCCACACTCAAAGAAGCCTCAGCGTGGTTTGTGGCAATTGTTCTGCATTGCTCTAAATAATTTTTTTTATTATGGTAAAATGGAAATAACAAAACATTTACCATTTTAACAATTTTAAGTGTATATTTCAGTGGCATTAAGTACATTCACATTGCTGAGCAGCCATCACCATCATCCGTCTCCAGATATTTTTCATTTTTCCAAACTGAAACTCTGTGCCCACTAAACTCCCCATTCCCCTGTCCCCGTAAAACCCTGCAACCACTATTCTACTTTCTGTCTGCATGAGGTGCCTTATATAATGGAATCATATAGTATTTGTCCTTTTGTGTCTGGCTTATTTCAGTTAAGGTTCATCCATGTTGCAGCGTGTATCAGAATTTAATTCCTTTTTAAGGCCATCCTAATAAGTGTGAAGTGGTATCTCATTGTGGTTTTGATTTGCATTTCCCTAATGAGTTGTGTTGTGCATCTTTTCATGTGCTTATTGGCTTTGCATTTTTTAGAAAGAGAAATTGTGGTAGCCCATCTTGCAAGGTTCCTTTTTTAACATAGCTTTTTTTTTTTTTAAATGGAGTCTTGCTCTGTCACCCAGGCTGGAGTGCAGTGGCACAATATGGACTCACTGCCACCTCTGCCTCCCAGGTTCAAGCTATTCTCCTGCCTCAGCCTCCCAAGTAGCTGGGATTACAGGTGCTCACCACCACACCCAGCCAATTTTTGTATTTTTAGTAGAGACAGTTTCACCACGTTGGCCAGGCTGGTCTTGAACTCCTGACCTCAAGTGATCTGTCCTGATCAGCCTCCCAAAGTGCTGGGATTACAGGCTTGAGCCACTGCACCTGGCCAATACAGCATTCTCAAATGAATATTCTCACTATGTCAATGTGTACAGGAGCTCAGAGACTATAATTATTAGCTATGGGCTAAGAACCTGGCATACATCACATCATTAAGGCTTTAAAACAGCTCATGAGGTAGGAATGACTTTTCTTGTTTGCTCAGAGAGATTGTGTATTTTCCCAAGGTTACCCAGATGGCAGGGAGAGGAAACTGGACTTTTATCCCAGAGCTGGCTTTCCCAGTCCAATCTCTTCACTTCACACATTAGGAAAAGAAGGCCCAGAAGATCTAAAACTGGTCCAAGTTCATTCAAAGAGTGGTAGGGGGGAGGATTGGGCTCCTGAATTCCAGCTTAGTGCTATGTCCATGCAGCCACATTGCATCAGACTGTTCTCCAGAGGGAAGTAAAAATATAGCTCTTTTCCTCCGGGCAGCTCATCATGTTATTGCGGAAATGACTTAAAAGTACCAAAGTACACACAATAAAATACCAGTGGATGAAGTGTGATGTTATGTGGTGAGCTCATTCATTCATTCTTTCATTTATTTGTTCACTCATTCAGTATTTCACCTGATTTTTCACTCTTTTGATCCTTTCTTCTATTGAAAGGATGGAAGAAGTGAAAACAATTCTGGACATGACCAACAGTCCTTGTAGGGCAAGTATGAGCCATGAAGGTGATGAGGCTGGGGAAGGTGTTGTTTCTGGTTGAGGAAAGCATTCAAACAAAGATCTGGGAGTGAGGGCGAGCCTGGCTGGGGAGACAGCCAGCCACTGCCTAACTAGGGCTGAGGACTGCTTGGAAAATTTTCAGTACTTCACAGTCTGCATCTTCAAATGGTTGGTGAACACCAAAGGCTTGGATACAACTAGTGAAGGGAGAACAGTTTGTCATAGAAACAATTAGGGCAGGTGCTGGGGAAAAGTCCATTAGTAATAAAGGGAGTTTGGCCAAGGAAAAGTGGGGCCACAGACAATCCCCCTGCAGCAGAGCCAACTATGTTATGGGGAGAGAAATGGGGTTGGTTCCACCACATCACCCCTCCCAGGACAAGATGGGTGTCCTGAGGGCAGACACTGCCAGTGACACACAAGGGTCATGTGTGCCAGTCTGTAATGATGCATGCTGCCCTTGCCAGGGGAAGCTCTTCTCCAAGCATGAGGTGGAAAAGACGGGAGAGCCAAGTTCCCTCCAGCGCATCCATTTAAATTATTTGCCTCTTTGCTTCTGCAATTGGTAAATCAGAGATCATCTACATAGCAGAATCGTTTAGGAAATGATGAGGCCACTCTGTACAGAGAGTACATTTGGCTTGGCAACCAAAAGGGTTCTTTGGTAAGTGGTCATAACAGTGCCACACTAATCAAATTCCTCAGTTTTCTCTGATGTGGGGATTTTAGAGCCAAGTGACCTCACTCTAAGCAAAGGCAGCATGTTAATATCTGGACTGACAACTGGAGGATGGGGAAGTATGACACAGAGAGAAAAGCATGAGCTCTGGGGTTCTAGTAAACACCATCAGTCAATACTCTGCCCAGAGTCCCGGCTGCTGGTGTGTTTCAGGGTGCTTTTGCTACCTGTAATTGGTACCTTTAACTCTTCTTCCCAGGACTGCCTTGGGCTACTAGAGTGAGAGTGTGCACACCCAAGGAAGGGCCAAAGGGGCTAGAAGTGTACCTTCCTCCAGGTGAGCTCTGAGCTGATAGGCCCAGCTCCCTCGTTTTGGGAAGATCCTAAAGTGGAACTTACACTCCAAGTTCCCCTGTGGATTCAGGCTGAAGTTAACTTCCATAGTACTTTGCCTGAAATCGTATCTTTCTTCCTCCTTGTGTTACTTAGAAATTTTCCCCGAGAATATATCCTTGATGATATGGTTTGTCTGTGTTTCCACACAAATCTCATCTTGAATTGTAACTCCCACAATTCCCACCTGTTGTGGGAGGAACCCGGCAGCAGGTGATTGGATTATGGGGGCAGGTCTTTCCTGTGCTGTTTTCATGATAGTGAATGAGTCTCATGAGATCTGATGGTTTTAAAAACGAGAGTTTCCCTGCACAAGCTCTCTCTTTGCCTGCTGCCATCCACGCAAGATTTGACTTGCTCCATCTTGCCTTCTGCCATGATTGTGAAGCCTCCCCAACTATGTGGAACTGTAAGTTTATTAAACCTCTTTTCTTCCCAGACTTGGGTATGCCTTTATCAGCAGCGTGAAAACAGACTAATATACTTGATACGTCAGAAGCATATAAATGCTTGTCCCAGAGTCAATCTTTAGGAAATCTGACCTAGCCCAGGGGGGTCAAAGAATTCTGAGCTCAAAATCAAACCCATCATTTGCAAGTTCCCATCTCCTCTTTGGGGACCACCACCCACTCTATTCTTAGCCTGGAACCTGGGTAGTTCAGATGACACTGACTCTACCAATGGTCCCCAGGTATGGGCCTGGGATCTAGACCAGGCAAATCAGAGGGTCACATATCAGGGGTGGTGTGAGTGGTTTGGGATGGACACAAACCCAACACATTATCTAGAACTCTGGGGGGAAAATGTGAGCTCTTCTTGGATGGTGGGTACCTCAGATGCCATTTTTGACATCACGAGGAGAAATTCTGCTGTGAATGAAGCCAACACAGAAGAAAGCAGAACAGGGGGGTGGAGAAGAAGCTACTGTGTGCTCAGTCATCCATCACCCTTGAGACAGCACAGTCCCTATGCGGGGATTCACTGCTGATTCCTGGTCACTCCAGAGCTTCTGAACCCCCAGAACACTGAAGTGTCCCCACTGTGCTAAACCCATGCTGTGTTGTGCTCTGAATGGAGTGAAGAACCTTCACCAGAAAGTCCAGGCCCACCCATGGGGCCAGGCTGTGAACTACTTGCAATTTCACTGAGGATGTTTCCTGAGAAAACATAAAGCCATTTTTTTTTTAGCTGAAACACTATCTACCTTGTTAGAGGTGACCATGGCTATCTCTAGGTGGAAGGTTTCAGAATGGAATTGAATTTCAGGACACCCAGCTGGTGTCCACTGCTGCAGAATTGTGTGTGGGGAAAACCACCACATATTTGGTCACAGAAGTCCATGTGTTGATTGTTGTAGTGTGACAGCAGATGAAAAGTGGGTTGAGTTTTTCCACACTTAGTGCCCTTATAAAAGAGGCCAAAGGGGGTGGATCACCTGAGGTCAGGAGTTCGAGACCAGCCTGGCCAGCATGGCAAAACCCCATCTCTACTAAAAATACAAAAAAAAAAAAAAATTAGCCGGGTGTGACAGCGAGTGCCTATAATCCCAGCTACTCTGGAGGATGAGGTAGGAGAATCACTTGAACCCTGGGGCAGAAGTTGCAGTGAGCTGAGATAGTGCCACTTCACTCCAGCCTGGGCAAAAGAGTGAAACTCCGTCTCAAAAAAAAAAAAGAAAAGAAAAAAAAAGAGGCCCAGGGAGCTTGTCTGCCCCTTCTGCCATGTGAGGTTATGTAGAAGGCACCATCTATGAGGAGTGGGCTCTCAGCAGACACCAAATCTGCTGGTGCCTTGCTGTTGGACTTCTCCGCCTCCAGAACTGTGAAATTACTCTGTATTATATTTCATTGTTATAGCAGCCTGGGTGGACTACAAGACAGCAAGGCATATAGGCAAGTTAAGTAACTTGCATTTTTAAAGTACCACACAATTTTTTCAGTGTGTTTACATCTTTAATCTCCTTTTATGATCACAACAGTTTCTTGAATTGGGATTATCATCCATTTGGAATTTTAAAAACATCTTAAAGCATAAAAAGTTGAAATAAATTGCCCATGGTCGAAAAATGATGCTCTAGTCAGTGCTCATTCATAAAACCATAGACATTCAGAGTTGGAAGGAACTTTGAAGCCATGAAGTTCTGACTGCTCATGTCACTGGAGGATTGATGGGGTCTCAAAGGCAAGAGTGGTTTGCCTAAGAGCAACTTGAGCAAGTTGGGGTCTGGAGTCTTAATTTTCTCAGTTCTTTCATTCTACCATGCTCCTCATACAGTGTGTTACTCTCTGCCATTCTCTCTCTCTCTCTCTCTCAGACACACACACACACACCAGGGACTACTCATCTCCACCTCACCTGTGACTCCCCACCCCAGGATGGTCTCCCTCTAAATTCAGACAGAGCAGCGGGGCCGTGCTAGCCTGGTCACCTCTAATGAGCTAGACAGTGTTTCAGCTCAAACCACAATAGCTTTATTTTCCTTCAGGTAGGGTCCTCAGTAGGCAGTATTTCAGATTTCCCTGAAATTATATTAGAATAAAAGCCAAGGAGGGAGGCAAGCATCCCCAAGTGATAGCCAGGGCACCTTTGCCCTCCAAGGCTGCTGAGAGTCCTCCTGGCTACTCCTGCCCCTCATAAATTGGGAAGATCTGTGAGGGGGAAGTAGAGGAAACAGGGGTGGAGTGCTTGATCGATCTGACA
This sequence comes from Homo sapiens, assembly GCF_000001405.40. Lineage (NCBI taxonomy): Eukaryota > Metazoa > Chordata > Mammalia > Primates > Hominidae > Homo > Homo sapiens. The sequence goes on along the minus strand of NC_000016.10, from coordinate 48,072,548 downwards.
GCCAGCAGGCCCCGTACACTCTCATGAGTGCAGGGAAGACATGGTGCCTGCCTGGAAGGAGACTGCAGCCAAGGGGAGCTCATAAGAGGAGATGAGAAAGAGAAACCAACGTGGATGCACTGGAGGAGTAAGGAGAAGGCCAATCTGCAGAGGCCATTCAAACTCCCACTACTCAGCCAAACCTCTCCCCTCCGCCTTCCAATAAGCTAACACGTGTGGACTGGTGCATATCCCCTGAGTCAAAATCTACAGCACATGTAGAATTAAGGAAGGCAATGGCATTGACATGCACTGTATTAATAGACCTAGGCAGAAAACAAATTTAAACAGCTTTAATAAATGAGTCCAAGCTGAGAACAGAAAGACCATGCCTAGGACACTAGTGTGTAGGAGAGGTATCAGGGAGGGGTGAGAAGACATTGAAAAATGATTATCAAAAGTGGTTTGTATGAAGCCCCTCGTGACAGCAACCCCAGAGATGAGCTATATGATTAAACCGAAACATGGAAACATGGCAGTAATTCCAGGAACTGGTATCACAGAAGAGAATGAGAATGAGAGTGAAGGAAAATCTGAAATATCAAGATTGAAGAGTACGCTGCTACGTGATTGTGTTTTGCGACTGGGAGCAAAGTGAAGTCCCTGTGGGCAGAGTTCACTGGGAAGAGACCTAGGACATTGATGGATGCCATGTCAGGGAAACACTGCCCTATACTGTCTCCTGATGGTGACAGTACCTGTACTATGAAAAGAAGACCAGGATCAGTCAGATCTAGCAGTGATTATCATTTCCAAGGAAAATGAACCTCACACAAGGGTTTCCTAAGGACTCAGGCTTCACAATGTCCTGTGAATGAATTGGAGCCAGGGCAATGGGATCTCAGGCCTGACAGTATGGGTTGGTGGCTCTCCTTCAATGGTGCCCCTATTCCTCATCTAGTGAAGGAAAGTGGGGGAAATGATATTCCTACCTGTAGCAGAGTCAGTGGTCCCATCAAACTTTCCATCTACTTCTCCCCTCGCCATTCCCAGCCCCTTTGCTCTTAGGGAAGGGATTTTTTGCAGTTATCTTGCAATTTTCGTTAACAGGCTTAAATGGAATTGACACATGTCAGCGAGGATGGCTGTATGGAAGAGCCAGTGCAAAACCCTCTAGATGTCTCTTTCCTTGCTTTAGTCACAGATGACATTTCAAATGGAGGAGCTTCCATCCATCATCCTGAGCTCCCAAGTGAGTGTGTGAAGAATGCTCCCTTCTCCTCCCGACTCCTACCACTAGCTGATCTGAATAGAACAGCTAGTATGAGCAAGAAGTCAGTTTCTGGCATGTTAAATGAATGATAAATCATTGTTGGGTTGAGATTTTGTTACAGCAGCAGGGCCTAGCACATCTGTCTGGGAGGCAGGGTCATGGGTCCATGGTAATGATGCAGCGGAAGACGTTTATTGTATGGGTGTTTTATTGTACTCCATTCCCCTCCTCAACCCCCACTTCAAACATAGCCCAGCCTCATCTAGGTTGGTGGTCCACCTCCCTGCCTCTGCAATGCCCCAGCAACCTATAGAACAGCATTTTGCAATTCTCCGCTGGCTTGTCTGTCTTCCCCATCATGCTGGAGCCTCTTGATGTCAGAGACTCACTGTAGTCCCAATGCCTGCCAGAGGGCTTGGCTCATAGTAGTTACCAAAAAATTTGTGAAAAAAGTAAAGAAAAATGGGAAAAGTGAGCAGTCCAATCAGAAACAACTCAATATTTAATCACAGACCTAAGGAAACCTGGGTTGTATCTGGCTCCAGCTTCTGGATGAGGTGAGGAGGCAGGTGACTGAGGGGAGAGGCTACACAGGCAGGAGTCCAGGGGCCTCAAGAAAGTGCAGCCCAGCTGGGGAAAAATTAGCTGGGCCAGGAGAGGATTGACCTCTAAAAGCAAAAGGAGAAACAGCAATTCAGTGTGGTAAGGTCACGGAGGTCCCATGAGCTATTGACTTGGTTAAATCATTAGTGAATTGGCTGTTGACGAGAAAATAACATCTCTTTTCCTCATGATTTCTAATTTATCCAAGAGCCTCTCTAGCTTTCTGGAATTTCTGTTAACACATTTAAGCATCTCAATGGTAAATTCCAAGTGTCACAGTTCTTATTAACATCTCCTCCAGGCTGAGACCTACAGCTGATCTTGTGTCTGGAAATCAACAAATACTCAGTGAACCCTTGTTATGGAATAGAGGCAGTGCTAGGAGCAGGGAAGGATGCAACAATAAGACATAGCTCAGTCTACCAGGGAAACAGACATACACTGCACTGTCTCATGGCCCTGCAAGGTGGGAGTGAGATGCAGAACAAGCCCAGTTAACAGGCATTGGGGTGGTTCAGGAACTGGAGCCAGGCTGGGCTGGTGCTCACCCTGGAGGCTTAGGATAGGGGAGAGACAGAAGGGAGGAAAAGATTTTTCTTAAGGAGAGCAAGAATCAATACTATGAAAGTCAATTTCCTTATTCAAATTCAAAGAGAAATTTTGTAACCAAAAATGGGAGAACTACTGAAAAGTCAGAAGTAAACAGAAGACTGGAGTAGACAGTGAGGAGCAAAGATAAAAGGAGAGAGAAGATTCAAGACAGTCCCCCCATTTTTATTGGTCTTTAGCTGTGCCTATTGTGAGTGGGTAGATTTGTTTAAAGGCTCAGGGTCTGGCCGGGCGCGGTGGCTCACGCCTGTAATCCCAGCACTTTGGGAGGCCGAGGCAGGTGGATCACGAGGTCAGGAGATCGAGACCATCCTGGCTAACACGGTGAAACCCCGTCTCTACTAAAAATACAAAAAATTAGCCGGGCGAGGTGGCGGGCGCCTGTAGTCCCAGCTACTCGGGAGGCTGAGGCAGGAGAATGGCGTGAACCCCAGGGGGCGGAGCCTGCAGTGAGCCGAGATTGCGCCACTGCACTCCAGCCTGGGCGACAGCGAGACTCCGTCTCAAAAAAAAAAAAAAAAAAGGCTCAGGGTCTGGACGTACATCTCAGTAGTACTTTAAGCCATGACTCACAATACCCAATCCCACGGTGTATTTGAGGTCAAGAAAGTCCAGTCCAGCAATCAAGAGTAATTTCAAAGCAAGCACTTCTGTCCTGGACTAATATTTTTCAAACACCAAGAAGGACACATATAGACCTCAGCCATTCTATTTTTTAAAGACAGGGTCTTGCTCAGTTGTCCGGGCTGGAGTGCAGTGTCGTGATCATAGCTCACTGCAGCCTCAAATTCCTTGGTTCAAGCAATCCTCCCACCTCAGCCTCCCCAGTAGCTGGAACTACATGCACACCACCACACCTGGCTAATATTTTTTATATTTTGTACGGGTGAGGTCTCACTATCTTGCTCAGGCTGGTCTCAAACTTTTGGCCTCAAGCAATCCTCCTGCCTTGGCCTCCCAAAACACTTGGATTACAGACATGAGTCACCATGCCCTGCCAATGTCAGCCATTCTGAACACACTCCCATTTTCTCTTTCATCTATTTCGTTCTCATACCACTGTGGCTCTGAACTTATTTTTTCCCCCAACTACCTTGAAAAACTTCATTTTCCAAGCCATACTCCCCAGGCCTTTTGCACTTTCCTCCCTCCTCCTTTCTCCAGATTCTGAGTATAAGCAGCTGGTCTGCCAAGCAGTGCCCTTCTCAGGGGGTAGAGGGCAGTCCCAGTCAGGTTGTTTATTCATGGGTAGATCAGGAAGGTCTTGGAACATTTATCTCTTAAACACTTTATCCCATCATGTATAGGACAGAATACCAAATGCCTAACATGCAGCCAATGCCCAGAGGAAACCCACACACCTGTGTGTGCAGGTGCAGACAGCATTCCCTGAGTCCTCTAAGAACCCTCACAGAGATGTCCTGAGCCAGTGCTGGGGGGTGTTCCAGAAAGAACATTCCATGTCCTTCTAGAGGCAAGAAAAAGTCTCCTGGTCCATGCAGAAATTTAGAAGACATCTCCCTGTGTCTCTGTGATGTTCCGGACTCCTAATGCAGGGTTGACCCGGTGTTCCATGGTTGGTTTCCCTCCTTGCTGCTTCAACATCCTTAATCAACTTTATTAAATGCCGGTGCTTTGATGATAGGGCACACCTTAGATTTTCCAGCTACCAAATGATCCTATTTTATATCACTGCAGGCACTGAGTCACTTGAATACTTCTCAGTCCTGGAATCAATCCTGTTCGAGCCAAGTTGTTGAGAAAAAGTCCCCAGCCATTTTCCATTCATCTCGAATGTTGAATTTCCTAACATAATTGCCCAATCCTGGGGTGTCTCTGTCTCTCAGTCTTGCAGCTTGAGGAAATTGGTACCATTTCCTTACAGGTAGAAGCAGAGCAGGTGGGTTAATTCTCGCACAGGCAGCTACAGTATGATTTTTTTGTGAAGCATGAATCCACTCCGAATTAGTCTAATCCACACACTGCACTTGAAGTGTGAGAACAAGACCCCAAATCCGTAGCAGCAGATGAACGTATTCAATGCCCACATCAGCCACTTCCTCTCAGACTGTCTCTGAGAGGACTCCGCCCCTGGGGAGTCTCAACTCCAGGTGTTTCTGGGTGGCTGGATATTCCCACTCAATGTCTTTCTTGCTTCACACCCTGATCATCCATGCTATCATGCTGTCCTTGACTTCTCCCCTCAGGAACTCCATGACAGGTCTGCATCCTGCCCAGGGCCAGAACGGAGCTTCCCTAAGCGTGTCCTCCAGAACCCTAGTCCCTCCAGGTGAACTGTGAGAAAAGAGTTTCTCAGTCAAATAAGTTTTGGAAAGGGCTTGGACTATAGCCCTTGCTTGGAAATTTACAAGTTGACTGTGTCTTAGTTTGGGTTCCCCATGAGCATTTACTGAGACAAAGATTCCTGTTTCCTGGAAGGCGTGGGAATGAGATCAGGAAGGAAAGCAGGGGATAAAGGATGTTTTGTGGAGCCAGTTCCCATGGTGAATAGAAGCTTCATGCTGCAGGGGAACTTTGGCAGCCCTCAGAACAAGGGCCTCAGTGTCATCCCACCCAAAGGGTGGTGTGGGAGAGCCGGGGTATTTACACAGTGTTATCAGTCTGTTTTCATGATGCTGATAAAGACATACCTGAGACTGGGTAATTTATAAAGAAAAAGAGGTTTAATGGACTTACAGTTCCATCTGGCTGGGGAGGCCTCACAATCTTGGCATAGGGGTGGCAAAAGGCGAAAGCCACATCTTATATGGCAGCAGGCAAGACAGAGAAGTTGTGCAGGGGAACTTACCTTTATAAAACCATCAGATCTCATGAGACTTATGCACAATCACGAGAACAGCATGGGAAAGACCCACCCCAATGATTGAATTACCTCCCACTGGGTCCCTCCCACAACACATGGGAATTATGGGAACTACAATTCAAGATGAGATTTGGGTGGGGACACAGCCAAACCATATCACACACCAACTCCAGTCCGTCTCTGGTTGAGGGCTGCTCCTGGAGAGTTTTGATTCCTTCACACTTCTTGTTGCCTGGGCAGAAAAAGTGGGCTCCAAGGACCAGACAGGGCCCTCAGGTAAAGCAGTGCAGGTGATGACAGTGGCAGTGGGGCTGGCGGGTGCCAAAGTGGGAAGAGCCAGGGATGTAGATGAACACTTAGTGTGACCACCAAAGCTTATTAACCCAGCATTTTCAAAGCTTATTTGACCATAAAACTTTCTTTGTTCTTTTTCAAAGAACATCAATTCATATACTGTGACAAATTTTGGATAAACCTGGTTCAGATACTTAGCAGGCCGACATATAAAACCCAAAGCTGAATGTGGTGCTTATGTTATAAGCAGGATAGAAGATAAAGAAGACACTTGAAAGATTGAGGAAAGTCTACGGGGCTTTGCCAGGCAGGGGCACAGACCAGGCCTCCTCTTCCTGGAAGCCAGTGGACAGATTTGGCTCAGTGAAAGGAAGAAAATCTGTAATGACTGGGGCAGCCACCAACGGGATGGAGGGTCCTGAGCTTTCCAGTGGTGGAAGTGTTCTAGCAGCATCCGGGATTCTCTGTGTGTGCTTGGGGAAGGATTGGGGAGGGGACGTTTGATAGAAACCTACACATTCTGGCTCTGAGATTGTGTGGCTTTAAGGTCTTTGTTTTGATTCTTCCTCCAGAATTGAAGGGCAGGAGAGGGGGAAATCCAGGGTTATTTCTCTTGCAATTGCCAGGCTTACTTGGCATTTCCAGAATTCGCTGTCTCTCAGTTCCCCCTGGAGAGCTTCTGCTGTAATTTAGTTTCTGCTTGAAGGCCCCAGCTTCTGAACTTCGGACAAAAGATAAAAGATTCCCTTCAGCTCACAGACTAAATATTTCATTTACCCACCAGCAGAACTGGGTCCCCCACTATGCATTTACCCACTGGCTGAAGGGAAACCTCTTTTTTTCAGAACTGAGGTGGGAAGAGGGCAAGAGAGAGGAGAGGCCCTTGGTCCTGAAGTCTTTGCCTGATGTGGCAAAGGCCATCCTCTTCTTTCCTTCCTCTAACACAATATGAAAAGTCCCACAAGAAACACAGCCTGTTCTGAGATTCCCTGACTGTCTCAAGGCTCCAAATTGCCAAGGAGGCTTGCAATTCTTCTGGCTTTTAACTCAGAAAGTTGTGCTTTTCTGTTGATAAGAAATAATAGTTGTTCTTTGTTCAAAGAGTCAGAAAAATGAATTAGCCTCTGTGGTAGTGAAGATTTGGCTTAAATTAATCTTCCAAGGATGTGCAGAGAACATAAAAAAACTCCCAGATTAATAATGAAAAGAACTGAAGCAGTTGTTAGGGAATAAAAATGAAAGAAAACAAGCCACTGCAATCCCCACAATCTCAGCATCATTCCCTTCCTGCTTTCTCTGTTATTCCAGACCCCGAAAGAACAGTCCTGGGTCTGCACCGTGGTTCCAGCACCCTTCTGCCTTTTGACACTTCCCAGGTAAGAAGTGCCTTTTTGAATTTTAGTTCAGCCAAAGAGACACAATTCTGTGCTGGCTTCAGGGGAGATTAGGAAGTGGGAAAAGAGCTGTGCTTGTCAGCTACCTGTCTTCCCTCAGATCTATTTCCTTCATTCAGTCTCTCTTTTTTAGAGTCAGGGTCTTGATCTATCACCCAGGCTGGAGTGCAGTGGCACAGACATAGCTTACTGTAGCCTCAAACTCCTGGGCTCAAGCAATCCTCACCCCAGCTTCCTGACTAGCTGGGACTACAGGTGCATGCTATCATGCTTGGCTATTTTTTTTTTTTTTTTTTTGTAAAGACAGGACCTCACTGTGTTGCCCAATTTGTTTCAAACTCCTGACCTCAAGCAATCCTTCTGACTCAGCCTCCTAAAGTGCTGGGATTACAGGCATGAGCCACCTATCTGGCCTCATTCCCTGTATTCTCTATCTCACTTGGTGTCATAGGAAACCATATCTCCCAGACTTCCTTGCTCCTTGGGACCAAGTGGTGTCACGGAAAATCATACCTTCTTGGTGCTGACTGTTGTCTCTGGCAGTGACTGTGTCCCTTCCACAGCCTCTGCCTCCAAACAGCAGCAGTTTAATATGGGGAACTGGTGACACCGGTAGTGCAAGAGCCAAGAAGTCAAGCAGAGGATACTGAGGAGAGCCAGTCCCTCCCTCCATTGCCCCAGGTTCTTTCCAGCAGCCCCTGACATGGTTTTAGCTCCCCCCTGGAGGCCTGGCTCCTGGACTGTAATCCACTCACTCCTTCCATTGTCCTTGCAGCTCATGGGTGATAGTGACTTCCTGCTCTTGCTAATTTCTGGCTCTCCTCACTATCCTCTTCTTGACGTCTTGGCTCTTGCATTACCAGTGTCACCAGTTCCCCATATTAAACTGCTGCTGTTTGGAAGTCCTGGAATGGTTTCTGCTTTTCTGACTAAAACCCAATGAGTATAGCATTAGGATGTGGACAAAAAATCCCTATTACCCTTCATTGGCCAATGAAATGAAAAGCTGGTTCCCTTAAGTAAGTGTGCTAAACAGAAGCCAGGCTGTGGGGAACAAGGATGCGGGTCCACACTGTGACTTGCAATAGCCACAGGGTTCTTTAATGCCATGGCTCCCACAAACCCAATCTCTCTCATGCCTGATGAGATTGTCACTATTACTTGCTATTATTATCCAATTTTACAAATATGGAAACTGAAGCCTCAAGAGGCAAGAGATCTTTAATTTCCAAAGATCAATGTGGGGTTTGGGAACAGGCAGTTCAACTCCAGAGCTTTGCTCCTGAATACTGCACTACTCTGCCTTCTTGATATATTCTGAATGTTGCCCAAAAAATAAGCACCACCCAAGGCCCTCTGTTTCTGATCTGCTTGGGCCTATCCTAGTTTTTTCAGGCTTTAAATAAAAGTTAAGCTAAAGACAAAGAAAAAACAGGCTTAATTTTTCCATCCTAAATATCATTTGACTTCTGTATTAGTCCATTCTCACATTGCTATAAAGAACTACCTGAGACTGGGTAATTTATAAAGAAAGGAGGTTTAATTGACTCACAGTTCCACAGGCTGTACAGGAAGCATAGCTGGGGAGGCCTCAGGAAACTTACAATCATGGTGGAAGGGGAAGCAAGCACGTCTTCACATGGCAGCAGGAGAGAGAGAGAGAGAGTGAAGACGGAGGTGCTACACACTTTCAAACAACCAGATCTCGTGAGAACTCACTCACTATCATGAGAACAGTAAAGGGGAAGTCTGTCCCTGTGATTCAATTACCTCCCAGCAGGCTCCTCCTCCAACAAGTGGGGATTACAATTTGACATGAAATCTCAGTGGAGACACAGAGCCAAACCATATTACCTTCTAGTCAAGATAATTCTAAATCAGACCTGCTATAAAATGAAACAGTCCCAGTCCTAAATGCTTGGGCTATACCTATGGTGACCTTTTATGGATAAAGATGCTCTCTCCAATCCTCCCCCTCTTTCACCATCTATATGAATACTCCAGTGGCATTTGCAAGACTGAGTGAGATTAGGGGTGAACACCACTCACAGAATGAAGCAAAACTCCATGCTAAATGAGGGGATGGAGCCATGACTCTTGCCTCATTAGCAAATGAGTAAATGTCTCTAAATGTCTCTAAACAACTGGCAACAACTATTGAAGGAACTTCTGTCCTTCCCAAACCTTTTAGGCCATAGACTAAAAGGCTGTGTCCCTACCCATTCCCTGGGAGCAACGCCTCATTAAGAAAGGAACTTAGTTGTGTCCAAAAGTTTCTCACAATGACAAATTAACTAAGCTTTTTATAAACTGTGGCCTTGGGAATGAGGAGGAACTAGGTTATTCCCAGTGAGTCTGCTCCACTGATCCAGGAAGCCTGTTGTCTTGCAGAGTCCCATCTAGAGTGACTGGAAAGGCACAAGGCACCTCTTAGGGAAGAAAAGAATTTGCAAAAATCGAAGCTGGGCCGATCTGATTTCTTTTTGGGGAACTGTTGTCCTGTGCTGAGACTAGAAATGCCAGAATTTGTTTCAGATTTTTATCATCATCACCATAATCACTGTCAACATCAAGATTACCATCTTCAGCCCCAAACAATATTTATTAAGTCTATTGGGTTAGCCACCTTTTTCTGGTAGCCAAATACATTTGGGTAGTTAATTAGGAAATTTGGGCCCACATCTGGACTCAGGTCAATCAATCAAACATCCATCAAGCATTTTCTGGGTATCTGTGATGTGATAAATCACTGGCTCTAAGGCTGGCTGCACATTAGAATCATCTGGAAAGATTTAAAATATACCAATGCCTGGCTTCATTTCAGAATGATTAAATCTAAATCTCTGGTTTTGGGACCAGGCATTTGTATTTTTTATAAAGCTCCACTGGAGACTCTAATGTGCAGCCAGTGTTGAGAAGAGCTATAATAAGAAGTGTGCTAGGAACTATGGCCGGATTAAGAAAGAGTCCCATCACCTGACTTCTAGGCACTTACTGCCTAGCTAGGGAAATAAGATGCAGTTAAATAGCAATGCATTGTATGTGTTAAATAACGAAATATGACAACAATTCAAGACACCCACAATTGAAATAAGACAACAATCTTTCAAAGTAGCAGATAACTGACAGAGAGAGAGAGAGACAGAGATCACTGCATGAGTGGGAGAACCAAAAAAGTTCAGAAAGTGGGGAGATGAGAGTAGGTGAGAGTATTCAGGAGTGCTTTATGGAAGAATTGGAAACTGAGAATGGACCCAAAAGACAGTCAGAGAGTTGTTGGATCACTTCAAGCAGAAACAGTTTCAATCGTTCTAAAAGAGCAAATTAAACTTGTTATTTTCTGGAAGCAGCAGATAGATCAAGAATGTATTAAATGGAGCATTAGGAAGTGAGAAGATAAAAAAGATGGGTTGTGGATATGCTTATTTTCCTGAATGTAGTCAGCATTAAACTATGTATTTGTATATTAAAACACTACATTGTATACCTTAAATATGGATAACTATGTTTAAAAAGGTAGGTTGTGGGCTGGGTTGAAAATGTCCTTGACTGCCAGCTAAGATGCTTGGCTTCTATCTTGCAGGAGGAGGTGTTGGTTTCTGAGCAGAGGAGGAAGAAGAGGCAGAAATTTTGTTCCTTCACTGGGGGTTTATATTTACAGTCAGCCCTTGGTATATGTGAGGGAAGGGTTCCAGAATCCCCACATATTCCAAAATCCATACTTACTCAAGTCCCTGCAGTTGACCCTATAAAACCTGAGTTTACAAAAAGTACCCCCGCCTCCACAGTGGGTTTTGCATCCTGTGAATACTGTGTTTTGGTTGAAAAAAAAATCTGCTTATAAATGAACTGTGCAGTTCAATCCCATGTTGTTCAAGGGTCAACCATATAACATAAAGAAATACAGTATGGACTGGAGTGGAAGGGAAGGGCCTGGGAAAATAGAAGTCATCTAGAAGACTATCTGTTGTTACCTTAGGAATGAGAACCTTGAATAAAACAGTGGCTGTGTAGAAAGGGGAAGATACAAGAGATGTTCTAGAAGAAGAGCTCCTGGCCTTCTTCTTCCGACTGAGTGGCTGATGCTGCTATTAACTGAATAAGGAAGGGCAGCCAGCCTGGTATAGGGGAGGATCGAGGCTGGGGACAGCTGGCCTGAAGTTAAACCACGGCTTAGTCACCTGCTGATCCAATTAGCTTAGGCTCTCAGATTCAGTTTACTCATCTGTACAAGGGGACTTATAATATCTGCCTTGCATGCTAATTAGGACCTTTGAAATAATATGGTGCCTACCACAAGACCTTGCCCATAGTAATAATAGCTCAGTTGATATTATTATTAATTTATTTATTTATTCATTTATTTTTTAGACAGGTTTTCACTCTGTCACCCAGGCTGGAGGGCAGTGGTGTGATTTCAGCTCACTGCAGCCTCCATCTCTCTGACCCAGGTATTCCTCCCACCTCAGCCTACTGAGTAGCTAGGACTACAGGTGTGTACCACCACATCTGGCTAACTTTTGTATTTTTTTTTTTTTTTTTGGTAGGGTGGATTCTCACTATGTTGCCCAGGCTGGTCTCGAACCGCTGGGCTCAAGAAATCCACCCATTTCAGGCTCCCAAATTGCTGGGATTACAGGCATGAGTCACAGTGCCTCTTGGGTATTATTTTTAGTATTATTATGAAACACAGGAAAAGACATTTGAAGGGAAAGAGGTTAGGTAATAAGTTGAGTTTTAAAAGGTGAAAGATTTATACCATCTGAAGAGAAACCAGAGTATTGAGTTGAGTTTTAGACATGTTATACTTCCTGGATATCTTAGGCAAAATGTCTAGTAGGCCAGAGGAAATAGGGGCTCAGGATTAAAGTTAGAGCCTGAAATAAAGATGTCAGGACTGGGCACAGTGGCTCACATCTATAAAAGCCCAGCTACTCCGAAGGCTAAGGTGGGAGGATTGCTTGAGCCCAGGATTTTGAGACCAGCTTGGGCAACATAGTGAGACTCCAACTCTAAATTTAAAATAAAACAGAAGGCCGGGCATATTGGCTCATGCCTGTAATCCCAGCACATTGGGAGGCTGAGGCAGGTGGATTGCTTGCACTCAGGAGTTCGAGACCAGCATTGGCAACATGGCGAAACCTCATTTCTACTAAAAATACAAAAAAAAAAAAAAAAAATTAGCCGGGCATGGTTGCACAGGCCTGTGGTCCCAGCTACTCGGGAGGCTGAGGTGGGAGGATTACTTGAGCCTAAGAGGCAGAGGTTGCAGTGAGCCAAGATTGTACCATGGCACTCCAGCCTGGGTGACAGAGTGAGATTCTGTCTAAAAAAAAAAAAAAAAAGGATGATAAAAATTCTACTCTAGGTGCAGCCTGGGTCGCCGATGGGGGGAGGTGGAGCCGGGGCCCGCGGGACCGCTGAAGCCCCCAGAGCCGCCTGAAGCGCCCGCGAGCCGCCGGCCGGGAGAGATCCGGGTCCTGAAGAGACGCGGTTTCACTATGTTACCCAGGCTGGTCTTGAACCCCTGACCTCAAGTGATCCTCCCTCCTTGGCCTCCTGAAGTGCTGGGATTACAGGAGACTGGAACCTACTGAACGACCTCTTCAGATCATTTATGATTACTTATCCAGGCTGGGATTTGATGATCCTGTGCACATACAGGAGGAGGCTACAAATCCTGACCTCGGCTGTATGATTCGATTTTATGGTGAAAAACATTGCCGCATGGATCATTTGGATCGAATCCTATTGTTTGGCATCAATAATGTACGCAAGGGAAAGACTCAGCTGCATAAGTGGGCTGAGCGCCTAGTTGTCCTCTGTGGTACCTGCCTTATCGTTTCCTCAGTGAAGGATTGTCAAACTGGAAAGATGCACATTTTGCCTCTGGTTGGTGGAAAGCCGCCTGCCTTGGCCTCCCAAAGTGCTAAGATTACAGCCTCTGCCCGGCCACCACCGCACCTGGGAAGAGGGGAGCGTCTCTGCCTGGCCGCCCATCGTCTGGGATGTGAAGAGCACCTCTGCCCGGCCGCCCATCGTCTGGGATGTGAAGAGCACCTCTGCCCGGCCGCCCCGTCTGGGATGTGAGGAGCGCCTCTGCCCGGCCACCCCGTCTGGGAAGTGAGGGGCACCTCTGGCCGGCCGCCCCGTCTGGGAAGTGAGGAAGCCTCTGCCTGGCCGCCCATCGTCTGGGATGTGAGAAGTGCCTCTGCCCAGCCGCCCCATCTGGGAAGTGGGTGCCTCTGCCCGGCCGCCCCGTCTGGGAGGTGAGGGGTGCCTCTGCCCGGCTGCCACCCCATCTGGGAGGTGAGGAGCCCCTCTGCCCGGCCGCCCTGTCTGGGAGGTGGGGAGCACCTCTGCCCGTCTGCCCATCGTCTGGGAGGTGAGGAGCGCCTCTGCCCGTCTGCCCATCGTCTGGGAGGTGAGGAGCGCCTCTGCCTGGCCGCCACCCCTTCTGGGAGGTGAGGAGCCCCTCTGCCCGGCTGCCCCGTCTGGGAAGTGTATACAACAGCTCTGAAGAGACAGCGACCATTGAGAACGAGCCATGATGACGATGGCGGTTTTGTCCAATAGAAAAGGGGGAAATGTGGGGAAAAGAAAGAGAGATCAGATTGTTACTGTGTCTGTGTAAAAAGAAGTAGACATAGGAGACTCCATTTTGTTCTGTACTAAGAAAAATTCTTCTGCCTTGGGATGCTGTTAATCTATAACCTTACCCCCAACCCCCTGCTCTCTGAAACATGTGCTTTGTCCACTCAGGGTTAAATGGATTAAGGGCGGTGCAAGATGTGCTTTGTTAAACAGATGCTTGAAGGCAGCATGCTCCTTAAGAGTCATCACCACTCCCTAATCTCAAGTACCCAGGGACACAAACACTGCGGAAGGCCGCAGGGACCTCTGCCTAGGAAAACCAGAGACCTTTGTTCACGTGTTTATCTGCTGACCTTCTCTCCACTATTATCCTATGACCCTGCCACATCCCCCTCTCTGAGAAACACCCAAGAATGATCAATAAATACTAAAAAAAAAAAAAAAAAAAAAAAAAAAATTCTACTCTAAAGATCCTGTTTTATTATTTCAAAAATAAAACAAAAAATATGTCAGGGTTATCTACACAGAGGTGACAGCAGAAACTCAGGCAGGTGGATGATATTGCCCAGGGAAAACACATAGAGAAAGGAGAAAAGGAGTTCAAGAATGGGTTTGGGTTTGGTATCAGTCAGGACTCTGGTTATAAGTGACAGAACCCCAAATCAACCGGCTTAAGCCAAAAAAAAAGGGGGGGGGCGGGGAGGGAGAAATGTTTATTGATTCAAAATAACCAAAGGTACAGACGAAAGTATACATCGTTTTATATATGATTACCTGGTTGAATCCAGGGGGTCAAAAGATGTCATGAGGCCGGGCGCGGTGGATCACGCCTGTAATCCCAGCACTTTGGGAGGTCGAGGCGGGCGGATCACGAGGTCAGGAGATCGAGACCATCCTGGCTAACACGGTGAAACCCCGTATCCAGTAAAAATACAAAAAACTAGCCGGGCGTGGCGCCGGGCGCCTGTAGTCCCAGCTACTCGGGAGGCTGAGGCAGGAGAATGGCCTGAACCCAGGAGGCGGAGCTTGCCGTGAGCCGAGATTGCGCCACTGCACTCTAGGCTGGGTGACAGAGCGAGACTCCGTCTCAAAAAAAAAAAAAAAAAAAAATGTCATGAATGCCATGAGGATTCTCCACTCTGCCTTCCCAGGATGGCTTAATTCTCAGGCACCTTCTCCCTGTGTCGCAGCAAAGATGGCCCCTGAGCTTCATTCTGTCAGTTTAGAAATCTCAGCAGAGGCCAAGCACGGGTGGCTTACGCCTATAATCCCAGCACTGTGGGAGTCCGAGGCGGGTGGATCAGTTGAGACCAGGAGTTTGAGACCAGCCCGGCCAAACATGGTGAAACCCCGTCTCTACTAAAAATACAAAAATTAGCTGGGCGTGGTGGCACACACCTGTAATCCCAGCTACTCAGGAGGCTGAGGCGGAAGAATCCCTTGAACCCGGGAGGCGGAGGCTGCAGTGAGCCAAGATCGTGCCACCGTACTGGAGTCTGGGCGACAGAGCAAGACTCAGTCTCAAAAAAAAAAAAAAAAAAAAAAAAAAAAGAAGAAGAAGAAGAAGAAAAAGAAAAATCTCAGCAGAAAGAGAACATGTCTTTCCCAGCAGGCCAAAGCCCTCCGCCTTCCTACAACTTGTTTTTTTTTTTTTTTTTTGTAAATAAAGTTTTATTGGAACACAGCCATGCCCATTTGTTTATGTTTTGTCTATGGCTGCTTTACAGCTGCAGCCACAGAGCTGTAGTTACCATGGAGACCATATGGCCTGTAAGTCCGAAATATTTACTATTTGGTCCTTCACAGAAAAGTGTTGCCAACCCTGGCACTAGACTCTAAGGCCATAAGAAAAGAGACTTTTGTCTGTTAAATTCACGGTTGTATCCCCAGTGCTGGAAGAATGCCTGGTAGATGGTAGGCTCTCAGTAGATACTCGTAGGATGAATGAAGGGGAAGTGAACACTGGTTTGGTATAAGGAGTGGTCCTAAACCAGAAAGGGCATCAACACTTTCAGGGGATTGGCTGGAAGGGCTCGAGGAAGAGCCGAGGAGGAGAGGAGACTTGAGCAGAAGCCACGTCTCAGGAGCTCAGCAAGGACCGCAGCTCAGACAGGGTCCTGACCCCACAGGACACCGGGAAAGAGGCTAGGGAATCTGGATGTGGAGAGGACTCCAGTGAGCTCCCCAAAAGCCGTTTCAGTGGACGCAGGCTGCTGAAAGGTGAGGGGGTGGAAACAGCTAACGTGTGCCTCATTTTGGGACTTGGCTGAAGAAAACATTCAGCCACCCGCATCAGATGGAAGGGGGACAGTCTTTTTTCACATTCAAGGTTTTAGAAGTAAGGGCAGGCCATGACTGGAGGAGGCTCTGCTCTTAAAATGCCTGGGTCCCTTGGGATCAGGGCTTGAGTTAACCCGTGAGTGCCTGGACTACTCCTCCTGACATCTGTCCCTCAAACAGCTGAGAGGCACACAGCACAGAGCCCAATATCACACATAAAAACACACACAATAACCAATAAATCATCTACGGTGTCTGCATTGACTAACTCACATTTCCCTTTAGGAGCCAGAGCTTTGGGCTTTTCCCAGTGGATTTAACATCTTCTGAGTCTTTGTAATAAGCCCTGGGGGAATAGCCCTGTATGCTCTATCATAATTTAAAACAGAAAGTATAAGGGCCGTATTTCCCACCCCCCTCCCTTTTTTCCTTGCACTTAACTCAAAGTCCCCTCTGCTAACTTCATCGGAGTATATTAATTGATGTCAAAATCACCCAACTCCGTTTCAGTTGTATTTGAATCCATTTAAACATTTGCAGAGTCAATTAAAGGCAGGATCAAGAGTTAAACAGTTCTATTCTTAAGAGTCAATTCCCTCCCAGAGGAATTCTTAACGTGATGTTTTTTTCTGTGTGAGTCTGAAGTGAGTTCAGGTTGGTGAAGGAAGCACCCAGCAGTCTCAGCACTCACTAGACATCTACAAATCCATTTTCCCCTCCCTTCCCAGCCCTTCCAAAATAGGCCTGGTGCTCCACTAGCCTTTGGTTCTGGGAAGTGAGATCGTGGAGGGACTAGATTCCCTGCGGGGGAAAGCAGTCCGGGCGTAAATCCATTACCTGGGCTTAGGTGTACAAGGACTCCCTCTGGATGTTGTTTCAAATAAGCTTTTTTTTTGCATTTAGGTTTTTTTGAGAAAAGTTGTTTCAGCTGACATCCAAGCGTGTCATTTGAGGTTTTGTTAAGTCATTCCCTGGAAAGAGAGGATATTTAGCTGCTTCATAAAGGGCTCTCTCTCAAGGGTGCCATTATGATTTTCTCACCTTGGCTAGTGGCAGCTGCTTCTGGGGATGTGATAGGAGCAGAGAGGTGAACCCCTGAGTGAGGCATCCCACCTCTCACTCTTTGATGGCTGATTCTTCTCGACAAAAATCGAGTCAGAGCTGGGCCCTGGTTTCACGGGCACCCTGGACCAGAGGACTTGGGGGTGTGAAGAGAGCTCCTCCAGCTCCTACCAGCCCTCCTGCATTCTCCCCACCCCAGGGGCCCGTTGACCGGCGTGTCTTGCCTCACCCCACGCAGTGTCAGTATATGCATACGCTTGTGTGCATTCGTGTGTGCTGAAAAACCAAGAGGCTAACCTCAGCCCCTAAGAAATAAAAATCAGATCCATGAAGGTGAGCGGGGAGGGCGGAGGTGGGGGATGCTTTCGGCTCCGGTGAAGGGCTGGAGACATTTTCGGAACAGTCTTGCGTGTTCCAGCTTGTTGCCACTAGGGGCTGCTGTGGTTAGGCAGGAGTACCAAGAGCAGAGCTGTTTACGAAGAGGGAAAACGGAAAGATACAAAGCAGTGATTATTTCAGTTCATGAATAATTTTGTTATTTCAGAGGATTTGGGGAGTGCGCTTGGCCACTACCCTCATTTTGCAAGTATGTGACTTCTTTCTTACACAGTGGCCCTGCCAGGATGGCTCCATCAGAAAGTCCCCTCCGTTTGATCCGTAGACCTTGCGTTGACAGGTGCAGGCTACTAGGACGGGCACAGGCTGGGCTAGGCTCCCTGCTGCATCTCCTACACAGTTCCCAGGGAGAACGAGCGCTTGTCTCTGGAGAAGGCTTCCAAGGATGGATGGGTGTTGCATTCTCAGTTCCAAGTCTCCGGTAACAAAAGTGGAAGAGAACAAACTAGATTGAGGAGGCAAGGTATGATAGCACATTTCTCAGATTCTGTAATTCTCCATGAGACTAAGACCCAGATAAAGAACTGTCAGTGCTTCAATTTAATTCCTCTCAGCACTTATTGAGCACCTACTATATGCAGGATATCTTACTCTGCTTCCACAGTACCTATATATACTCTCTTTGGAAGAGCTGGGTTAGAAATGTGGAGGGAGTAGTAGGGATAGGGCAGAGAGGCTTTTAGAATCAGGGTCCACAGGAGCTGGGAACATAAGAAAGGCCTATAAATTGCATCTACTTAATTTACCAGGAAATAGAAAATGAATGGGGGAAACAGTGAATTAAAGGGTAGGGTGCACGCTTTATTTCCTGTGGCTAAAAAAACAAGAAAACTAGAAAAATGAATCCCTGCTGAAGAGTGATTTCCTCCATCTTGCTAAAAGGTCATGGTGGCATTGTTACTCTCCTTATTATTTTTGTCGTTCTTATCTTGAACGTTTTTTGCTAGTGTGGGCAATTGACCATGAAGGCCATGCATCATTGCTTATCAGTTTAGCGCTTTTCAATCTGAAAAAAAAAAATACAAAACAAAAGCCCATTCCTCCTTGATTGGAAATAGGACTGAAATCAGCAGCATTAATAATAGGGTCTTCAAGCCACACCATTTTGGCCTGGACTCTGGCACCCATAGTTTGGCGCTTCAGGCTCCAGGAGAGGATGTGCACTTTTTGTGAGGGCAGAATCCAGGCAGGACTTCTGCATTCACTGTCTGCAGCCTTCCCCCGGGAGTAGACAACGCTGGAAGAAAAACAAACAACTTGGAACTATCACTACTAGATTCTCCTCATGTGGCCAGGCAGCCCTGATCTGGGCAAGCTTTTGTGTCTTGCTCCCCAAAGATGGTAGAGGATTTCAGAACACAGAGTCAAAATCAGGACCTGTCTGTCAAGCAATAGGAGAGTAGTCTGGGACATGCTTACTTGTCTCTGAAGCCCATGAATATGAGGAGACTTCTTTTTCCCTCTTTAACCTCCATAGTTCTCTAGTGATGGTGCAATAAGCATTAGAGGAAATGGGTGGAATGAGTCTGGTTCATTATCTGGCACACAATAGGTGCTCAACAAATATGATTCCCTACTCCTCGCTTCCCTGTGGACTTGCATTTCCCTAACCAGAAGCTGTCAGTTCAGTGAGCTCAAGACTGCTGCCCCGTGGCTCTGGCTCTCTGGCAAGGCCGGTGTAGTCAGCTCAAGGGGCTGGAGGGCAAATTCCTTTGGCTCTCCAGGGCCAGATGGGGGAGCGGCCTCATGAGGAATGTGAAAATCTGGAAGAAAAGCTGATAACCAGAGAAATAAACTGAATGGAGAGGCTGTGGGAGTATGAAAGACTTCATTTTGCTGAGAGTAACAGCACGGGGCTTTAAGTGTCTTATGGATTCTGCATGAGTTATGTATTTTCTGCCTGTAAAGCATTTGACAGGTTTTAAATGCATCAAACTGAGCAGATTTGTTGTGAAATGCAGTAAACATATGCTGAGTATTTTAGTAGAATCATAGCCACCAGGAATGCTTTTTCTTCTTGTGTGAAAATACAAAGAGAAATACCTCCCCTTCTTTTGATCAGTTCCCAGCACAGAGATCTCTGGATTTACATAAATATAAAGATGAATTTGTATGTCTGTGAAGGAGTTCAGGAAATGCCACCTCCAAATCTGATGCCTTGGTATTTCTGATTACTTTGAACTGAAGGCACTTGGGGAACAGAAGATTTGGGCTTTCTCTGAGCTCCCTTGATGCGCCTAAAGACTGATCCTCCAAAAGGAACTCAACTGTCATAAATCTTCTCCCTGGGAATCTTAGCAACCAGTGAAGATTATCTTGGACCACAGGAGATAAGATTGGAGTTTGGTGCCACACCCAGACTCTCACCTATTCTTCTGAGGGCTGCTCTGAGACAACTTTTACCATCTGAGAGATCGCTTAGCTGCACGAAAACACAAGCTTTATTCAACACGTATTTCTTCCCTTCACCCTCCCATGGCTTTTCTCCACCAACCCTTAGAAACCCCAAAACCCTATTCCTTTCTATAGCTCAGGATATTATATAAGCTTCAATCATCTGGCCCTTCTTCAAGTCACATATGTCTGTGGGACTCTGTGCATCATATGTAATTGAATATAGTTTTTGTCTTGTTAATCTGTCTTATGTCAATTTAATTAGCAGCCCAGCCAAGGAACATAGAGGGGTGAAGGGAGCCATTTTCACTCTCCTACATCTGGAAATCACACCCTACCAGATTTCTCAACCTTGTCTTTTTTATGGAAGGCTCAGCACTTAGGGACTCTTAGAAATGGAAGCAATCCGAAATGATTATTGACGTGAAAGGGTGGTCCATGAACAGCAGCATCCACACTGCCTGCAAGCCCATTGGTAATGCAGAATCTCAGCTTCACTGCAGACCTATTGAATCAGAATCTGCCTTTCAACCAGATCTCCAAATAATTCAAGAGCATAATCAAGAATGAGAAGTGCTCTTGTCCTTCAGCTCTGACCGATCCCTTTCACTTCCCCTGAAAGACAGCCAACTCTCCAAAACTTTCCTTCTCATCAGCTGTCACAGAGCTTTCTGAAGCAGTGTGTATTGTCAGCCCTCTCTTCTCCAAGCAAAGCAATTAACACACTCAACAAATGTGTGTGGGGTGCTCACTGTGTGTTATGTGTCCATGGGGAGGAGAGATACATGTGTGAGGACCCCTGCACAGTGGCCCATTCTCTCCGTTCTCCTGACTTCAGGTGTTTCAGCCAGTTCTTGGAATGACATGGCTTCCAGACCCCTTTGTCATTGTCCTTCAGCTCATCCATGTTGTCAAAAATAATTCTTTAATATTATTTCATTCAAAAACATATTTAACTGAATAATTTTGAATGGATATTTGAATAAGTCCCCCTTAAAGTCTGGCACTCAAACAGGACCCTATATTTCCAAAGTTGCCTGAAAAAATGAGTAATTGAGGGAACTTTTACTTTTGTGGTCTGGATAGAATCACCTGGGTGTCTCAAGTGTGAACGCCATCTCTATCTCCAACTAACTATCTATGGTGAGTGGGGTGGCCATCTTCATCATGAAATGAGGCCCTTGGAGTGCATCACTAAGGTCCCTTGTGTTCCACATTTTATTCCTGATGCTGAAAGGAAGGAACAAGAAATGCTGCCACATTGCACTCCTCGGCCCCTCTGTCCTTCCTTTCCACCAGTTACCAAGCCCCCCATGTCAGGGACATCCCTCGGCCCTGGAGATTCAGCAGTGACATGAGCAAGGATGCAGATTCCATTCTAAAAAGAAAAGACTGAAAACAGAGGAACCCATAAGCGAGCATCTTGACCTGCAGCATTCTGGCCCACTCAGATGGAAACCACCTTTGCAAGAATTATAACAGTAAGAAAATTATGGCAGTAAAAGAGATATGATCTAACTCACCCTCCATCTTGCCTTTCCCTTAATTATTGCTGGGCTTTTGGGCTAGCTAACTTTGGAAGACATTTAGGTTATAGTTTAAATGATAATAGCCCTTCCCCCAAACTTGACTCCCTCTATAAAGCTAATGAAAGGCCATGGGGCTATGGGGGTGGAAAGGAGCCTGATTCTGCTAAGGTGCAGACATAGATTGCCAGCCATTCCTGCAGATAACACCACTATTGTAGATTGGCCTTTTGAGATAGCTTGTCAGATTTTTTGAATGTCTGACACCTATGGCTCCAAGCCGACCCACCGATCCCACTCCTGTGACCCCACCCAGAAGCAATTCAGCATGCAGGAGGACAGCTTCTATCCCCCCAACCCCACACTTCAGCTATAACAGGAAATATCCTCTCCATAGAGCATACAGTAAGTGAATGACTTTGTAACTTTACTTCATCCTCTTCATTTACATAGGGCATACCCCAAGTCGAGGGTATCTAAACTCTCAAACATTCTGTAACAGAGCCTTTGAGCCCCTATGCTCAGACCCGCTCCCACACTGTGGAGTGTACTTTCATTGTCAATAAATCCCTTCATTCCTTCTTTGCTTTGTTTGTACGTTTTGTCCAATTCAGTATGCCAAGAACCTGGACACCCTCCACCAGTAACAGAGGGAAGGGTTTGCTTCTTCTCTTGCTGTGGCCCTACCCATTGTGCTTTCTCATCTCTGTTTTGCAAGCAGCCTTCTTAAGAAGGAGCGAATGAATAAAGTAAAATAAAAACTTTTTGGTTTCTACTAGACTCTTTCACTTACCACCAACTTCCACAATGAGCAACCATGTTCCGTTTCTTCTGCTGTAAGAGTATTAGCAGTAGTGAATACAGGTCTGCAGCAACTCGGTTCTTGTCTCCTCAGAGGAAAGAATTTGTCTGAGGGGCATAAGGCAGAGTGAGGGACTGAGGCAAGTTTTAGAGCAGACATGAAAGTTTATTTAAAAAGATTTAGAGCAGGAATTAAAGGAAGTAAAGTACACTTGGAAGAGGGCCAAGCGGGTGACTTGAGAGATCAAGTGTGCGGTTTGACCTTTGACTTGGGGTTTCATACACTGGCATGCTTTGGGGGTCTTGCAGCTCTTGTCCTCTGATTCTTCCCTTGGAGTGGGCTGTCCACATGCACAGTGGCCTGCCAGCACTTGGGAGGGGCCACATGCACAGTATGTTTACTGAAGTGTACATGCTCACTTGAGGCATCCTTCCCTTACCAGATGAGTGTTCCTAGAGGAAGGTCATATACTGGGTAATCTCCACCATCTGCCTGTTAATGCGCATGCTTGAGTCCACTCGCCCAACTCCTAAGATCTTATCAGGAAGTTGCTGATCATCAGTTTCAGGTGTTTTCTATCTATTGGGAGACTGCCTTTCCCTGATGCTGGCTGTGACTAATGATTATTTTAGAGAGACCATTTAATAACTACCCGACCATCACCTGATGGTCAGCTGACATTCCTGGTGGAGGGGCTCCCTTCTGCCCTGCTTATGTCTTCCTAACTACCTACTCTAATAAAAAGAGTAAAAGGTGGAGAGAAGCAACATCAGGGAGACAGCCACCCTCCACCTACAGAGGGAAAGTTTGAGTCAGCAGCAGGAAAGAGTCCCTTGGAAGTGGGCTCCAAGGTGGGGTTTACAGAGGCTTGCCTGCCGGGCTGCTCTGGTGAGCACTCTGGAAGCAAAGCTCTGCCATCAAGTGGAAGATGCACGCTGATGGGCAGCCCCAGGAGTGGACATTCTGCCCCCATACAGAGTGCAAGGGTGAAAGCTTCACACTTAACTCTCAGACATTTCCCAGGCAGGTGCTTCCAAGCATCTCTTTGCCGCAGTAGCAGTGAGAATTGGAGGGTAGCCTTTCTACAGGGAGCCTGCCACTCTGCTGGTGCAGGGAAGTTTTTGCAGGAGGAAATGACATCTTCAATGAGCTTTGTGGTAGAGATGCATCTCCAGAATGTTCCTATACAAAGCCTGTGTCCCGAGGCAACCCCAGCTTAATGCAGCCTTTAGACCCAGGATCCTCCAGGCTTGGCCTTAGTCTGTTCCTGCTGCCATAGGAAAATACCACAGATGGAGTAATTCATAAATGATAAAAGTTTATTTCTTCATCCATCTCCAAAAGCTAGGAAGTCTGAAGCCAAGGTGCCGGCAGATTCAGTGCTCTCTCTGCTTCCTTGTTGCTGTGTTCTCCAGAGAGGATGAATGCTGTGTCCTCACTTGGCGGAAGGGACAGGATGACCAGCCAGCTCTCTGAAGCCTCTTTATAAAGGCATTAATCCCATTCACAAGGATGGAGCCCTCATGCCTAATCATCTCCCACCATCACTTTGGGATTTAAGTTCCAACGTGAATTTTGGATGGATGCTACATTAAAATCTTAGCAGCCACCAATCCACCATCCTGGAGGCTCCAAGAGCTTCTCATGTGATTCACTGATGACTGCTGTGCACCTGCCAAATTCAGGATCTGCTCTTCTGTAGCTGCACAGCCCAGGGAGGAAGGGATGATCTATTCCTCTCTGCCCCCTTCCTAATTCCTTGGCTGTCCATTAGGGCCTTAATGACTAAGTATGGGGCTGGAGCTTTGGAAAGATTATGAGTCTGCCAAACCTCTTTGCATCAGTTAGGCTTCTGGGCTATGTGTGACAGAAAGCAACTTTAGTCTCTTTATATAAATGAAGATATAACAGGCAGGAGCTGTTCTACCACAAAACAGGATGCCATGGTCCCTACAACCTGCACCATTGCTATGATGAATGACCATTTGCATTTTTGCTTTTAGCATTTCCTCAGCATTCAAAGTCTGTGGGGAAGACACCTCTCCCAACTGTCCTGGGATGGGTTTGGCTCCCTTCATCTCTGCAGTAAAAGTGAACATCTAAAATTATTTTGCACCAAGATTACCCACAGTGGGGAGGGAAAGGAGGTAATTCCTCAGTGGGAAAGTGGCAGGCTATTAGGGAAAGGGATGGATGCCAGGTAACCAGAGATGATGGGGGGCCACTACCTAGCTGGCCCCAGCCTCCACCTTGCAAAAGGCAACCAAAAGAAGCACACAGTGAAAGGTGTCTAAACTCTCCAGTTTCATCTTGTTTGCCTTTTTTTCTTTTATTGTCTTTTGACTGTAATAGAGGCAGCATCACATCGAAAAATCCCCCTGGATTAGTAGGTACCACCAGCCCTGCATCTCCCAGCCTGGTGCCTTCTTCTGTGAAATGGGGTGAGTCCTGACAACTCCACAGAGTTGCTGAGAGGCTGAATGAGGAAACAGGTGTGGACATTCTTGAAGAGCAAAGCACGTCCTGCAATTGAAAGATATGAAGCTTGCTCTGAATGGGCCAGCTGTGCCTGTTCACCAGCTTTTCATTTCCTCCCACCCTCACCGCCTTTTCATTGCTTTGACTCTGATTTATTTGTTAGTTTCACCCTGCTTTATTCCACAGAGGGTTTGGCTTTCAGGTGGCAGGATTTCCTCGTTAGTTCCCTGGCAGGACTGTTTGTGCTCACTTCCTGGCCTCTGGGATTTCATGGGGGCTTTTGTCCTTCTCCTTTGCATTCTATGTGCAGCTGCTCCAAGAGCTGGGACGAATGTGGGGGTGAACTTCTGGTGGGCAGCCTTTTTCTGGCACCCACGAAGGACCAGTCCAGGGGATCCTTTTCTCCTGCGGAGTCAGTGCCCACCCTAACACATGGTCCCACTCTCCCTCCTCTTTTCTCTCCTTCCCTTCGTCCTCCTTCCCCTTTCCTTCCTCCTGTTCCTTTCCCTTCTCCTCTTCTTCCTCCTCTTTCTCCCCTTCCTCTCCCTCCTCCTGCTTCTCCTCCTTCTTTCCCTCTCCCTCCTCCCCTTTCTCTCTTCCCCCTACTCCTCCATTCCCTCCCTCTCCACTCCCTCCTCCTGCTTCCCCTCCTCTTCCCTCTCTCTCCCCATCCTCCACCTCCTTCTCCTCCTCCTAAATGCAGCTACATTTGGACCCCTGCAACCCAGCAGGCTAAGAAGCTGGCAGCACATCTGTCCTCTCTGGTCACAGGGGCTGGATGTTACGCACCTTCCCAATCTATTGCCTTCCAATACCATGTCCTTCTGATGTCACAGTAGCAGAGATTCTCCACAGGAGAGAACCATGGAAAAGCAACACTCCTGAGTCCTTTTGAAAAAATCACCCAACAACAAAATTCAGCCACTTAAAAGAGGAGTCCAGATAAAGAACTAATGGTGGAGAAACCACAGGAAAGGGGCAGGTTCTGAGCATTGGAGCCACACAAATATCAACCAGGACTAAGTAAGTTGGAAATTATAATCACAGACTAACCTGTGAATGTCGTAAATCTTGAAAACTTAAAAAAACTAACAAAAATACAGAGAGGTAGTGCTAATTTCCATATCTTCCATAGAATAAAGTGTATAAATATTATTTTAAATTGATATACATAGCTAAAAATGTGACTTCAACCTTTTCCAGTTTTCATTGTCATTAACGTATTATTTATTTTTATTTTTATTATTTTTTGAGACGAGATTTTGCTCTGTTGCCCAGGCTGGAGTACAGTGGTGCCATCATGGCTCACTGCAGCCTTGACCTCCCAAGCTCAAGGGATCCTCCCATCTCGGCCTCCCGACTAGCTGGGACTACAGGCATGCACCACCCTGTCTGGCTAATTTTATTGTATTTTGTAGAGTTAGAGTTTCTCCATGTTGCTCAGGCTAGTCTCGAACTCCTGGGCTCAAGCAATCAATCCAAATCAGCCTCCCAAAGTGCTGGGATTACAGGTATGATCCACCATGCCCAGCTCATTAGCATTTTAAGCTAAGAGCAATCTTTTAGCAATTAATACCTCTGGTGGTTTAGAAAATTTTACTTGAAATTCATAAATATTTTCAGTTTAATAACCATTTTTTTCTAAATTCAAGTAAAATTAAATTACATTTATTTTTTAAAATAGTATGCATCACCTACTTCAGAGAAATGTATTTTAGTTGATTCATCTGCCCTCCTATCTGTATATATGCAAGAGAGAAAGAGGTGTTTGGAGTGATATTCTTGCAACTTTTAAAGTGTCACATTATTTAATGATATCTATTTCTGGGGGCTAGATTCAGGGTAACTCTTTTACTTTCTTCCTCATAGATTTGGCATTGCTTAAAATCTTTATAATAAACACAAACTATTAAAAATATAATCATTACTCTCAAAAAAAGCATTCATCCAATAGAAGAGAACTCTGGGTTAATTGGAAAATCTGCTATATGAATGAATAATTTAACATGGATTCTTAGGTAACATGCATAATTATTCATGTTTACGTAGACTATTTGAATATATCTAGAAATCCTGCTGACTTATAACTCAGACACATATTTTTTAAGTTTAAACATTTCCAATTTGGGAGTTCCTCCGTCTACTAATGGATGGTGGTGTCATTGTTACAGTATGACATTTGGGGTTCACTGATCTATGCTGGGGAGCAGAGCTGGGGATAAAGTTGGGGCAGAAGGGGTAAGAATGAAATCTCTGTGTTAAAAGCAAATGAATGTATTATGATCGGTGCTGCCAGAGTGCAGCATAAAGGAAACAGGCAATGAATTAATGATGCGGCGGAGCAGCTGCACAGAAAGTTTCCTGTTAGAGTGACAGCAAGCCTAACATTGTGACTTAAGGCCCTGTTTTTATGCCACGACCACCTCCAGTTTGGGCTTGATATAGTGACAGCCCCATGCTTTAAGACTCTTGCTTCTTCAAGATATTTTTCCCCAGGTGGCAATTTCTCTACTCTTAATTCAGGGAGAGTGAACGAAGAGCAAGTGGGTTTTGGGAAAAGGCTAGGTCTGTGAAAGTCAGAGTGGTAATACACTGCTTTTCCTAATTCCCAGCCCTTACTAAGAAAAAACACTGGAGAAAATTGATAATGTGGTACCCTCTATAAAAGCGGGCGGTTTTAAATTTTAATTGATCTGGAAAAAATACATTTCTAAAAATTTATGCCATCATTCTGCCCCAAGCCCAGACATTGCTGCCACCAAAGCACTGATGTTTAACCAGGGACTTTAGATTTAAGCTGTAAAGCAGGGAACAAATGATCCACATTCTCTGTCCATTCCTACTAAAACCATGGGAAACTTCTGAAATTGCTTGCCAGAAAAATATCAGGGAATGCATGTATATATAATTACCCATGGAGAAATATGGGGCATTATTTTGTGTGTATTTTAATATAAATTACACTGTAAATAAGCATATAAATGCATATAAAAAGGTCTTTATATCCTGCCGCATAACAATGGTGGCCTTAGGCAAAAGGACGGGAACATGGTTAGGCCTAGGGAGAAAAAGGATCTTAGCAAAGAGACATTTGTGATGTTCTCACCTCTATCCTCTATCTCTCTCTCTTTTCCTTCCTTTTGTTCTTCTTTTTAAAAGACACATAGTCATACTTTACCTCCACAAGTAAAAATTACTTTTAAAGATTTCAGCATAATACTCTGCAGAAAAATCTAATTAAGCCCAGTTATACACTTAATGATTGCCTAGTCAAATTGCTTCTTTGGTTGTTTTAAAAACTGATTTCGGCAGAGTAGCTATGTTTTGTGATGCAGCTGATCCCATATTGTCACTGGGATGAATGTAAATGTCAAAGAGACGGTGTTTTGATCTGATATTTTTACCTGAATAAATATTACTTGCAGTTGAAAAAAGCAAAGATTCTGTTCATGAGTGGCACACAGCAGTCACTCAACAAAATGCCGAATGCATGAAATGTATGGATGGATGGATGGATGATGTTTGGTTGTTGGATGGATGGATGGATGGATGGTAAATGGATGATAAATGATTGAATGGTGAATGAATGGATGGTGGATAAATGGATGTATGGTGGATCAATGGATGTTGGATGGATGGATGGTAAATGGATGATGAATGATTGAATGGTGAATGAATGGATGGTGGATAAATGGGTGTATGGTGGATCAATGGATGGATGATGGATGGTGAATGGATGGACGTATATCAATGAATGGATGATGGGTGGGTGATGAATAGATGGATGGATGGTGAATGGATGGATGGATGGATGGATGATGAATGGATGGATGGATGATGAATGGATGGATGGATGATGGATGGTGAATGGATGGCTGGATGGATGGATGGTGAATGGGTGGATGGATGGATGGTGAATGGGTGGTTGGATGGATGGTGGATGGATGGATGGATGGGGGATCAATGGAAAGATGGTGGAATCAATGGATAGATGGATGGATGGGTGGTGAATGGATGGCTGGATGGTGGATCAATGGATGAATGGTGGATCAATGGATGGATGGTGGAATCAGTGGATAGAAGGATGGATGAATTGATGGATGGATGGTGAATGGATTGATGGTGAATGGGTGGATGGATGATGGATTAATGGATGAATGGATGGATGATGAATAGATGGATGGTGGAATTAATGGATAGATGGATGGATGGATTTATGGTGGGTCAATGGATGGATAGTGGATGAATGGATGAATTAATCTGGTGTGAGAGACAATTGCTGTTAGATTAAGGATTACCTTGAGCACAAGTTATATAAATTTTTTTAAAAAAAGAAAGTTGAAACTCATTCTCACTTACCTTTGGCCAATAGCTGGATTTGATATAGGCAATACTTTTTGCCTTTAGAAAATCAGCACAATGAGGAGTTGAGCAAGATGATCTTAGTCTAATACAAGCTGAAGCTAAGATTTTGTAGGGGTGCAACAAGGGAGCAACAAACTGTTTTCTTCTTTCTCAACAAAATGAGGGGAAAACATACAAATAAACACTGAAATCATTTAGAATTGTAGTGGGATGATTACACAAGGCATAGGGAGAACAATGATGCCCAGAAGGGCAGCAAAAACGGTCAGGAAAACTGAATTCACTGCATAAATATGGGTTGTTATTCTGAAAGGGACAGCTGAAGGAAACAGACAGTCACTGGCAGCCAAGTCTGCTCTCCACCTCAAATACCATAATGGAACCAATAATCCCATAAAAAGAGGCAAGAGACTCATCTTCTCATGGGCACTCAGTGAAATGGGAATGGAGAGAGCCATTTTTGCTTGACTGGCATGATGTCTTTTCCTCAGTGACCACCTCCTGCTTCCTCGCCTTCCACTTCCCAGCTCAGGGTCACTGCCCTCTCCTCTTTACAGTGGCTGTTTATATTTTGGCAGCTTCAGATGTGGAGAAAAATAAAGACTGACTGTGTAATTTAAAACTCTCATCCTGTGTTTGCACCACCACCCCCCCTGTCCCAACAGACGGTCCCCATCCCACCTACAGGGAGACCCAGTCCTCACCTAGCTGACTGTTCACCTGCAGGTCTGGTGTCACCAAATCTGTGCACCTATTCATTTGCCTCAGGAACAATCATTATCTTGCCCTTTATTTTTCTGAGTTTTCTATTTCTTCAGGGTTGCTATTCAGCTTGCAGTAATTACTCCAGTGGCAAAGCTGTGCCATCCCCTATTTTTTAGGAAATTGTTGGGTTTTTCTTATTTCATGACTTCATGATTTTCCAGAGGCTACTTTACAAACACAATCTTTTCTTTGAGTTCTAGAAAGCTTTCAGCAGGCCTCTTGCCAAAAATCATCTCCTGCCTTATGCAGGAAAGAATCTCTCAGGCCACAGTGGGAAAAGCTTGGAGTTTGTGGAGCCTGAGGCTTTCCAGGAGCCGCTGGGCACTAGCACAAAGGGAACGTCTGGAAATTAATGGGCACAGGAGAGAAATGGGTTTGCCTATTTCATACAACCATCTACAGAGGGCAGACTGAGGCTCTGGGTGGAAAGAAGGAAGGAGGAAGAAATGAAGCCCCTCTCGCTCCCTTCCCGATCTCTCCCCACATAAAGGCTGGCAGTGATTGACTTTTTACGTGTCATATACGCATCTCTGCTTAAAACACATGCTGTCAAATGTGTTTTTCTGCGCCTTGAAAAATTCTGTCAAATGCCATAAGCCATTCTGTCAAGAAAACTCTGTTTTTAATGACTGGATCCTTTGTCTTGGCTATTTTGTCTTCGAAGCATTCACTGGCTGTTGGCCAAATGTGAAGGAGGAAACGGACGCTCTAGTTGGTCTTCCCAATGATTGACTGTGCTATTTGGCAACACACTAAGCCACAGGTCTCAAACTCAGATGCCTGTGGGGGCCAGGCAGGTGACATAAATGAGCAAAGCAGGCCGTATGGGAACTTTGGCAAAGTGGACTGTCGCTGTCCCACCTGCAGGGGGATCCCAGTCCTCAGCACTGGCTGACAGTTGACCTGAAGGTCTGGTGTCGCCGAATCTGTGCACCTGTTCATTTGCTTCAGGAACAGTCATTATCTTACCCTTTGTTTTTCTCTGAGTTTTCTATTTCTTCAGGGTGGCTGTTCAGCTTGCAGTAATTACTCCAGTGGCAAAGCTGTGCCATCCTCCATCTTTTAGGGAATAATAATAATAATAATAATTATTATTATTATTATTATTATTATTTAAATTTCATGACTTTAAAATGTGATTTGCTGGAGGCTACTTTATCTCCTCCACAATAACTTATTTAAGGACAGGCAATTAACCCAGGCTGAACCAATCCTAATACTTCATCCTCCTGGCCATAGTGGTTGATCCAGCCCCTGGGCATGCAACCTGTTCTTTCCTGTTTTTCTCTTTCTTTTTCTATTTCTTTGTTAATTGGAGCTTGGGAGCAAGAGCCTCATTTTCAATGTAAGGCTGGGAGGGTCAGCTAAAGAGTAATTGGTGACCCTGACTTCAGCCTTCAGGAAGAAGCCAGCCTCAGGGTTCTGGGGGACACAAAGAGATCACAGATAAAGTCCCGAGGTCACTCAAGTTTCCAGCTTCAATAGTTTCAGAGAGACTTCCCGTTCTTTTCAAGGTTTGGAAACAAATCCTCCTTTCTGCCTATTTTGAGTTGAGCTTCTGTTACTTGTGACTCAAAAAAGCTTGACAGATGTGGACTTTGGAGCCAAACTACAACTTGGGTTCAATCTGCATCTGACACTGGCTCACTGTGCAATCTTCAGAAGGTTCATTAGCCTCTCTGTCTCAGTGTCCTCATCTATAAAGTGGGAACAATAATAGAACCTATCTGATATAGTTCGGATATTTGTCTCCACCCAAATCGCATGTTGAAATGTAATCCTCAATATTGGAGGTGGAGCCTTGTGGGAGGTGTTTGGATTATGGGGCCAGAGTCCTCATGAAAGGCTTGGGCCATCCCTCAGTAATAAGTGAGCTTTAGCTCTGAATTCACACGTGATCTGGTGGTTTGAAAGTGTGTGGCATGGCTGGATGTGGTGGCGCACACCTACAATCCAAGCTACTCGGGAGGCTGAGACAGGAGAATTGTTTGAATCCAGGAGGTGGAGTTTTCAGTGAGCAGAGATCACACCACTGGACTCCAGCCTGGGTGACAGTGTGAGACTCTGTCTAAAAAAAAAAAAAGGCCGGGCACGGTAGCTCACACCTGTAATCCCAGTACTTTGGGAGGCCGAGGCAGGTGGATCACCTGAGATCAGGAGTTTGAGGCCAGCCTGGCCAACATGGTGAAACCCCGTCTCTACTAAAAATATAAAAATTAGCTGGGCATGGTGGTGGGCACCTGTAATCTCAGCTACCCGGGAGGCTGAGGCAGGAGGGAGGAGAATCATTTGAACCCAGGATGCAGAGGTTGCAGTGAGCCGGGATGGTGCCATCGCACTCTAGCCTGGACAACAGACTGAGACTCCATCTAAAAAAAAAAAAGAAAAGAAAGTGTGTGGCACCTCTCCCCACTCTCTTTCTTGCTCCTGCTTGGCCATGTGACATGCCTGCTCCCCCTTCACCTTCTGCCATGATTGTAACTTTCCTGAAGCCCCCCCAGAAGCTGAGCAGATGCCAGCACCATGCTTCTTGTAAAGCCGCGGAATCACGAGCCAATTAAACCTCTTTTCTTTACAAATTACTCAGGCTCAGGTATATCTTTATAGCAATGCAAGAACTGCCTAATACACTACCTTGTAAGGATGCTATGAGGATTAAAAGAATCAATACATATAAAGCACACAAAACTTGTATTTTCATCAAAGTGTGAGTGAGTGGCAAAAAATGATTACACACCCCAGAACAAGGGACCCAATCTGTCTGCGACTGAAGAGTCACTTCTGCTCAAAGACAATTTGAAACCTAAAAGGTAATTCCTCTTCTATCAGTTTTTCACCCTTAAAGAGGAATAGTAACTCCACATCAGAAAGATGTTTCTCTTTTCCTTTCCCAAAGAGAAAGAAAAAAGAACTTTATAAAATCAAATTCATGTTTCATCAAGAAATTAAAAGACAAAATTAGACAGGCAGTCCAGAATGAGGTAGAATTCATCAATATTCTGAGAGGGATAGAAAGTTGAAGAGATAGTAGAGTCATTATAATAGATTTAAACACCCACCACGAAGAGAAATTACTAATGGGTGAATGTAGGTATAATTTAATGCTTGCGTTTTTTAGAAAAATCCAAAAATGACAGGTCTGTAATTTTGACTTCAGTAGAGGAGGTAATGGAAATACCGTTCAGGCTTGGAGAAGCAGAGTGCTATGAAAGTTATTACTTAATTAGAGATTGTAAGCACAGATTCAAACGAGGGAAGAATTTTCATTGTGTTTGCAGTAGGTTTGTTGGCATTGCAAAGAAATGAAGAGGCAGCCGGGAAGTGAGCTAACAACTTCTCCGAGTGGGACTACCTGAAATCCAATTCAGGGTGAGAATCTAGGGCCCTGTGCCCAAGGAAACCTTCCCTGCAAGCTGCCTTTATCATCTAGCGCCCTTGGTGCTGGTCTCAGCAGAAACAATGACATCTTCAAAAATAGGAAGGAAAAGGACAAAACTGAGCAGTGATTTTCATGTTTTAGGAAATGACCTCAAAAGGAAGAGATTAAATGAATGTCGAAGGGATTGTAGTTTTGATAGGACAATCAGGATCTATTATTAAAGCATCAGGTTGAGGCTTCGGAGCCAGGAAGTGATGTTGCCCTTCCTGGGGGTCTGTAGGAAGAGATGTCATGACAGTCCAGCAGACAATGCCAGAAACGTTGGGGAGATGGTACACTTAGGATGGAATTTATGGCTATTTTGCCCACTGTCTCCACAACACAACACATCACTGTGAGTTATATTGACATTAACAATATAACTCAAACATGGGTTTTGGTTGTCACAGAAGGTTTTGGCACTAAATCTCTTTAAAGAGAAATGAGGATTTCATGCAAAATTCATGATGTCTGGGAAGCCCTCTTCATTAAAATGGTGGGAAAAAGCATAGAAGGCTAGGAAGTGGCTGGTTGACATCACTATTTTTCCAAGAGTGGGCTTTTAAAAAGGGCTTTAAAAATGGTTATTTCCAGGCCAGACGTTTTCTCACATTTTCTCTCAGAGGATTACAAAAAGGGTGGCTCACCAGCCCCAAATTTTATTTCATTCACTCTTAGTTGAAAAGGGAAAGTAAATCACACACTGTGTATTCCATGGATGTCTAATTGGCACCAGGACAACCTGGTCTGTCCACAAACCATGGGGTCCCATGCCCAGAAGTATTTTTAGGTTGAAGGACAGCAATCTTTTCCCTCTTTTATTATTATTTTTTAACTGATACATAATAATTGTATATATTTATGGGGTAGAGTATGACATTTCAATACATGTATACAATATGTAATGATCAAATCAAGGTAATTAGTATCTCTGTCACTTCAAATATTAATCTTTTTTGTGTTTGGAACATTCAGAATCTGCTCTTGTAGTTATTTGAAAGAAAACAATAAACTGTTGTTAACTATAGTCACACGACAACGCTATAGAACACTAGAACTTTTTCTCCTATCTAGCTGTAATTTTGTATCTGTTAACCAATGTTTAGCTACACCTCTGCCACTTCCCAACCTCTGGTAACCAGTATTCTACTCTCTACTTTTACGAGATCAACTTTTTTGGCTTCCGCAAAGGAGTGAGAATATGCAGCATTTGTCTTTCCTGGTTTGTTTCACTTAACATCGTGAATAAAGGTTCACCTGTGTTGCCATGAATGACAGGATTTCATTATTTTTATGGCTGAATAGTATTCCATTGTGTATATATACCACATTATTCATTCACCTGTTGATGGGCACTTAGGTCGATTCTATATCTTGGCCACTGTCAGCAGTGCTGTAACAAACATGGGAGTGCAGAGAACTCCTTGACGTACTGATTTCCTTTCCTTTGGATATACACCTAGAAATAGGACTGCTGGATCATATAATAGTTCTATTTTTAGTGTGTGAGGACCCTGCATACCATTTCCATAATAGCTGTGCTAACTAATTTACATTCCCACCAACACCGTGTAAGAGTTCCTTTTTGTCTGTATCCTCAGCAGCATTTGTTATTTGTTTGTGTTTTTGAGAATGGCCATTCTAATTGGGGTGAGATGATGTCTCATAGTGGTTTTGGTTTGCATTTACCTGACTATTAGTGATGTTGAGCATTTTTTAACACATCTGTTGGCCATTTGTATGTCTTCTATTGATAGAAGTCTATTCAGCTCATTTGCCCATTTTTAAATCAGATTATTTGTTTTTTCTATTGAGTTGTTTGAGTTCTGGATTTTAATCCCTTGTCAGATGAATCATTTGTGAATATCATCTCCCATTCTACTGTTGTCCCTTCACACTGTTGATTGTTTCCTTTGCTGTGAAGAAGCTTTTTTAGTTTAATGTAATCCCACTCATCTATTTTTTCTTTTGTTGCCTGTGCTCTTGAGGTCTTTTTCATAAGACCTTTGCCCAGACCAATGTCCTAGAACATTTTCTCTGTGTTTTCTTCTAGTTAGTTCATAGTTTCAAGTCTTACATTTAAGTTTAGTCCATTTTGATTTGCTTTTTGTATATAGTGAGAGAAAGGAGTCTAGTTTCATTATTCTGCATCTAGATGTCCAGTTTTCCTGGTATCATTTATTGAAAAGACTGCCCTTTCCCCAGTGGATGTTCTTAGCACCTTTGTTGAAAATCAATTGGCTGTAAATACATGGATTTATTTCTGGGTTCTCTATTCTGCTCCATTGGTCTATGTGTCTGTTTTTATACCAATATCACACTGTTTTGGTTACCATAGCTTTGGGGTGAATTTTGAAGTCAGGTAATGTGATGCCTCCAGCTTTGTTCTTTTTGCTCAGGATTGCTTTGGCTATTTGGGATCTTTTCTGTTTCCGTATGAATTTTAGAATAGTGTTTGCTATTTCTGTAAAGAATATCGTTAGTATTTTGATAGGGATTGCATTGAATCTGTAGATTGCGTTTGGTAGTATAATTATTTTCATAATATTTATTCTTGGAATTTATAAACATGGGATGTAATTTTTTTTTCTTTTTGCCAAGGACACCAATCTTAATTCAGAGAATAGTTGTGTCTCTTTTTAGTGTCTGAATGGTCATACCTTTGCATAGTTGTCCATTTAACTTTCAGGTTATGCCCACAGGATGTGGCCTGGTGCAGAGAAGCAGAATTGTTTGAATCAGATGACACGGATTCTTGTTTCAACTCTGGCTCTGATTCTGGTGACCTTAGGCAAGTCATTTTACCTCTCTAAGCCAATTTCCTTTCCTGTAAACTTAAGGGAAATAAAGGGTGGTTGGCCTGTAATGTCTTTTTCAGCATTACAGTTCTATAAAGTAATTCCTTTCTATGGTAGAAAGAGAAGTTATATTGTGAACCATACGGAAGTGTGTTTGGGAGAAAGCACATTTAATAATGAATGAAAAGTGGACTAAGAAGGCCAGAGAGAGCCACACCAGCACCAGGACTGCTGAAGACCAGGCAGCAGGGGTAGAATGTGGTTCTGGGGATCTTGGAGGCAGGGAAAGGAGTCTTGAAAAGAAAAGTGGCCAGAAAAAAAATCAAGAGAAAGAAGAGTAGAGTCAATGCAGACAGTATGTGAGTTCTACACCAAGCTCAGCCCTGAGTTTTGTTTGTCAAAGCCAAGTTTTAGATTTACCTCCTTGAAGTTTTTCCAGACAAGTCCCATCTAACAATATTCTAGACAGGTCGGGCTTCTCTCAGAAACTATCAGTGGCTCCTCATGGCCTGGAGAAGACTCTAAAATCCACATCTAGTTTCCAAAATTTGTTTACTACCTATCTTTCCAGACCCCTCTCTGACCTGCCTTTGTCAAGAGCTGAAGGCTTCATCCTTTCCAGACTGATCCTGAACCTTCTCTCCTGTTTATTCTTTCTGTAAAACCCTTCAGCTTCCCCTCTGCTGGGGGAAACATTGTCATTTATCAAGGCAATTAGGCCTCATAGGATTTTCAGGAGCCTGTGCCAATGTTTGGGACCTGCAGTGAAGGAGGTAGGAATAATCAACTCCAAAATACGAAAATTGCAGAATCCAAATAACAATATTTAAAAAACAAAATCATAAAAATGTTTTTGAGAACAAAACATTTAGTTAATTTGGGCACTGGATGTATTTTAATATGATTACTATGTCTTGGGGTGGGGTCTTCGAAGGAAATAGTGCACGGGGCCTAGAGGTGTCTCATGTGAGAAGGCCCTTGCTGAGACTTAGCATTGAAGTCTCTCTTTCCATATTGCTTCTTTGTTTTGGGGCTGTGTCTATCACAGCACTAATCTTACTCTGCCTTGTGTCAAAGTGGCCAGTGTCCACTGTTGCCTTCTCTGCTAGACCAGAAGTGTCTTGAAGGCCAGAATCCTACTGTGTAGAGGTCTAAATTAGCAGCCCATAGGCCAATAGACAGGTGCTTCAAATAATAAGATTTCACCAAATGCCCAGGTTTCTGACTTCTTGTAAAAGTTCAGATGATCTGGCTCCACCCGTCATTCATGCTTTTGCACCAGGTAACAGGTGACTGGACTTGAGTAGGCGGGGCACGCAGCCTCCCATTTGCCCAGCTTTCCTGTACTCACCTTAGTCATTTGTGTCAACATGAGTCTGGATCCAAAAGTCTTACACTTTTGGTGTAGATCCTCCTCCTCTTCATACCTAGCACAGTGTCTTGCAGAGTGCTCGTGCTTAACATGTATTTGTTGAGTAAATAGGGTTTGGAGCTTGATGTCCCTGGAATACATTGTCAGAATCAGACTTCAAGTTGCACAAAGCAAACTTTTAGCTATTTACTGATAACATGACTCTATTTTCCCTTTTCAGCTGGCTGAGGGAGAGAACCTAATGACAGGCTATGTGGCATCTAATTGGATCATTTTACTGAAAATGATCACAAGAGTAGCAAATTATATCTGTATGATGGATCTTCAGCATTACCAAATTTTTTGTCAAATTTGCAGGCAAATTATTGTCTTAACTCCAAAATGATGTATCCGAAGATTTGTTAATGTGAGAGCGTCAGATGCGATGGAAATCCGTCATGAAACATGAACTGAAAGCAAGATGAATGTGTATCATCGAGTGCCTCCATTTTTCTTTTATCAAACAAAATTAGCCTTCCCCCATAAACTGATTAAAAAATATCCTTTACGAGATGAGAAATTCAGCTGAAAGGAGTGCTAGAGCAGCCTACATATTGTTGATCAGAGATCTGAGAGCTATCATTTCAGAAAACTGACATTTCAAATTTGCCCCTGAGAACCAAGCTATAGAGGTCAGGTTTGAGAAACATGCTCAAAAACATGCTATGCCATAGTCTCAGCTGTGAAATTTAAGGTGATATTTTCAGTGAAATGGCTAGTCTATGTCAATGTGAGTGAGTATCTCAACTTTCCAACCAGACTGTAAGCAGCATTTGAATATAAGCTGTCTCTCACCCTTCAGTCTGTTTTCACTTTCCTGCCACAGTGCCTTGTGCATAACTGGTGCCTAAATAGTTATAATTACTTTGTTGATAAACACACCCAACTAAATTGCCCTTAAATGCAACAATCCTTCTTGCAACCCTCTTAGGAAAGAGGGTTTGCTGCATTTAAGGGCAAATTAGAAAAGTAGCAAGCTCTGAAATTTGGGAAGGCCACAGAAAAGTGAGTAGATTTATAAGGAGACCCTTTGTCATTAATAATTCATGCAGGGAGAAAACTACAATTGGAAAAAACCTGCTCTCACTGCTATAGGTACATTTCTATAGTCATGCAATGGAAATACTGCCAGCTTGGTAATGAGAAATGGGATTTATACATGGGCTGATTGCATCAGATCAAATGTAGTTGTTCCATTTAGAGATACAGTTTGACTTTTGGAATACTCAAATCAAGGAAATAATGAACTAGGATGTAATAGATATCTGCTATATCCTTACTTCAAAAATCAAGAACATACCCAGTATTGTCTTTTAAGCATGGTATGTGTTTCCACTCCTTGACCAAATAGTCATTGAAACCAACAGTCATTGAGGCCCAGATCAGTGAATGAACATGGCACATTAGATTATTCTTGAAAAATGTTTCCTCTCACCTACATTATTCAATCAATCTTTATGGGAGGAATAAACTTCCCCACTCCTTGACTTTGGGCTGGGCCATGTCTTGCTTTGGCCAATGATAGTGGATTCTTGAGGTATGTTTGAGTGGTGGGTATTACCCACTTGCACTCTGGCCATAACATGAGAAGAATATGCCCTGGGTGGCCAATGACCCTTCAGTCTGGGGCCTGGGCTGAGACCAGTGAAGTGGGAGCACTCTAGCAATGTGCACATATGTGAGTGGGCATATATTTAGGGGCAATTTGTTACACAGCTATAACTGACTGATACAGTGCCCTGCCCAAGGTCAAACAGCTAGTGGTGGAGTTGTTTTATGTGTACTGGGTGACATGAAGGTTCCCAGCATCTCAATTCTCCATCTTACAGAGGGAGGAGGCACACATGGAACTGGGAAATACTGTCCTCGGGGACTCAGCCAGTGATTGGATAGAGACAGAGGCAGCTATGGGTGTTGATTTTAGAATTCTATAACTGGACTTCCATCACACAACTATGCTCAGAAAGAGAGTCCACCTACACTGCTTTGAAAAATTCTATCATCAAAGACCTAAACGAACGAACTAATTACAGACCCCAGAGCTCTCTTCCTTTCTCTCTCTGCCTAACCCTCCCTCTCCACCCATCTCCGCCCTCTCCCTCTCTGCCTCCCTTTCCCCATCCTTCATTTTAGATATGCAGGCAGTGTGATACAATTGACTGAGCACTGGATAAAGTGTCAAGAACATGGTTCTGGTGCTGACTCTGCTACCATCCCTCTGAAACTTCAGCTAAGTTACTTCACCTCTCTGAGCTTCCTTTTTCTCATCAGTAAAACAGAGTTGATGATAACCTACCCCACAGAGGCATAAAGCGATTTATGAAAGAACAGTCTTCAAGTGCTCATGACAGTGTCTGGCTCAAGCATTGCCTCTGGGGAGAGGCAGATATCTCTTCCTTTCACAGCCTCCTGTAGCAGAAAAGGTTACATATTCTCCCCCATGGTCAGGTAAAAATGTGCAGAGCCAGCAGATCCTAGCATCTTCCTGTCAAGAAAACTGGCATGTAGCAACCTTCTTAGCTGAGCAAAACAGGTTGCCAGGGTCCTGTGTTTCTTCTTTAAGAGTCCTGTCTTCTTCTAAAGACTCTTGAGCAGGTTATTTGTATTAGAAAAGTAGCACCATTTATTTTCCAATCTGGCACTTTGACTTCCCTACCTGTATCCCACATCAGGCCCTGCTAGGTTTTATTTCTGGAGCCTCAGTGACGCTTCAACCTCCCAAATCACCTTCATTCAGCAAAAGTGTACCCTACACAACTTTCACTCTATGCTTAGCCTGTGGAAGAGACAGAAGGGTCTCTATCTTGTTCTCCAAGAACTCACGATCTTCCTGGGGAAAAGACTCTCAGTAGGAAATGCTCCTTTATTCAACAGGTATTTATTGAGCATCTACTACATGCCAGGCTCAGTGCCAGTTCTGTGGCTTTTATAGCAAATGAAATGGATGGTTGTGGAGACATTCTGTCTGCAGCAGAGCTGTCCAATAGAAATATAATGTGAGTCACATATGTGATTTTAAGTTTTCGAGTAGCTATCTTTAAAAAGTAAAAACAAACAGGTGAAATTAATTTTAATGATATATTTTGTTTAACCCAATACATCCCAAATGTTATCATTTTAATACTAAAATGATAATCAAGTGATCAAGATTTTTATATTCCTTTTTCCTACTAACTCTTTGAAATCAGGTGTGTACTTTGCACTCACAGCACATCTCAATTCGACTGGCCACAGTGCAAGTGCTTAGCAGCCACATTTAGCCAGTGGCTACTACGTTGGACAGTATAAGTCTAGAGAAATAGGTGAGCCCTGGGAGTCAAGGTGCACCTGCCTGCAGAGAGGAATGACAAGGGTAGGAAGGGCGGCTGACACCAGAGAGGCACCAGGGGCAGCAGGCGGGGCTGGATATTGAAGATGGGAGCTTGAGAAAGATGGCAGAAGCACCAACAGGTGAATCCCACTGCAGTTCCAGGAGTCAGCTCAGCCAGGCTGATGGGGAGTATGAGGAGGAGCGGTGCCAGGTGAACCAGAGGTGCTGGCGGGAGGCTGACATGAGAAATTCTCACTCTAGAATGGCACAAATTATCCCAGCCACAGAAGCATTCTGAAGGGAGAAAAAACTGCTGTGGGTTTTTTCTCAACACGGGGTTTGGCCTCTAAATATTGATTGATTCATTTATTTATTCATGTATAAATATTTATTGAATAGCTACTATGTGTACTATGTGAACAGGGACTATGAATACAGTAGTGGATGGGATGGTCCAGGTCCCTTTGCCATGGAAATCCCATTATACTGGGGGAAGGTAAACAATAAACAAGCAATAAATAAACAAGACCGTATCTGATTATGGTAAATGTATGATGTGGCGGAGGAGAAATGGCAAAATGACAGGCTTGGGAGGGTAGTGCACACAGTTTAGGTTGGGCGGTAAGCCAGGCTATATCCATTTACCCCTGCGGACTGACTCGTTTTTTTTTTCTGCCTTGCCCTGTGTCCTAAAAGGTTGGCCTATGTGAAGTGCACATTAGAGATTAAGGAGCCACAAGGACTGCGTGCCACATGGTATCCTACACTGGATCCTGGAAGAGGAAAAGAAAATCCAAAAAAAAGTCCGTAATTTAGTTACCAATATTGCATCAATGTTGATTTCTTAGTTTTGATCTTTGTACTGTGGTTACGCAAGACGTTAATGTTAGGGGAGGTTGGATGAAGGGTAGGTAGAAACTCTGCTATCTTTGTAACTCATTAAGTCTGAAATTATTTCAAAATAAAAAGTTTTTAAAAGTGCATAAAATACATGTAAATTCATGTAACAGCAAGAAATTTGCATTTAAGCATATTCACAGGACAATATTACTAAATCACAGGAAAATTTTAATAGCATTGTTATTACACTACAGGATATGGTGTTTAGAATCCACCTGTCCCAGCAAGATTGCTTTGGT
Source organism: Homo sapiens (assembly GCF_000001405.40). Lineage (NCBI taxonomy): Eukaryota > Metazoa > Chordata > Mammalia > Primates > Hominidae > Homo > Homo sapiens. Next base: position 48,030,834 of record NC_000016.10, on the reverse strand, counting down.
GCAGAAATCAAACTAAGTACTTGCTCAGAGCTTCTCTTTCTACCAACACCCCTTTCAACACAGAGGCAGAGGGATGAATCCACCCACATACACCTTCCCCACTATATTCGCAGTGAGCTTCAGGAGCTCAAGTTTGGTCTCCCTGGGCCTCAGTGGTTGCATCTGTAAAGTGGGAGATTGGACTGTGGGATCTTCAAGGCCCTCTGGATCTGAGATGCCCAATGCAGAGGGCCGATTTACTGGATGAGAATGATATCCCAAAGCCACTGGGGCCCAGCGGAAACAGCTAGAAACCTTGTTCTGTTTATGGCGTTGGAGGATAGTTCTGGTGGGAGGCAATACTAACAACAACAGCTCTGAGGATGCCAAACACTTCTTGAACTCTTGCTGTGTGCTGGGCACTCCTCTAAGGACTTGCCATGTTTTAACTCACTGAATCCTCACCACAACTATCATCATCAGCCTCTTCATTTTATAGATGAGAATGCTGAGGCCCAGAGAGGTGAAGGGAGTTGCCTGGGGTTCCATGGCCCATGAGCTGTATTGCTAGCCCTTGACCTCTGTGTTTTGCAAGGGGCACAGGTTGTCCTGTGCCTGGAAGAAGCAGGGATGGGGCCAGGACAAGATGATGGAGTCCAGGTGAGGGTTTCCCTCTCAGATTTGGGCAGAACCTACCTCCTATTGCAAAATGGGCACAGGGCATGAGAGCTGGTTTCTGCCTCCTCTGTATGCAGGGCCCCAGGGGCCTGAGTCCCAGCACTCAGAGGAAGGAGCACTTTAGCAACTTGCTCCCTCCAGGAGCAATTCCCTTCCAGCTGCTGGTCACAGGGAATCGGTCTCTCATGCGGATTCTCTCCTGCCCTCTCCTGGTCTTCTCCCAGCCTGGCTGTTTATGGATGGTGTGTGCTCACATGTGCACACAATTCATTTATTTTGTTTCCTCTATTGGTTTTACAAAAATTACAAACTGATAAATGCACATTGTAAAAATAATTCAAACAGCATAGAAATGTATAATGGACGAAGTGAAAACGCCACCCTCCTCCTTCCCCCGTGCCTCTATGCCCTTCCTTGAATCTCATTCTGGGGTAGTCACTGCAAGCAGCCATTTTCTGAGAATGTGGCACCAGGAGTTTTTTACACCAAATATAGGCCCCTTGAGAACAAGGACTGTGTCTGTGTCATTCGCTGTTGCATTCTTGGGAGAGGGCCTGGCATTAGTAGATGGCCAATCATGTTTATTGATGTTGAATGAATAAATGAAGGATTTCTTATGAAACCTACTTTTTCCATGAAACAAAATAAACATTGTATGGCCCTGCTCCATATCAGAGCTTAGACCAAAGCTTCATTCTTTTTTGGGGACTGCCAAGCATTTCATAATTCAGACGTACCTTAATATATTTAACACTCTCCTTCTTAATAAATGCTTAATGTATTTAACACTCTCCTTCATTATAAATGCTTAATAAATGCATTGTGTGGTGTTTTTATTACAAATGTGATACAATGAGCCCTCTTTTACATGTGTCTCAGAATGCACAAATGAATACTTTAGTAAGGGAGATTTTCTGAGTCAGAGGGTACATACAGTTTAAATTTTGTCCTGGATATGTTAAAGGACCTTGTAGGAGCTGGACAGAGGGCATGGGGAGTGGCAGGGTTTTCAAGGCCACAACCCACCCCCCACCCTGGCCCCAACAGAGTTAAATGAACATCTTTCTGCTCAGTCTTGGGTTGGGGCTTATAAGGACAGCAAGTTTCTCCTTCAGCAAGTTTCTCCTTCAGGGCCATAGCCAACAAAACCCACCTTGGCAGCCTGCAGGGGGCTAAGGGTCAAGATGAGGGTCTTTCTGTCTGTACATTTGAAATTCCTTCTTGTAACTCTTACTCCAAGGACTTGTGATTTTCAAAATATCTTCACTTGCATTAGCTTCTCTGGATCTTATGATCCCATGAGGCATGCTGGAAAGATAAAGTCTTCCCCTTTTTAGAGAAGTTAATGACATCCCAAGGTCACACACTTGTCACACTCATCAGGAGGAGTAAAAACAACTATACTCAGTGAGTAGGGGGAAGACAATCAGTATTGAACCTAGAGAGACTTTTTAAGGGTGAAAATATCCTTAGGGTATGTAATATGTGTCTTGTCTTAGAAGGAAAAGAGAGTAAAACTTACCTGGTGTCAAAACTGCAATGTTATTTTGGCCCCCAAATGAGGGTCTCCAAACACCTGAAGGTAGTGCATGACTGGAGAAGAGATATCAGGACAGAGAAACGAGGCAGCAGAGACACCAATAAGAAACAATGTCCTTTAATTCTTAGCTTGGAGCTTAGGACAGTTCAAGTATTGTCTCACCTAAAAAGACCACTGATGGTTTGAAATTTATTCAATTTTGCTTGGGTTGGTTCTCAATTCAATTCAGTCTATTCATTTACTTGTACTGGTTGGAGGGTTTGATAACAAGATCAGCAGTCACAACAATAAAAATGCCTCCTGAAACTACACCATTTTTGACTGATGGCTCTTTGGAAAACCCTTCTCTCATTCCCCATCCAATAAGACTCATCAATCAACCCGAGGGTTTTACAGAAGTGGCCCACAAAGAGGCCCCCACTCTTGTGCTGACCTGCTGGTTGGTAAGTCCAGAGCCACAACAGCCCTCTGGCCACCACGCACAGGAAAGCTCCCCGAGGATGAGGACGATGTGATGGAAAGTAGGTTGGGAGACGAAGAGAGCCTCTGAATCCAGCTGTTCCTGAAGCCAAACTATCCCTGGACTTTCCAGCTAAGAGAGTCAATGCATCCCTCTTTATGTTTAATCTAGCTTGGTGTCCACCACTGAAGGATTCCTCATTAAGAAATTGGATTTTCTTTAATAACAAAACAGATAAGAGGAGGATTTTTGAAACTAATTGAGGTTGCCTTTAAAAAGGAAAGACTGAGACAGGAGGATCAGTTGAAGCCAGGAGTTTGGGACCAGCCTGGACAGCATAGTGAGACCCTGTCTCTAAAAAAAAATTTTTTTTTAATTAGCCAGGTGTGATGGCATGCTCCTCTAGTCCCAGTTACTTGTGAGCAAAGAATGAATGAGCTCATTTATTCATGTATTAGATATGAGCCTTGGACTGATTTCTGCCTCAGTGAAATGTGGGGTTAGGAGATGCTCTCCAATTTTCTATCAGAAATAAAATATACACCTACTCTGGGGGAATTTAAGTGGAATTTGTATACATGTGTAGAGTAGGTTCCCACTAAATGCTAGACACTATTGGTCTTGTTGGAATCAGGCAGGTCTGTGCATAGACCCAGACTTGGTCTGTAACATACCTCTAGGTCACCTTACTCTTTGGATGCGTCTCTTATCTGTGCTTCCCTGTGCATGTGTGCGTGACATGCATTCACTTATCTCTTCACTTGTTCATGCTCATTCAACAACACATTTGTGAGTATGGGGCATGCTTCAGGTCTCCCTTTTAGGATCTGGAAGTCCAGTGTAGGAAGTCTGAGAATTCAAGTTGCACTCTGTTCTGGTTATGTGAGTGTGAGTTTGATTAGATACGTGCCAGGGATGTGCCCAGGTGATCAGAAGAGGGCTGTGTTAGCCGCATGGGAAGCAAGGAAAACACTCTGTCCAGGCCATCACCATCTTTTCCCTGGACTGTTACATACCCCAGTCTTTCCCTTTCCAATCAATCCTCTGTGCTCCTACATTACTTTTCTGAGATGCAACTCTGAGCATTATTTATCCACATACCTTGTAAAGTGCCACATTGCCTCCAGGACAACACAGGCCTGCTAGCCTCTCCCTTCATGTTCCCTACTCTCTGAGCACACTGTGTACTATGGTTTGAATGTGTCCCCTCCAAAATTCAGGTGTTGAAACTTAATTGCCAATGTAAAGATATTAAGAAGTAGAGCCCTTAAGAGGTGATTAGGTCATGATGATCTCCTCATGAATGAAATTAAGCCCCCTCTAAAAGAGGCTTCATGCAGGCCTGGCTCTCTTGCCTTCTGCCTTCTGCCATGTAAGGACATAGCACTCCTTCCCTCTGGAGTACACAGCAAGAAGGCCCTCACCAGATGCCAAATGCTGGTACCTTGATCTTGGACTTCTCAGCCTCTAGAACTGTGAGAAATAAATTTTTTTTCCTGTTGTTTATTTAAAACAAAAAAAGGACGTTATACTGGGACACAAAATGTTAAGCATAAATAGAATAATAATTCTGTTTTTCTCTGATAATTTTTTATGGGAGTATAATTTATATATAGTAACATTTACAGATCTTAAGCATGCAGTTCAATGCATGCACATCTCTATCGAGACAGAACAGTACCATCACCCAAGGGAGATCCTTTGCACCCCTTCCTAGTCAACGCCTCCCCATCTCCCACCTCAGTGATAACCACTGTTGTGATTTCTTTTACCATAGTCTAGTTTTGTCTCTTCTGTAATTTGAAACCAATGCCCTGCTTTGTGTCTGGCTTCTTTCACTCAGCATGATGTTCTGAATCTCATCCACGTGCATGCAAATAACACCTAACATTTTTGAATACTCCTGGTGCACCAGGCACAATGCTCAAGTTACATATCTTTGTAATAATCCCATGGTGCGTTTTTAACATCTTCATTTTGTAGCTGAGGAAATGGAGAGCTAGAGAAGCTAAGTCACTTGCTCAGAGTAGCATGGCTAGTAAGTTAATCATCGTGATTCTAGCTCAAGTGTCTGTCTCCAGAGCCTGAGGCCTGAAGGAACCTTTTGCTTCTGTCTCCTGCACTGGGCAGGTCAAACACTGAGGCAGGTGAGACGTCATTAAACACCTCTCCCAGGTCTGTCCTCAGCCTCCACACACTCCTTCTCATTCTGTTTTTGCTCTCCTTGTACCTGGGCTAAAATCTCATTTTCTATTCTCCTCTTGAAGGTGTCGCCTTCACCCACCCTCCACTCCATGAGCTCTGGGGAGAAAAAATAGAGCCCACAAGGGTGCCATCCCTGCCCAGAGAGTTACTGCTCTGTCTCCACTCTCTGAATGATGACTGTGTGCAAAGCCTGACCCATAAATATGGTTACATTTCTCGGCCTGTCTACAGAAAGAAAGATTATCTACAGCTATAAAAAAGGGTAGAGTGAAGTTAAAAAAAAAATACAACTGCCACCCAGATAACCCAAATTAAACAAAAGCCTTTTCCATCTCAGGTGACACCTGATTCAAAATGGAATGCTTTGGAGGGTGTGAAGCTGTTAGTCACGTCTTACAGATGAGTCCCAGAGCTACGCCCAGCTACACATGTAGCTGAGCCTATCAGATCCGGTTGACATTGGCTTTGAGGTCACTGGGTGGCCGGCCATACACAGCTTGATGAGGAATGGGGACAACTGCATCTGTTTAGAGTCTTCTGGGCTTCCTTCTACACCCAGTCCAGACCAAACTCCTTGAGATCAAGGCCAGGAGAGAACCATGTGGTTTCTTCAGGAAGCAGGTAGGGGTAGGGAGAGAACAGGCAGTTGTGGACAAATGAGATGGGAGGGTAACAGGGTAGGACAATAGCTCCTACTTTGGCTATGAAGGACATAGCGCATTTCCTGGCTGTGCCATCTCGAGAAAGTTGCTCAACCTCTCTGTGCCATCTCTTCCCCCTCTGTAAAATAGGGATCATAATAGGACATAACAGATTGTTGTGAGAAATAACTGAGCTAATACCACATACTTAGCACAGTTTCTTGTGGATGATACATACTTAATCCATGTTTATTATGTTGCTGGGAACATTCTAGACTGGGAGTCTGTCAACGTAGATTCTCATCTCGGCTTAGCCACTTACTTGCTGTGTGCCCCTGAGCAAGTGACTTTCCCTTCCTGGGTCTCAATTTTGTCCCTATCTGAGAAGCCAAAGAGCCATTCCAGCTCAGATATTGCCCTCTTTGTGCTTATTGGAAGGACAGCATTCAAGCAAGCTGTGCTAGCTCTCCTCCTTGCCTGCCCCACCACTGGAACCTGCCTGAAGGTGTCAGCAACCTCTTTGCATCTCAGGATGGAACCTGGAACAGCTCTGAGCCCAGTTCAGAAAAACCACCTTCTCCCAGATGGAAAACGCATCTGTCGGCTGCCTCCCTGAAGACGATGCTTTCAGTCAAATTGTCCAAATCCTTGCTCGGCCACTGACCAGGCGCTTGACCTTGGGCTGGCTGCTTCACTTCTCTGAGCCCCAGATTCCTCTTCTGTAAAGTGGGTGTGATAGTAACAGCTGTCTCATACAGTTGTTGGGAAGAGTAAATGTGTTTTTTCAATTAAAGAGTTTAGCACAGTGCCTGGCTCCAAGTAATTACTCAACAAATGCTGGTCCTTTTTATATTACTATGATGACGATGATCATCGGGATTTTTGGTTCTTCCTTTCCAGTCCTGGGTCTCAGGTACAAGCAGCAACCACCTCACTCAGTGAAAAACAGCCTCCTCCTTCACTGCTCCTGGGAGCCATTTGTTTTTGCTGCTCTCCACGTGGGCATGTGAGAGCACATGTACACACATTCATTCACACATGCACACCCATGCATGCACACTCACACTCTCTGACAGCCTGGCTCCTAGGAGCACCTGGACTATCTGTCCTGTGGGGTGAGGGCAGAGGCGAGGGCCTGGCATGCAGCTTCTGGCCTGAACGCAGTGATTTGCAGGTCGAACTGGCTATTTTTGCAGGTTCACCAACAATTTCGGCTGCTCACTAAACACAGCCTGTGAGTCAGGAGTCAGGCAAGCTGTGCACCCAGAACTGTATTTAAGATAATCTTTGGACAGGAGTTGGCAGTCAGAAAATGAAGTGTATAATTTTCGATTAGTGCATTACAAGCTTCCAGGTTTGCCTGGGCCATAGCAGTCTCTTCTGGAATTTGTTTTGCAACTTGCTGCCATCTACAAACAAACAGGCCTGGGACTCCTGCAACAAAAGAAAAATATTTTGTATGTGAGGATTTCTGAAGCCAAATATTTCCCACACACCCACCTCTCTCTCTGCTCTCTCTCCTCTCTCATTCTCTTTCTTTCACACACACACACACACACACACACACACACACACACACACACACACACAGCCTTGTGGTGGGGATAACAACCCCTTCCGTTCATCCACCCTGGGGCTCCTCATCATGTCTCTCTTCATCTAGGATGCTTTCCTTGTTCTTGCTTTTTACTGGGACACATCTTCCTCTCTCTTTGGGCCGGGCTTTATTTCTACCTCTGCTTTATCCAGCCTTGAGTTCCCAAATGACCACAATTTGGTGCACGTGCCACCTTCTATATTCATTAAAGGCAACACAACCACAATAGCAACAGTAATAGTGATGACAATAACAATGCAGTGGCTGCTTTCTGTATGTCAAGCATGTGATGAGTGCCTCATAGGCATTATTTCACTGCACATTCAAAGCAGTCTTTGGGGCTGGGTCCTACACACATTATTCCCAACTGGCTAGTGAGGAACATCTGGATTAGAGAAGTGAAGAACTTGGCTGAAATCTCCACAGCAGTGACTGTTAATTTTGGAGCTTGGACCACAGAGTTCTGACCACAGAATCCAGATTCTTTCCTCCTGGGTCTCACTGTCTTAGGGAGTAACTGGTATTCATTGACAGTGTGGTTTGAATCTAGACTTGTGACCCATGATGACTTGTGACCCATGAAATCGTTTTAGGGGATCATGAGCACCTTAAAAATAGTCTACCCTCAACTATCATAGAAAACATTGAAGCACATGGTTCACATGAAGGACAAGTATTATTTCAGAACACTTTTATTTAGTTTGACATATACACATGTGCACGTACCTGTTTACAATGTAAAATGTATCTCCAAGTTTAGTCACAACCAAAAACAGTTTGAAAGTCTCTAGTCTACCGGGTCCCTCTGGAGAAAAACCCCTAGCTGTTTTGAGCTGAGGTTCTGCTGTCCCTCTTCCCTGACTTTTCTAATTATAATAATATTGATGGCAATGATGTCTCATGGCTATGATGGATATAAAATGACTTAGTATATTGTAAAATGTTGCCTGTAAGTAAGTTCCTGGTTGATTTTTACTTTTGCTGAATGGTTTTGTTCACATACATGGGGGTGGGGTGGCAGGAATTAGTCATTCTGCGACCATCATTGCAGCTCCAGTGGAGTTTCCCATCTTACGGCTGCAGCCTGCCAGCCCTCACGGTACCCCTTCCTCCAATTAGAAGCTCAGTGCCCAGAGGTTAGCAGCTAAGGCGATAGGGATGGAAAAGCTTTCAGTCCTTTGGGAAGTGTTTCCAGGAGGATTTAGCCCTGTCAGCCTTTCCCCAGACATCCGAGGGCTAACCAAGACCTAAACTCACCCGTGCCATTAGCTGGCTCTCAGCTTCTCACAGAGATCAGGGTAGGCATCTACAGGCTCTGTCCCCCAGGCCTGTGCTCCCCTGTCCTTTCACAGGCCAAAGAAAAGCTTGGGACTTGATTCCCAGGACAATCTGGGACTGCACCATTGGTGTCAAGAATAACAACCACCCTCTGGGTCTGCATGGAACCTTTCTTCTAAGTTCAAAGTAATTTCCTAGATGTTGGGCTCATTTCTTCCAAGGTCACCATGGGAAGGTTTGGTTCTCCCTGCCGGTTCTTGATCTTGGGGTTGGGTGAAAGGATGCGAGTTTAGAAGTTCTAGCCTTGATTACTTGCACGCAGTATGGGCTGGGGATGGATCTGCCTGCAATTTGGCTTCCCAAACCTTCCATCTGATTTCCGATTTCTCAACCCTGTTTTCATCATCACCTTTCTAAAGAGGTTTTGCAGACATTTTTCCCCTATTGCCTTCCACCTCCCCCTGCTCATTAAATGTTAATAGCGCAGCTCCACTGTACAGTCGTTTATGGACTATATGTCTTTCTGTGCTTTATCCATAAAAAGGGTGATTTTCTTGCATTTACCCCCCCCCAACCAGGAGCCAATTTTTGCTCCCTTAGGGGTGCTTTTACCCAGCTCCTCATCTGCACACTAGTACAGAACAACAACGGCACCTCCTCTTGGGGTTACTGCAAGAACTAAAGCCCACACTTCAAGTGAAGTGCTTAGCACAGTGCTTGGCATAAACTAGCACTCATTCGTTCTCACTATTGTTAGTGATCATCATAACAGTTAACATCTACTAGGGGGTAACTGTAGGATGGGATTTAGAGCTTTTCATCAATTTGGTGACTTGGTTCTCACAATAACACTGTAAGGCAGGGACGATTATGATTATCATCATTTTACAGATAAGAAAATCGAGATTCTGGCTTATTTAGTGGAAGGTAGAGGCCTGTTTCCCACTTATAAGAATGGAGGATTCTCGGGGAGGAGCCAAGATGGCCGAATAGGAACAGCTCCGGTCTACAGCTCCCAGCGTGAGCGACGCAGAAGACGGGTGATTTCTGCATTTCCATCTGAGGTACCGGGTTCATCTCACTAGGGAGTGCCAGACAGTGGGCGCAGGCCAGTGGGTGCGCGCACCGTGCGCGAGCCGAAGCAGGGCGAGGCATTGCCTTACCTGGGAAGCGCAAGGGGTCAGGGGGTTCCCTTTCCGAGTCAAAGAAAGGGGTGACAGACGCACCTGGAAAATCGGGTCACTCCCACCCGAATATTGCGCTTTTCAGACTGGCTTAAAAAACGGCGCACCACGAGACTATATCCCACACCTGGCTCGGAGGGTCCTACGCCCATGGAGTCTCGCTGATTGCTAGCACAGCAGTCTGAGATCAAACTGCAAGGCAGCAGCGAGGCTGGGGGAGGGGCGCCCACCATTGCCCAGGCTTGCTTAGGTAAACAAAGCAGCCGGGAAGCTCGAACTGGGTGGAGCCCACCACAGCTCCAGGAGGCCTGCCTGCCACTGTAGGCTCCACCTCTGGGGGCAGGGCACAGACAAACAAAAAGACAGCAGTAACCTCTGCAGACTTAAATGTCCCTGCCTGACAGCTTTGAAGAAAGCAGTGGTTCTCCCAGCACGCAGCTGGAGATCTGAGAACTGGCACACTGCCTCCTCAAGTGGGTCCCTGACCCCTGACCCCCGAGCAGCCTAATTGGGAGGCACTCCCCAGCAGGGGCACACTGACACCCCACACGGCAGGGTATTCCAACAGACCTGCAGCTGAGGGTCCTGTCTGTTAGGAGGAAAACTAACAAACAGAAAGGACATCCACACCGAAAACCCATCTGTACATCACCATCATCAAAGACCAAAAGTAGATAAAACCACAAAGATGGGGAAAAAACAGAACAGAAAAACTGGAAACTCTAAAACGCAGAGCGTCTCTCCTCCTCCAAAGGAACGCAGTTCCTCACCAGCAACAGAACAAAGCTGGATGGAGAATGACTTTGATGAGCTGAGAGAAGGCTTCAGACGATCAAATTACTCTGAGCTACGGGAGGACATTCAAACCAAAGGCAAAGAAGTTGAAAACTTTGAAAAAAATTTAGAAGAATGTATAACTAGAATAACCAATACAGAGAAGTGGTTAAAGGAGCTGATGGAGCTGAAAACCAAGGCTCAAGAACTACGTGAAGAATGCAGAAGCCTCAGGAGCCGATGCGATCAACTGGAAGAAAGGGTATCAGCAATGGAAGATGAAATGAATGAAATGAAGCGAGAAGGGAAGTTTAGAGAAAAAAGAATAAAAAGAAATGAGCAAAGCCTCCAAGAAATATGGGACTATGTGAAAAGACCAAATCTACGTCTGATTGGTGTACCTGAAAGTGACAGGGAGAATGGAACCAAGTTGGAAAACACTCTGCAGGATATTATCCAGGAGAACTTCCCCAATCTAGCAAGGCAGGCCAACGTTCAGATTCAGGAAATACAGAGAACGCCACAAAGATACTCCCCGAGAAGAGCAACTCCAAGACACATAATTGTCAGATTCACCAAAGTTGAAATGAAGGAAAAAATGTTAAGGGCAGCCAGAGAGAAAGGTCGGGTTACCCTCAAAGGGAAGCCCATCAGACTAACAGCGAATCTCTCGGCAGAAACCCTACAAGCCAGAAGAGAGTGGGGGCCAATATTCAACATTCTTAAAGAAAAGAATTTTCAACCCAGAATTTCATATCCAGCCAAACTAAGCTTCATAAGTGAAGGAGAAATAAAATCCTTTACAGACAAGCAAATGCTGAGAGATTTTGTCACCACCAGGCCTGCCCTAAAAGAGCTCCTGAAGGAAGCGCTAAACATGGAAAGGAACAACCGGTACCAGCTGCTGCAAAATCATGCCAAAATGTAAAGACCGTCGAGACTAGGAAGAAACTGCATCAACTAACGAGCAAAATCGCCAGCTAATATCATAATGACAGGATCAAATTCACACATAACAATATTAACTTTAAATGTAAATGGACTAAATTCTCCAATTAAAAGACACAGACTGGCAAGTTGGATAAAGAGTCAAGACCCATCAGTGTGCTGTATTCAGGAAACCCATCTCACGTGCAGAGACACACATAGGCTCAAAATAAAAGGATGGAGGAAGATCTACCAAGCAAATGGAAAACAAAAAAAGGCAGGGGTTGCAATCCTAGTCTCTGATAAAACAGTCTTTAAACCAACAAAGATTAAAAGAGACAAAGAAGGCCATTACATAATGGTAAAGGGATCAATTCAACAAGAAGAGCTAACTATCCTAAATATATATGCACCCAATACAGGAGCACCCAGATTCATAAAGCAAGTCCTGAGTGACCTACAAAGAGACTTAGACTCCCACACATTAATAATGGGAGACTTTAACACCCCACTGTCAACATTAGACAGATCAACGAGACAGAAAGTCAACAAGGATACCCAGGAATTGAACTCAGCTCTGCACCAAGTGGACCTAATAGACATCTGCAGAACTCTCCACCCCAAATCAACAGAATATACATTTTTTTCAGCACCACACCACACCTATTCCAAAATTGACCACATAGTTGGAAGTAAAGCTCTCCTCAGCAAATGTAAAAGAACAGAAATTATAACAAACTATCTCTCAGACCACAGTGCAATCAAACTAGAACTCAGGATTAAGAATCTCACTCAAAGCCACTCAACTACATGGAAACTGAACAACCTGCTCCTGAATGACTACTGGGTACATAACGAAATGAAGGCAGAAATAAAGATGTTCTTTGAAACCAATGAGAACAAAGACACAACATACCAGAATCTCTGGGACGCATTCAAAGCAGTGTGTAGAGGGAAATTTATAGCACTAAATGCCCACAAGAGAAAGCAGGAAAGATCCAGAATTGACATCCTAACATCACAATTAAAAGAACTAGAAAAGCAAGAGCAAACACATTCAAAAGCTAGCAGAAGGCAAGAAATAACTAAAATCAGAGCAGAACTGAAGGAAATAGAGACACAAAAAACCCTTCAAAAAATCAATGAATCCAGGAGCTGGTTTTTTGAAAGGATCAACAAAATTGATAGACCGCTAGCAAGACTAATAAAGAAAAAAAGAGAGAAGAATCAAATAGCCACAATAAAAAATGATAAAGGGGATATCACCACTGATCCCACAGAAATACAAACTACCATCAGAGAATACTACAAACACCTCTACCCAAATAAACTAGAAAATCTAGAAGAAATGGATAAATTCCTCGACACATACACTCTCCCAAGACTAAGCCAGGAAGAAGTTGAATCTCTGAATAGACCAATAACAGGAGCTGAAATTGTGGCAATAATCAATAGTTTACCAACCAAAAAGAGTCCAGGACCAGATGGATTCACAGCCGAATTCTACCAGAGGTACAAGGAGGAACTGGTACCATTCCTTCTGAAACTATTCCAATCAATAGAAAAAGAGGGAATCCTCCCTAACTCATTTTATGAGGCCAGCATCATTCTGATACCAAAGCCGGGCAGAGACACAACCAAAAAAGAGAATTTTAGACCAATATCCTTGATGAACATTGATGCCAAAATCTTCAATAAAATACTGGCAAACTGAATCCAGCAGCACATCAAAAAGCTTATCAACCATGATCAAGTGGGCTTCATCCCTGGGATGCAAGGCTGGTTCAATATACGCAAATCAATAAATGTAATCCAGCATATAAACAGAGCCAAAGACAAAAACCACATGATTATCTCAATAGATGCAGAAAAAGCCTTTGACAAAATTCAACAACCCTTCATGCTAAAAACTCTCAATAAATTAGGTATTGATGGGACATATCTCAAAATAATAAGAGCTATCTATGACAAACCCACAGCCAATATCATACTGAATGGGCAAAAACTGGAAGCATTCCCTTTGAAAACTGGCACAAGACAGGGATGCCCTCTCTCACCACTCCTATTCAACATAGTGTTGGAAGTTCTGGCCAGGGCAATCAGGCAGGAGAAGGAAATAAAGGGTATTCAATTAGGAAAAGAGGAAGTCAAATTGTCCCTGTTTGCAGACGACATGATTGTATATCTAGAAAACCCCATTGTCTCAGCCCAAAATCTCCTTAAGCTGATAAGCAACTTCAGCAAAGTCTCAGGATACAAAATCAATGTACAAAAATCACAAGCATTCTTATACACCAACAACAGACAGAGAGCCAAATCATGAGTGAACTCCCATTCACAATTGCTTCAAAGAGAATAAAATACCTAGGAATCCAACTTACAAGGGATGTAAAGGACCTCTTCAAGGAGAACTACAAACCACTGCTCAAGGAAATAAAAGAGGATACAAACAAATGGAAGAACATTCCATGCTCATGGGTAGGAAGAATCAATATCGTGAAAATGGCCATACTGCCCAAGGTAATTTACAGATTCAATGCCATCCCCATCAAGCTACCAATGACTTTCTTCACAGAATTGGAAAAAACTACTTTAAAGTTTATATGGAACCAAAAAAGAGCCCGCATCGCCAAGTCGATCCTAAGCCAAAAGAACAAAGCTGGAGGCATCACACTACCTGACTTCAAACTATACTACAAGGCTACAGTAACCAAAACAGCATGGTACTGGTACCAAAACAGAGATATAGATCAATGGAACAGAACAGAGCCCTCAGAAATAATGCCACATACCTACAACTATCTGATCTTTGACAAAACTGAGAAAAACAAGCAATGGGGAAAGGATTCCCTATTTAATAAATGGTGCTGGGAAAACTGGCTAGCCATATTTAGAAAGCTGAAACTGGATCCCTTCCTTACACCTTATACAAAAATCAATTCAAGATGGATTAAAGATTTAAACGTTAGTCCTAAAACCATAAAAACCCTAGAAGAAAACCTAGGCATTACCATTCAGGACATAGGCATGGGCAAGGACTTCATGTCCAAAACACCAAAAGCAATGGCAACAAAAGACAAAATTGACAAATGGGATCTAATTAAACTAAAGAGCTTCTGCACAGCAAAAGAAACCGCCATCAGAGTGAACAGGCAACCTACAAAATGGGAGAAAATTTTTGCAACCTACTCATCTGACAAAGGGCTAATATCCAGAATCTACAATGAACTCAAACAAATTTACAAGAAAAAAACAAACAACCCCATCAAAAAGTGAGCGAAGGACATGAACAGACACTTCTCAAAAGAAGACATTTATGCAGACAAAAAACACATGAAAAAATGCTCATCATCACTGGCCATCAGAGAAATGCAAATCAAAACCACAATGAGATGCCATCTCACACCAGTTAGAATGGCAATCATTAAAAAGTCAGGAAACAACAGGTGCTGGAGAGGATGTGGAGAAATAGGAACACTTTTACACTGTTGGTGGGAGTGTAAACTAGTTCAACCATTGTGGAAGTCAGTGTGGCGATTCCTCAGGGATCTAGAACTAGAAATACCATTTGACCCAGCCATCTCATTACTGGGTATATACCCAAATGACTATAAATCATGCTGCTATAAAGACACATGCACACGTATGTTTATTGCGGCATTATTCACAATAGCAAAGACTTGGAACCAACCCAAATGTCCAACGATGATAGACTGGATTAAGAAAATGTGGCACATATACACCATGGAATACTATGCAGCCATAAAAAATGATGAGTTCATGTCCTTTGTAGGGACATGGATGAAATTGGAAATCATCATTCTCAGTAAACTATCGCAAGAACAAAAAACCAAACACTGCATATTCACACTCATAGGTGGGAATTGAACAATGAGATCACATGGACACAGGAAGGGGAATATCACACTCTGGGGACTGTGGTGAGGTGGGGGGAGGGGGGAGGGATAGCATTGGGAGATATACCTAATGCTAGATGACGAGTTAGTGGGTGCAGCACACCAGCATGGCACATGTATACATACGTAACTAACCTGCACAATGTGCACATGTACCCTAAAACTTAAAGTATAATGAAAAAAAAAAAAAAAAAAAGAAAATCGAGACACAAAGTTGACTTATCCAAGGTAACTGATGTGGTTTGGATCTGTGTCCCCACCCAAATCTCATGTCAAATTGTAATCCCTAGTGTTGGAGGTTGGCCCTGATGGGAGGTGATTGGCTTATGGGGGTGGAGTTCTCATGAATAGGTTAGCACCATCCCCTCACTGCTGTTCTCAAGATAGTGAAAGAGTGAGTTATCACGACATCTGGTTGTTTTAAAAGTGTGTGTCACCCTCCCCCGGCCCCTTGCTCCTGCTCCACCATATAAGACACCTGGCTCCCCGTTGCCTGCCGCCATGATTGTAAGTTTCCTGAGGGCTCCCCAGAAGAAGATGCTGCCGTGCTTCCTGCACAACCTATGGAACTGTATGCCAACTTAGAAAGAAACCTCACTTCTTTGTAAATCACCCAGTCTCAGGTATGTCTTTATAGCCATGTGAGAATGGACTCATACAGTGACACAGCCAGTTAGTGGCAAAGCCAGAATTCCAATCCAGGGAGTCAGGTTCCTGGGCTTATGCTCTTAACTGCAATGCTGTATTAGTCATGTGAGAACAATGTTAGCATAAACATCAGTATGAACACCTGAACCCTTTCAACAATGACAGGTGGCCTTGCTGGTCTTATGGCTTCCGATGCATTCTGGCCTATATGGTCATCTTAACACTTTGAAAATGAACTTTCTGATTCTTCCATCCCAGGCAGAGCTGCCAGAATTACTGGCAAGGGTCAAGTTATTGAGCTCTCTCTTCTCAGACTGGGGAAAGTATTCGGGTATCCCCAACAACCATTCCTCCTCTTCGGAGACAAGATGGCACGGAGCGTGGGCTGCTGCTGTGGAGATGCGTGTTGCTATGACGGCGGCTCATGCCTCCTTCCTACCCTCTCCAAGGTGCTGACACAGGCAGTGGTTTCTATGGTAACAGGGCGAGTGGAGGGTCCATAAAGAAAGGACTCATGTGTTCTGACATGAGGGGAATTGAAATGAATCCTGGGCATTTGGAGGGCTACCCTGACATATGTCAAAGAGAAATGGTCTCATTACTGCAGGAATAGTCCCAGCAAGTAGACTGTTTGAGACAACAGAGTTTCTTAACTTATTCTCCCCCAAAAGTTTGCCTTTTGTCTTTTTTTTTTTTTGAAACAGGGCCTTGCTCTGTCACCCAAGTTGGAGTGCATTGGCGTGATCTTGGCTCACTGCAGCCTCGACCTCCTAGGCTCAGGTGATCCTTTCGCCTCAGCCTCCCAAGTAGCTGGGACTACAGGAGTACACCACCATGCCCAGCTAGTTATTTTCATATTTTTAGTAGAGATGGGGTTTCACCATGTTGCCCAAGCTGGTCTTGAATTCCTGGGCTCAAGCAATCTACTTGCCTTGGCCTCCCAAAGTGCTGGGATTACAGGCATGACCCACCACGCCCAGCCTGTCTTTTTTTTTTTTTTTATAAGGACAATTTAAGATTTCAAAAATTAAGATAAAGAGGCGGAAAACCATAGTGAGACTGAATTCTCAGGGGTGCGTAAGTCAATTACTATGCAGCCAATAGACCCACAAATAACTTTTGAATATGGCTCCAGGCATCTCAGAGAAGTTTCAAAGAATAAAGGTACTTATGTTCTGTCCTCTTTGAAGCTGCTCAATGCCCAGCCTCGGAAAACTCTTCCCGTTGACTGACAGCCTCTGCCCTGCAGGCTGTGGTGCCCCTTCAGAGCCCACGCCTTTCCTGCTGCCAGAAAGGCAGGGCAGATCCCCCCCCCCACCTCCCTGGGGCCATGGCTGGCTGCACCCTGGGATCCTGGCCCACATATCAACGCTTACTCACTTTGCCCTTTGCATGCTTTAAAAGTAACAGGAGGTGTGGGAGGAAAGCCAAGTTTGTGTCAACCCAGCATTCTAAGTGCAGGCTCAGCGGGGGAGACCATTTGGCGGTGGCAACTGTTTTGCATCTCCTCCTGGGTCGGCATGCAGGATAAGACATGGCACCAGCTAGCTAATGCTTATTTGAGTGCTTACTATGTGCTAGACACATTTCTAAGCAATTGACATCAATGGGCTCATTTAGTTTCCCAGACAACCTGATGAGATAGTGCTGTCCCCATTTTACAGATGAGGAAACAGAGAGTTTGAGTAACTTACTCAAAGCCTTACATTTAGGAAATAGAAGAGCTAGGATTCAAACCACACATCAAGGCCCTGGATTTGGGCAGTGGCCACGGGAAGAAATCAAACTAGTATACTCAAAGAAACCTGGGCAGAGAGTGAGCTTGCCACCGGAAGAGGTGGAAACTGTATTAAGACGCTTTCAGTGACAGAAATCCAGCTCAGGCATTCTTGAGGAACAACAGGAATGTGGGGATCCATAATTCGGAGATGCCCAAGGATATGTCCAGCCTCAAGCGCTGCTGAATCCAGGCCCTCAACCCCGCCCCCTGCCCCCCAAGCTAAGCCCAGCCTAGGTTCCTCCTATTGTTGCATTCTCACACTCTCCCCACGCAGTAGGAGCTTCAGAATGACATCCTACTTAGCTTAGCCACAGGAGAAAAAGAGGACCTATCTTCCATCATTCTAGCCAAGTCTTGGAGTTGATGATGTTGGCATGATTGGTCCAGTTTGGGTCCCATGTCAACTCCCAAGCCAACCACTTAGTTGATCCTGTATCTCATGGGCAAAACCTGGGTAATGTGCCCAGCTTTGGAGTAATGGTGGAAGGAAGCAAAGCATTGGTAAGCGGGGCTCCCAGATGGAAATCTGCTGTGAGCAGAGGAGGAAGAAATGGATCCTGGGTAGGCAAAATAAAGCAGCTCTCCTTAACCCTTGCTCTCCAGAATATACAGAGAAATGGTGAAGACCAGACAGTCATTAGCCAAATCCTGCACCTATCCCTTCTGCCCACTCAGAGGCCCGAGCCGTACAAGTCATAGAGATGAGCCAATCTCTCCTCTCTCCAAGGAGGGAGCAGCCAGCCAGTGGGAGCCCTGCATAGCTGGTCTCTGGCACGCACTTCCCCACCTTTGCACTTCACAGGACACCCTCCTCTTTTGATGCCTGCTCTCTTCCCCACCTCCACTGGCACTGCCTCATTACTTTTGCTTTCTGTGTCTCTCATCCACCTCTTTTCACATGCACCTCACTCAGGCTCTTTCATCAGAGATGCTTAAAATCTTTCATCTTTCTTTTTCTGCCCATCCTTCTCCTGGCGTTTTCCCACCGTCATTAAAAATCAAAGTCCTGATTTCTCGATTGCCTTCTGAGGGTTTTTTGTGGCCCCAGTCCAGGTACATAGGAGCCCAGTAGCTTTTCTTGATGGGTCTCTGAGCATTTTCAGGCATGTGCTTTAGGGAACTGAGATTCAGGGAGATTAAGCATGTCTCTTTTGTGGTTTTATTGCTGAGGAAGCACAGCAGCTGCGTGATCTGTAATACCAAGTTTGTCTCTCTCCGCTCATCCAACCAACACTTCCTCCAGGCTCGGGACAAGCCATCCCTCAGTGTGAATTTACTTCATCCCTCATTGATCCTTTGTTTCTTTGAACTTCCAGACAATTTTATAGTTACTTTGGCTCCTGGGACCTGTCTCCTGCTGTGGCTCCTAGGGTCCTAAAGTAATGGAAATTAAGGTACATTTATTTGGTTGGCAGAATCTTTGGAGATCTTATTGTCTACCGTTCCTCCACTGCAGGGTGATTAGAGTGTTCAGAAATAAAGCCGGCTCTGAAAGGCCACATGATAGGAGGGACTACTGGAGATTGAACATTCGTGCCTCACTCCTAAATTCATATGTTGGTGCAGAAACCCCAGGGTAATGGTGTTTGGAGGCAGGGCCTTTGGGAGGTTATTAGGTAATGATAAGTCCATGAGGGTGGTGCCCTCATGATGACATAAGTTTATCTTATAAGAAAAGAAGACACAAGAGCTCTCCCTTCACAAGTACACAGCAAGAAGGCTGCCATCTACAAGCCAGGAAGCAGGCCCTTGCCAAGCATGGGATGTGTCAGAACCTTGATCTTGGACTTCCCAGCCTCCAGAACTATAAGAAATAAATTCCTGTCCTTCCAGCCACTCTGTCTATTCTATTCTATTTTGTTATGGAAGCTTGGTATGGTTTGGCTCTGTGTCCTCACCCAAACATCATGTTGAATTTTAATCCCCACCTGTTGGAGAAGTGGCCTGATGGGAGGTGATTGAGTTATGGAGGAGGATTTCCCCCTTGCTGTTCTCCTGATAGAGTTCTCATGAGAACTGGTTGTTGGATAAGTGTACAGTGCATCCCCCTTCTCTCTCTCCCTCTCTCCTACCAGCATGTAAGACATGCCTTGCTTCTCCTTTGCCTTCTGCCATGATTGGAAGTTTCCTGAGACCTCCCCAGCCATGCAGAACTGTGAGTCAATTAAATCTCTTTTACTTATAAGTTACCCAGTTGCAGGTAGTTCTTTATAGCAAAGTGAAAACGAACGAATACAAAGCCCCAACAGACTAAGACACATACATTATCAGCAAGAGCCAATTTTCTTCCTTTGTGCAGAGAGCTCAGGCTGTGACCAAACTTCCAAATCTGAAATTCTTGATTTCATGTACCAGCTAAGGGAGAAGCAAATTCTTCACCTTTCGCATATGAGCTAGTCATTAGCACTGCTCACTAAAATTTTCCATTCTCCTGGTACGATGTAGGATTGTACTTCACTCCCCCCTTGCAGTTAGGGGTACACAGGTAGCACTCGTCAGCCAAGGGAATGTCTATGATCTCTTCTAGATGGAAGTTGTAAGAGCTGACACCAGCTGATGTGTGTGGCTGATCATGTTTTCTCTTTCTTTTATTAACTCTGCCACAAGATCCAGCTGCTCCATCAGCCTGGGTTCTGGGGTGAGGACACCTGAAGCAAAGCCCACCCCCACACACACCTCACCTCTGCTCTTCCAAGAGCCATGAATGCAATGCAACCCCCCCTCATTATAAACCACTGAGATTTGGAGTTGCTGTTATTGTATCATAACCCAGCATGTCCAGACCAATGGTCAAATCCTTTTAACAAGCAGGCCCTAAGTGGATTGAGGCCTGGAGGAACATTTGTTCAATGGAGACTTCTCAACTCTATCAGCCTAGAAGATTCTCTTCTCCTCTACCCACCAACTCTTCATATGGCTCAGTCTTTATCTTTTAGGTCTCTGCTCAGAAATCACCTTTTCCAGGGGACTTCCCTGATCAGAATGTGTTAAGAAGCTCCTCCTAATCACTTTATGCCTTCATCAGGTATAAATTTTAGGAATCTGGTGTAATCTTATTTATTTGCTTCCCTATTGTAATAAAAGCTCCTTGAGGCCAGATGCAGTTGCTCACCCCTGTAATCCTAACACTTTGGGAGGCCAAGGCAGGAGGATCACTTGAGTTTGAAACCAATCTGGGCAACACAATGAGACCCTGCCCCTGGTAAAAAAATAAAAATAAAAAATTAGCTGAGTGTGATGGCACATGCCCATAATCCCAGCTATTCAGGAGGTTGAGGTGGGAGGATGGCTTGAGCCCAGGAGTTCAAGCCTGCAGTGAGCTATGATTACACCACTGCACTCCAGCCTGGGTGACAGAACAACACCTTATCTCAAAAAATAAAATAAAATAAAATTTTAATTAATCCCCTTGAAAGCAGCGATGTCATCTTGTGCACCTCTATATCCTTAGTACTTAGAATGCTGCCTGGAAACTAGGACTTCAAAACAGTTTGTTGAATGAATGAGTAAGCGAATAGGAAAGAAGGCAACAAAGAAAATCCTTTATGTTGCTATGTTTCCATTCAGAGCCATTTTGGTTTGAGATGTAACATAGAAATGAATAGGGGTGGTAAATCTTCAAACTCCTCCCTTTTTCCAACTTGCTATTGATTCTATTTATTTTGATGTCAGACCTCAATATAATTAGACTGTTATGTGTCAATAGCAGTTAATTGCCCCAGTTCCTCCCATCATCCCTTCTGAAAGTCTACCCTGACCTCCAGTGGGCTCAGGATTTGCTTCACTGGGCAATTCCTAATCGCCATGGCCACAGCCTATGGCACTGTTTGGTGGTGAGTTATGTGTATATGGCCCTTAGACCTTCAGCCCTTTGAGGACAGGGACTGAATCTTTTAATCTACATTTTCAGGGGCTTCCTCAGCCCCGATCCTCTAGAAGGAGTTTTGGAGATGCTTGAGAGGGAGTGAGCTGTCTTTTGTTGTTTGTACCTATCTCCCTCCAGTCAGGGTTACTTTGCTTTCTTCTTGTCTTCCTTATGTCAAGCATGTAATAAACACTCAGTGACTGTTGCCTGCTTCCTTTTTCTTTGTCAGAGCCCACCATATTTGCCTTTCTCACTGCATGGAGAGGACAGAGCCTACAGCTTGCTCGTCACTCTATGAGTGGAGTCCCAGGGCTTCTTAGAGAAAAAATTAAGCTGAGGACAAGGGTTACCACATATGGTTAATATAGTGACCTTATTTCCAAAATTTCTAAATCCCACATTACAACACATTGTCTGATTAAAGATTTTGGTGTCATGTTCAAGTGCATGAAATAATTTAGGAGTTGAAGTTCAGATGCCCAATAAACATTAGCCAGACGAGTAAATGGAGGTATGGCAAGAACCAAGATGAGCTGCAAAATTAAAATTTTCTGTCTCATAAGCAAATGGCATCAAGAAAATCAATCATACCTGGAATGGAGTCTTTCATTTTCAAAAATAAAAATAAAAAAACTTCTGGAACATCAGAATATCCTTCAAATGAAATTGGAAGTAAACAGATTCTCTCCCTTGTTTTGAGATTTTGCTGTGAAGCCCTCAGAAATTCTCCTAAGAAGGCCAGAAAGATCATGGTCACTTGTTATATTACAGTCAAATGCTCAATGCACACAAATGGCATTCCATAGATGGGTGCCTGGGGTGCAGTAGCCATCCTGCATTAATGTTTTCCCCACAGCTGAGTGCCTTCATGCCCCACACAGTGCAGGCTTGTGGCCGCAGGAAGCTCTCTTGTCTGGCATACTCCCTGCTCTCACTGACCCAGCAAAGGAGAGAAAACAATAAATAGATACTGGTTACAAAGGTTGACATTCTATCAGAGAAGGATACAAGGTACAGTGAACGCCAAGAAGGACATGGTTAACTGCCTGATACAGTCAGGGACAGCTTCGAAAGGGATGCCTGAGCTGAGCCGTGAATGATGAACAGGAGAGGACATTCCGGGTAGTCCAGACATGACTGCAAAAACAGAGGAGTGTGGAACGGCATGGCGCCTTTTGGGGAATGGTAGGTGAGTGACTCAGCATTGCCAGGGAACAGGACATCTCCATGTTGCCATCAATCTGCTTTGCATCAGGTTTTTTTTGTTGTTGTTGCTGGTTGTTATTATTATTTTTTGACAGGATCTTGCTCTGTTGCCCAAGCTGGAGTGCAGTGGCACAAATATGACTCATTACAGCCTTGACCTCTTGGGCTCAAGTGGTCCTTCTGCCTCAGCTTCATGTGTAGCTGAGACCACAGGCATGTGCCAGTATGACCAGCTAATTTTAGTTATTTGTAGAGATGGGGTCTCGCTTTGTTGCCAAGGCTGGTTTCAAACTTCTGGGCTCAAGCAATCCTCCCACCTGGGCCTCCCAAACTGCTGGGATTATAGGCGTGAGCCACCATGCCTGGCCTTGATCAGTTTCTATAGTCTTCCCAACATAAAACCACACATATGCACACACACAAGCATGCACACACAAACACACTTGATGGCATTTACCTAAAATGCACTTTATTTTCTTCTAGTAGCCCATGAAGTCTGTTTAGAAGGCTTAGGACTCATGTATAACGCACACACACAAGCCCGGCATGTGATGCCCCTCAGGGCCTAAGTTAGCACACGCATTCTGCCTGTTTAACCGAAGGAAGTAGACCTGGATCTTGGTTCAGAGAAATACTGGGAAAGTATCTTATGTACAGCAGATATGTAATTCACTGAGTAACTTCTTTGGTTGTTTTTTTTATTTGTTAAATTTAACAATCTGCTCTTCTCCAAATCTTTTTGTTATACCAAATACTGTAGCAACAGCAGCTGCCAATCGCATCGATCCCATCAAGTGTGTCTGTGTGTCCATGCTTGTGTGTGTGCATATGTGGGTGAGTGTGTGTGCTTGGTGCAATCCTGGACCTTCCTACCTACCTGAAAACCAAACAAGAGCTGACTCTTTCTTGTGACTAGTGATTGAAAGAACCACCATCGCACACGCTTAACCTGACCAATGAATGAACAATCAGGGCTCATTCTGGATGACAGCTTTACAGTTTGTCATATAAAATCAAACTCCCTAAAAAGGTTAGAATTGTCAGGGCTTGTGATACAGATCTGTTTGTCTCTTTCACTTCAAAATGACAGGGCCAGAATGCCTTTTCCCCAGCCGCATTCGGTAGGCTGGCTCCACACACACCTGAGCCACACAGGTAACATTAGGAAATGTAAAGTGGGAAGAGGGCAGTGAGACCCCCACAAGCTGGGCACCATCTTGGTTGGTGGGCACACTAGTTTTGCTGCAGTACTGTCATTTTGGTTAAAGTTAGTTGACATGGTTTGGAACTGTGTCCCCATCAAATCTCATGTCAATTTGTAATCTCCAATGTTTGGAGGTGGGGCCTAATGGGTAGTGATTGGGTCATGGGGGTGGATTTCTCATGAATGGTTTAGCACCATGTCTTTGATGTTGTTCTCATGATAGTGTGTGAGCTCTCCTGGGATCTGGTTGTTTAAAAGTGTGTGGCACCTCCTCCCTCTTTTTCTCTTGCTCCTGCTCCTGCCATGTAACTCATGCTTGCTCCCCTTTCGCCTTCCACAATGACTGTAAGCTTCCTGAGGCCTCCCCAAAAGCCAAGCAGATGCCAGCATCATGCTTCTTATACAGCCTGTGGAACTGTAAGCCATTAAACCTTTTTCGTATACATTACCCAGTCTCAGGTATTTCTTTATAGCAATGCAATAACAGACTAATATAGTAATAATGATTGCCTTATTTAAATATCAAGTGGTTACTTTTGTTTACAGCAAACCCATGAGCAAAAAAGTAGACTGGTATATTCTGGAGAAAAAGAAGTTAGTCAAATACCAAGATTGAGACCCAGCAGCAGCCCACAGACAGAGATGGTGCCATGACACCCAACTGCCTCCAACTCCCTCTCACAGGATTCCTGCTGTGTTTTAAATACTTACCAATATGGCCAACTGGACTGCAAGAACTTTCAAAAAATGCATGTTCTAACTAAATTAGAGATTTCTTCCTTTGAAAGGCAACGAAGTGAGGTTCATTATCTGGCGATTAAACCATTATCACCTTGTATTCCCTAGAAAGGAGAGGGATCTGCAGAATGGAAAAGAGGTTTAGGAGGTCCATAGCTCACAGGGTGCCAGAGTGAGCTGCAGGAAAGTACACCAAGGTGATCATGGCAGGGTGACGCCAATGGGATTTGACTTTGTCTATTCCATAACTTTGTCCAAGTCCATTTCTAAAGAGTTTGTAAATATAGAATATATATTTCTGTCAATTTTTCTGAGCCTTAAACAACTTCTTTCAGGGCTATTGGCCATCTTGCAAAGGTGAATCACATTTTCTTGGAGGTAGTTACAGATAAACTCCAGTGCCTGTGTGTGTCTTTTGAAATAGAAGAAAAAGATACGAAAAGCGAGAGTAGAGTAGGGGCTCATCTGGACCCAAGCAACACCAAGTGGCAAGCACAGTTGACACTCAGCAGACAGTTGGCTCCAGCAGAGAGAGCTGGTAGTTTTACCATAGCCTTCCAATCAAGATGTTCAGAAGGGAACTATTGTAATTTTTTTTTTTTTTTTGAGATAAAATTCTTCTCTGTTACCGAGGCTGGACTGCAGTGGCGCGATCTCAGCTCACCGCAACCTCTGCCTCCCGGGTTCAAGCAATTCTCCTGTCTCAGCCTCCTGAGTAGCTGGGATTACAGGCGCATGCTGCCATACCTGGCTCGTTTTTTGTATTTTAGTAGAGATGGGGTTGCACTGTGTTGCCCAGGCTGGTCTCAAACTCCTGAGCTCATGCAAACAACCCGCCTTGACTTCCCAAAGTACTAGGATTACAGGTGTGAGCCACCGTGCCCAGCCTGTAATTTTTTTTTCATGCTGCACAGTTTCATGAATCTTGCCTTCCTTCAAAGTCCAGCAGCCAGCATTCTCATGCTGGTGATTTATTTCAATTCTGTTTTTATTAGTAGCTTCTCTTATTGGGTAAAATCAAATCATTTTGCTGCTGCCCAGAATGCGAATGTGAGGCACAGGCAGAGGAGCTGGCTTGTCAGGGCATTCTCACAGATACCCACATGCATATATTTAAAGCCAAAGGACTTTTAAAAATTTACACTTTGCACTTTAAAACGCCTTCTGCATTTAGCTTAGAAAAAGAAATATGTTTCAGCAGGCTGGTCTCATGCCCTCCTCCCCATTGCTTTTCCATGTCTTTTAAAACTCAAACTCCCTTCCCCACAATATGTTATAAAAATCTCTTTCTATCCACCTCTTTTGGGGGATTTTCACCTCTACAAGTCAATTCCCTTTGAATGAATTTTGAAGATTTGTATATTTTTAATAGCATATTTGGAAAAGCAAAGGATTTGTCAGTTTGTGGATAAGAATATTATACACAAATTCAAAATATTTTGAGGTCTGGAGGACAAAGCTAGGCATTTGGTTTTGCAAGGTCTTTCCAACACAATTCAGCTCTTGAGTTTTCCTTATTGAAATCCTGCCTTTGTTCATTGCTTTGCCTCTGGCTCAGCTCTTGGTGAAAAGCTCCCCAAAGCAGGAAGATGTGCTGTCCTATCGCCCTCATCATCTTCATGCAGCCAACTTGCTGAGGAGTCTGCCGCTGGGGGAGAATGCATTGCATGGATCAGGACCAGATTGTGTTCATTAGAAGCCACTCCCCCCAATTTCAGCTACACAAAAGGATGTTAAAATTGAGCTGTGATTAAAGCCTTTCTCTTGCTCTTAGTGGGACTCATATCCAGACCAAAGACTTCCCTCCCACACATGTGCATCTGCTCAGGCACCTGCTAGCTATCTGAGCTGGTTGGCAGTGGAGCTGAGGACCCCACATTATTTATACATGACTTTGGAGGGAACTGAATGAGTCTGGTTCTGATGGATCCAATTTATTTTCTGGGTTACTTGTTACAGCTTGGCCTAAGAGACTCCACGCTATTAAAATGAGGTCACACAAGGCAGGGACAACTAACAATGGAATCTACAAGGGCAGGGGAGAGTCAGATTGGAGTTAGACCCAAAGCTGATGTCAGGCTCAGACACAGAGCTGATGTCAAGAAAATAATTGGCGGTGAACTAGCAGCAAAGCTGACCCTTGATTCAGAGATTTGGGAGAGAGGTGCTTTTGTTTTGTTCTTCTCGGGAGCATTTTTAAAGTATTGGGGTAAAATACACATAACATAAAATGTACCTTCTTAACCATTTGTAAGTGTACAGTTCTGTGGTGTTAGGTGCATTCACACTGCTGTGCAACCAATCTCCAGAGCTCTTCTTGCAAAACTGAAATTCCGTCCCCATTAAACAGCAATTCCCCATTCCCCCTTCTCTAACCCCTGGCATCCACCCTCTACTTTCTGTCTTAGGATCATCATGTTAAGTGCCTGTGCTGTTAGGGCTCCTTGAGTCATAAGTAACAAGCACTGGAAACTGCGAAAGCAATAAAGGTTTAAGAGAATCCAAGGATTGGTTGAGCGGTCAGCCACAAGACAGGCAGTGACAGGCCTCAGGAACTAATGGAGCCCAGGCCTTAAATGCCATCAAACTCCTGCCTCATCCTGTGCCCCTGCTTCTTTCCACACATCAGCTCCACCTCCTTCCCTCTGCAGACAGGCTTTCTCTACAAGGCAGAGAATGTGCCTGCCAGCAGTTTCATATTAACTTCATCCACCAGAGAGACACTGGATTGCCAGATTCTTTGGTTCCAATATAAATTCCTAGGGAAGGGGCTTACTGAGTCAAGTGGATCAGAAATGCATGCCTGGATCAATCAGCCATGACCAGGATGGTAGGGATGCTATCATTGGCCCAGCTTAAGTCAGGTGCCCACCTCTGGCCAAACAACTATGGCTAGGGGAGGGGCATAGAAGATAATGACCGATCCCATGGGAACAATCTGGGTAAAGGGAGGAGCTGAAGAAGTTTCCAGCAGAAACATCAATGGTGCTGGGAGGATGTAACAGAAGGCATTCATTATCATGCTGCTGGGACTCAGAAAACAATATCCCAAAATGAAAGCCTCAGAAGCAAAAGTTTTTCTCATTCTCCTACCTTCCTGTCTCTCAGTCCCATTTTCTCCCAAGGCTACCCATAGAAACTAGAATTCCTCTTCCCCAAGGCAAGTCATAGAAACCAGAACCCCTTTTCCCCGAAGCCAGCCAAAAAATATTAAAATAATATTAAACTATTACTCTAACTTTCCTTTGGCCTTTTCTGTGGGAAAAAAAAAAAAAAAGGCTGGCTGGCACAGTGGCTCACGCCTGTAATCCCAGCACTTTGGGAGGCCGAGGTGGGCAGATAACCTGAGGTCAGGAGTTCGAGACCAGCCTGGCCAACATGGAGAAACCCCATCTCTACAAAATACAAAAAGTAGCTGGGTGTGGTGGTGCACGTCTGTAATCCCAACTACTTAGGAGGCTGAGGCAGGAGAATCACTTGAACCTGGGAGGCAGAGGTTGCAGTGAGCCGAGATTGCGCCCCTGCACTCCAGCCTGGGCAACAGAGCAAGACTCTGTCTCAAAGGAAAAAAAGAAAAGCTGGCCATAATGAAATGATTTGACCTACAGTCAAACAAAGTAGGTCCGTACCCAGAAGGATGGAATGCTGCTCAGAAAGGCAAGAAGAATACAAACAGACAAGCCTTGCTGGGCTTCCCTGCTCAGTCTACTGGTGTTAGATCAGGCCATCTTTGTCCAATTGTATTTTCACATGGTTGTTAGTACTTTGTAGAACCTAATCATAAAAATGAACAATTTCCCCTGTATCTTTGGGTCATCATTCTGAAGGCTCCTGTGTCACATAAAAGTATGATCAAGTACATTCGTATGCCTTTTCTCCTATTAACCTGCTTCTTATCAGTGATTTTTCAGCAAAACTTTAGAGGATGAAGTTTTTCCTTGGCCCCAACAGTCTCCTTCACTTCCTCTTCCTCCACCAGCTGTCCCTGTATTTCAAAGCCATTTATGCACTGATTAGCTCCCACTCCTTCATGGTGACAAGCCTTCTCCAGGAGGTACCGCCTTCTCCACATCTTCCTTACTAGCAACAGGAGATGATGAGGTCGTCATCTGCATAGTGCCAGGCACAGTACACACATTTTCTCTCTCTCTCTCTCTCAATCTCTCTCTCTCTCTCTCCTTTTCCTTTTCCTTTCCTTCCTCTCTCTCTGTCTCTCTTTATTCCAACAAAAGATGACCTGCTAGGATCTTAAAATGTGCTTTTTTTCCCCAATGGTATTCTTGTACTTTCCAAAGGAGACCAAAACCTTCTAAAGGGTGGTTACCCCAAATTCACCACTCACGGTGGGATCGGAGGCATCTGGTCTCTAATCCCCCTTCCTGAGCCTGCCCAGCAGCACTTCCCCGTTGGAACGGCCTCTGAGCTGCTGGCAAGAAGACAAAGGGAGATTTTCTCCTCGTTCTTGTTATTATCATAATTCCCTTGTTTTGTGACATTTAACAAGGCGGGCACCATCTGCGTTTTTATATTGGTCAGATTATCCTTGCCTTTAAAGAACTGTCTCGGCATTTGGGCTGAGCAGATTTACAGGCAGGCAAACACTTCATCCCCACAGCATATTAGCTGAGGAGAACCACCAATTGCATCCTGGGAGGCCTCCATCCAAGGCCGGTCAAGGCCATAAATCTGCTGCAGCAGGGTCCCCACAAACATCCCCAGAGACACTTAGCACTCACCAGACTCCAGAGGCAGGTCAGAGGTCTCCATGGTGTCCACGTGAGAGCACATTTAAAGTAATACCACTGGGCATGGTGATCCCTCGTATGTTTTAAAGACCCTTATCCCCAACTGAGAGTTTCCAAAGACATTTTCGAGGTGTGCTGCTCCGTCTGAGGCTATTGAAATGCCATTTGCAACTTTGAGCTAAGTCAGAAAAGGGATGTTTAAAGTGTGTATGTTATATTTCTGGCCATAAGTATTGCTCCAGCCTTTTCTGCCTAAAAAGTAAGATAGAATCATAGCATTTACAGTCAAGAAGTTTTCAATGTGAACTAGGCTTGGGACTAGCCAGGATGAAGCAAAAGTCATTTACTGAGTGTTTACTGCAGGCTCACAGAGCCTAAGACTGCTCAGAAAAGCTGAAGATTGTGGTCCCCAACCTCAGGAGGCTTACAGTCACCACAGTGGAGCCATTAGTAAATAACCACTGTTTGTGTCTGCCCAATGTCCATTTTCTTTGATGCTGCTCACAGATGCCTGATGTCCTTCGGAGAACAGTACCTTCTCCATTTTCAAATTATGCAGCTTATAATGAGCCCCTCTCCGAATTCCACAGATGGTCACACGACTCAGAGCTAACCAATCAGAGTGTCCCATCCTTCTGATTGGCTCATGAATGGGCACATGATCCATGGCTGGCCAATCAAACTAATTTCTGGGTCTTTCACTGGAACTATTGGGAAAGAGCCTTGGTCTTTCTGTTTTTTAGCTGGCAAGAGGGCAATCTGGTATAGCTGATGGTTATATGCTTCTCTGTTTTGCAGATGGGAGAACTAAAGCACAGAGAAGTTAAGTAACTCATCTAAGGTTACAAAGTCAGCTGGAGGAAGAGCTGGGATTCAAATCCAAACAGGCTAATTCCAGAATCCATGCTTTAGTGGATTCCCAGTGTTCCCAGAAGAACCTTAAAAATTGACTTTCCAGCCATCATGGGACTGGAGGTCAGATGTGTCTTGTTATACCCCCTTTCTTCTGCAGATGGAACAACTAACCAGCACTAATGTTAACATAGAGATCATAATACTAGCAAAACAGACTATTTGTGGTAATGAGAACCTTTCATACAATCCATCCACCATCATTGCCTGCCAACAGAGACCTCTTCACACTTCTTAAAGCTCTTTCTTCCAGGAAAAGGCCCCTTCCAGAACAGTCTCTAAGATCCACCAGAAATGATGATCTCTGGATTTGGTGCATATCATAGGTTAGTAGTGTTAATTAAAAGAAAGAAAGAAAAAAAGAAAAAACAAGCCTGTAATCCCAGCACTTTGGGAGGCTGAGGCGAGTGGATCACCTGAGGTCAGGAGTTGGAGACCAGACTGGCCAATATGGCGAAACCCTGTCTCTCCTAAAAATACAAAAAATTAGCCAGGCGTGGTGGCAGGCGCCCATAATCCCTGCTACTCGGGAGGCTGAGGCAGAAGAATAACTTGAACCCGGAAGGTGGAGGTTGCAGTGAGCCGAGATAGCACCATTGCACTCCAGCCTGGGCAACAAGAATGAAACTCCAGTAGAAAAGGAGAGAAATAGACTTTATTTCTTATAAAGGGTTACAGCCTGCAAGGTGGCCATCCCATAGGCTGGGAAGCGAGTCTTTGGCAAAGAGCCCACAGTCTGGCACTTCAAAGGAGGAGGGGTTGGGATGGGATCTTTGTGCTGAAGAGGTTGGTTAAACATACATATTCAACAGATTATGGGAGGAGCTATGAGTATCATGAATATTCATAGTCCTGACACTTGCATATTGAACAAGCATGCATGTAACATACGGCCCATGTTTGCTCTAGAGCGGAGACTTAACATTTAAATGTATTACAATTAGGCCTTGTATGTCAAAAGGTCTTTTCAGGACATGAAGGCACGCAAGTGCGCAATCTGTAAACCGACCAGAACCAGTCCATGGTCAGTGGTCTTCTCATCTGCAGAAAGTGATGGAAATCAGCCTCTTGTCCAATGAAAGCTACAGTTATGGCTGGTTGAACAGGGCCTGGGAGTCAATCAGCATCTGATGGAGCTGCGAATTGTTTTAATATGGCTTATCTCAGGGCCAGCACTTATTTAGCTTTTAGAGAAAAAGAAAAACCTTGTATCAGTTAGAACATAGTTTATTCTTTAAGTGTAGGGGTGCAGGACTTAACCCTTGCCTGCTGGGGCCTTAGGTCACATTTGTAATTTGCTACATTACCACAAAAAGTCTGTTCTGTCAGTCTTATGATCTCTGCGTTAATAATAATGCTGGTCAGTTGTTCTGTCTGCAAAAGAGAGGGGGTATAACAAGACACATCTGACCTCCAGTCCCATTATGGCTAGAAAGTCAATTTTTAAGGTTCTTTTGGTGTCTTCTTGGCAAAAAGAGGGATTCGTTCAATCAATGGGGACTTAGGATTTTATTTTAGGTCTACAGAGCTTAAGGACCACAAAAAAAGCTAACAGCCCACCAGAATGTCTAGAAGAAAAAATCTTAACCTGCCTTGGGTTCCTGGCCCCTGTAAGAACTTGAAGAAAGCTATGGACCCACTATCCCCAAAAGTTTGTATATACTTGCAAGGTTATACATGACAAGGTTCTTATGATTTCAAGTGACAGAAACCCAATTCAAATCATCTTGCTCAAAAAGGGGAAAGTATTGGTTCACATAACTGTGGTAAGAGCAGAGATGCAGCCAGGTCCTACCAACAACTGGAACCAGGGACAAGGCCTTTTGTTTTTGCTTTTTTCCGCTGCCTCTTTTAACATGTGAGTTTCATTCTCTCTGATCCATGGTAAACAACATGGGTGAAATTGAGTCTCATTGCACACTGAAAAACCACATCTTCACCCCAGCTCCAGCTCAAAAATATCTGAGGAAGGGACTGTAATTGGTGTGAGTGTGGGCTCACACATGTGGCCATAGGAGCAGAGAACTGAGACCACAAACAGTTATCACCCAAGACAGAAGGTGGGATCCTCAAAAGAAGACAGGGTGTGAGGCAGACAAAACAAAGATGATCTCAATAAAGAAACCCAGGTAGGACCCCGGGTCTGGAAGCTAGAACTGTTTCTTACAAAATAAAGTGAAAAACTGAAGATATTATATGACTAATTCAGAAAGACACTGACCTCACACTAAATTATTAGAATAGTTCAAGGGAAATGTTTTGACCACGATTATCCAGAATGTAGCCTCCAAACTTTTTTTTTCTTTGCTATGAATTAGTTTAGCACAGCCCATATTCCTGTGACTTATCAAAGAAAAATTACTTTAGAAAATAAAAAGAAGATATGGATTTATTTTTGGGAAATATAATGCTCTGTTAGCATGAAGTTTCTTCTGCTTCCAAATTTTAAAAGAGAAATAAAACACATTAGATCAGATTGATTTTATTCAGGCTTTCTATATCCAATATTAATTGGGTACAATTGTTCGGAAGTGCTCAATTGTTAGGAAGTGCCTTTCTAAAGACATCCCCAACTCCAATTTTAGCCCCTTTCAACCTGTCCTCTGCGTAGATGCCTGGCTAGTTAGCCTAAAACACTACTACTTCATTATGATTCTCCATAAATTCGTGGTTTACAAAACCACACTCGATGCGGATCCACCTTCCTAAACCAATCTCATCTCCAACTATTCCATCTGGGATTGCTTCCTCAACTCTTAAAGCTTCATGCTCGTCTTCATTTCCGGCACCCTCATCTCCTTTTAACTTACTCTAAACATCCTCCACTGTTGAAAGCTCCATTCCATTTTCACCTTTGTAGAGGACTACCAAGCATCACAGAACATGCCAGTCATTTACCTTTTGCTCTTGATTCATTGCCACCTTTCTTCTGTTCTGCTCCATATGCAGGGAGCTCGTCCCTGCAAACTCCATTCCCAGGCATTCTTGTTAACTGGCTTCCAGACAGGTTCATCCATTAAGACGTGAGATCCAGAAGACATCTCCGAAGAGTGGCATCTCTGAGGAGTGACTTCCCTCCTTTGCGGCCAACTCTACCTTCTGTGCTCTGGTAATAGCCTTTGCTGTCACTGATCTCTAGGATGCCTCACTAACCCTGTTTGGTTTCCCAGGCCTTCCAACATGGCCATATCTTTGTAATGAGTCCCCCAAAATAAATTCTCTTTATTTGGCTACCTGGTATGGCTTCATTTTCCCTGGATGGACTCTGTTTGAAACTTCGGATCACCTCTCTAATCACTCTTTTCTCTGACCTCCCATAATAGATGTTGTATAGATTCACTTGTTTCAATAATATTTATTTACTTTTAAAAAGAGGTACAGTTTCTACTACTTCAAATAATATAAAATAATGAACAATGGAAACAGTTTTCTTCTCATTCTAAATACCCAGCCCTGTTTAGACTAAACTAGAGTTAATAATATCTTGTATGTCCTTCCAGTGATTTTTATATGCATGTCCATTGGTACATGTTTTTAACAATGGAAGCATACCATACACATAGTTCTGCAACTTTCTAGTTTCATTTAATAATATATTTTGTGGAGCATTTCTTAACTGTAGATATAGACCTACTTCAGCCTTTTTAATGGCCACTTGGAATCTCCTTGTATTGGGTACCATAGTTTGTTTAACCAGTACTCTATGCATGTCATTATAAACCATCCCTGTACATGATTTTGTATACACCAACAAGTTCAGTAAATTTCTAGAAGAATTGCTAAGAAAAAAGATATGTACCTTTTTTTTGCCAGACATGGCCAAATTGTCTTTAAAATAAGTTGTACTTTTTACATTCCACCAAGATTATTTGTAAGCACCGTTTACCTACAACCTTTACAAAAATGGGTATTATCAAAAGGTTTTAATATTTGCCTATCTGGTAGGTGAAAAAGTCTACCTCATCTCCAACCACTCAACTGGCGTTATCTGCTCAGTCTTCCAAAGCTTTATGCTTATTTTAATATGCATTTTCACTATCTACTATTGTGGTTATACAAGTTAACTTGTAGCTCTTATTAGTATAACCACAATAGTAGATAGTGTGTCAGAGCCTGTGCTAAGAGATGCTTTTCCTCCAACTTCAATAATCCTACAAGGAAGATATTTTCCTTGTTTTGTAGAGGAAGAAAATAGAGGCTCAGAAAGGCCAAACTCCAGAAATTTGTTCAAGGCCTCACAACTGGGAGGTGGAGGAGCTGGAATCTGTCACAGAAGTTTATCCCCTGAGGTTATGATCTTTCCACCACACTACATAATCTATTGAATTACAGTTAGAATGTTAATCTTCTATTTTCAATAAGGCTATTAGCTTCTTCAGCTTCTCAAAATAGGGACAATGTCTTATACTGTTTGGTAAATGAATAAAGTGACAAATACTCAATTAGAATCTGTTAATTGAATAGAATACTTGTCCTAAGATACTACTTACCCACAACAGTGTTTTGTAAATGGTGAAATACTTTATAAATTACCACTATTCATCCTGGAAGTAAAGAGATGATATGATACTGTAAAATATGTGATATGAAAAATATATGATTACAAATAATACTGTGAAAAAAAATTACCACTATTCTTTCCATGCCAGCAACTAGCACAACACCCAGTACAATGCAGGAACTTAAAAAGTATTTGCTGAATGAATGAGTGAGTGACTTTTGGCCTGTGTTTAGATAAGCTTTCCTGTTCTAAAGATGACCCATGAACTAGAAGAAAATTGAAAGATGCTCAGACCCCATTAAGTTTCAAATAGTTTATCCTGGAATCCCCAAAGCCATCCTTTATGGAAGTTCTTTGATGTTTCCCAATAACCAGGCAGAATTCACATTTAGAGTACAGGCTCAGCTCCTGCTGGGTAGTGTGGACAGGTGAAGGGCTAAAGGACATAGCCATGTCACACAGATGGGAACCACAGTCCCCCAGCCCAGAGATCTGGATCCCTTCTGACGGGGCATCTATGGATAGGCTGGAGAAGCATGGCCTGTGCCATGACGGTAGGGGGAGTCTCACAATAACCCTAGAAGCCCATGTAAACAAACCAGAAGTGATCCATCCATAGATTGACCCAAATTAAAACAATATTTTCAGCCTCAGCCTCCACTCAAGATCAAGAATGTCATGAATTTCTACTATTCAACTGTATATTACTATACCACATGTACATTAATTGACTACTATAACACCTGTGTATTAATTGACTACTGGTCTTATTGATTCTCTCCTCAAACATTTTTTTCTTTGGTGGAGGGAGGGACTTACTTTGTTCTTCTTCCTCTGGTTTCTTAAGTTGAATACTGAGTAGTTTGTTCTTAAAGTTTTCTAATTATAAAAACATTTAAAGTTTGAATTTTTCTATGAATTAACTTTATTTAGTCAGCCAATGCTTAATTATTGAGCATCTATTATTTATCTTTAAAATACAATTATGAGAAGGACAAGATTCTTACCCTGAAAGAGCTTCCATTCCAGAGGAAATGAGAGGAAGACAATAAACAGGTATAATAAGTGCAATGAAGAAAACGAAATAGGTAATGGGATTGAGAGTGACTTGGGAAACTGCTTTAGGCAGGTGATTCAACAAAGCTTTTTAAAGTAGACAACATTTATGTTGAATTATAAATGAAAGGAAACAGCCAGGCAATGGTTTATAGCTGCACTATCCAAAGTGGTAGCAACTAGATAACCAAATTGAATTGATTAAATTTTATACATTCAAATTAAAATTAAATTTAAAACTCAATTCCTCAGTTGTCATAGTCACATTTCAGGTGCTCTGCAGCCTCATGTGGTGAGGGGCTGCTGTATGGGATGTGCCTGGCATGGAATATTTCCATCCCCATAGGAAGATCTGTTGGACAGCACTGGTCTGAAGCAGAGGAAAGGTTAAGACAGGAACTACCTTGGCACTCTGCTGGATGAAAAAAAGGCGGTGTGGCTGAAGGGGAATGATAGAGGGGAGAGAAAGCAAGGAGGTTGGAGAGCTAGAGCTAGGTGGGAACAGGCCATAGCAGTCCTTGATCACTGTGGCTCTTTATGCTGATTGCTGTGGAAATCCACCGAGGTGTTTTACACAGGGAGGCAACGATTCTGATTCTACCTCCAAAAGATCATTCTGAAGGTGTTGAAACTAAGAGCTTATGTGTTATTAATCCCAAACAAGTTTTGATTTCAGTTACAATTTTCTCTTTGAACAAAAAAAGTTATTTTAAAGATAGTATTTTTAAAAAATTTCCAAGTGGGAATTTTTTGAGGGGACAGCAGGGGAAGGTTATAATTTCATTAATTTATGTTTTTACTGCTTTCTGGTCTGAAAACCAAAACTTGATTTCAGTTACAATTTTCTCTTTGAGCAAAAAAAGTTATTTTAAAGATAGTATTTAAAAAAAAATTCCAAGTGGGAATTTTTTTGGGGGAGCAGCAGGGGAAGGTTGTAAGTTCATTAATTTACGTTTTTACTGCATTGTGGTCTGAAAATGTGGCCTAAAAAGTTTATGGTTTGAATAATTAAGGCTTTTGTTTAATTTTTATTTGTTTGTAATTGAGTAAAGGGCCAATTTTTGTAAATGGTTTGTGGGTATAAACAGAAAAGAAAAGCAAGAATGAGTATTCCCTATTTATAGGGTATCAGATATATTTCAAGGTTGTTAATTGTGTTACTCTTCTCATTTATATCTTTTTAATGTTTCGTTTAATTGAGCTGTCAAATTTCAAAGGAGATGTATCAAAGTCTTCCAATACTAATATGGTTCTGTCAAATTCTTCAGATATTACTAAACATTTCTTCTGCACATATCTTCTTGATTAGTTGTTTGTTGCATAAAGATTCATATCTATTATTTTCTTCTCTGCATATTATATTTTTTGCTAACAAAAATTCTTCTGTTTCTGAAAGAAAATTATTCTTCTAGTCACAACACTTCTGACACCAAAGTAGGCACCCACAACACTTCTAACACAAAGGGGTGGGTTTTCTCCACACCAAGCAACTCTTTAACTCTCTGCAGACACCAAGTGGATGTCCTACAGTTTAATTCAATTCCAACAATAACCACCTGGAATTAGTGTAGACCCCAAAGGTTAAGGGCTCAGTCCCACCAAACTGCCCTCATTCAGATACCAATCGCAAGTCTGGGCCTCCTGTACTTCTGACCAACCAGTTATAAATCAGGAGGGCCCACAACCACTCCTCAGGTTTGATCATTTGCTAGAATGGCCCCCAGAACTCAGGAAGTCACTTTGCTTATGTTTTCCAGTTTATTATAAAGGATACAACTCAGGAACAGCCAAATGGAAGAAATGCATGGGCAAGGTGTTGGGAGAGGAGAACGTGGACACCTTCTAGCATCTCCATGTGTTCGCTAACATGGAAGCTCATCCAATTTAATTGTTCAATAACTTTTTTAGAGTTTACTCTCCTGCACCTCTGTCCCCTTCCTGGAGGTGGGGGTGCCCATCTTGAGGCTATAAAGGGGCCCCATCCTAAGTCATCTCATTAGCATAAATTCTATGGTAATCAAAAGAGGTTCCTGCCAGGCATAGTGGCTCATGCCTGTAATCCCAGCACTTTGGGAAGTCAAGGCAGGTGGATAACCTGAGGTCAGGAGTTTGAGACCAGCCTGGCCAACATGGTGAAACTCTGCCTCTACTAAAAATATAAAAAATTAGCTGGACGTGGTGGCATGCGCCTGTAATCCCAGTTACTTGGGAGGCGGAGGCAGGAGAATACCTTGAACCCAGGAGGAGGAGGTTGCAGTGAGCTGCGATTGTGCCACTGCACTCCAGCATGGGCCAAAGAGTGAGACTCCATCTCAAAAAAAAAAAAAAAAAAAAAAAAAAGATGTTCCTTATGAATAACAAAAAGCACTGATATCACTCAGGAAATTCTAAGAGTTTTAGGAATTCCATGCCAGGAACTGGGGACAAAGACCACATATATTTCTTATTATACCCTTATATATGTTTAACCTTTCCTCTATAGGTAGATATTTGAATTGTTTTTAATTTCTGCTATCTTCAACAATGCTCTTTATCCTGAACCTCTTTAGGCATATTACTCTCAACTCTGTTGTGTTGATGAAAAAAAAAAGAGAAAACATGAACCAATGTGTTTTGGGACACTATGAGATGTTTTTATTAGTCACGACCCTAAAGAATATGGGTGATGCTTTTTTACGTTAAACTTTCTCCCTTGTTGACCCACCTTTATAGCTCTTGACACTTGGGAATTGATTTTACTACCATACTGTCAAAACTGGAGGCAACAAAATAAATTATGTTGAACAGCCTCCTTTAAGTTAGAAATTTAATACTAGTGATAAATGTACAGAATGATTCACTAGATCACTGAGTGCAAAGTAAGAGTATTCAGAATAGAAGAAATCTTGCAGATGGTACAAAGACAACTTTGACATTTAATCCAACAGCATAAAACTGAATGAGATCAGAGGGACTTTGAAACTACAGTTCCATATGGCTGCTGTTATAGAAAATCACCAGGGACTGTTATCAAGTTTGTTGAACACTACTTATAATAAAAAATTATTATCATCTAAGGAAGGAAGAAAAATCATTGATTGCAAAGGTAGACGCTCGATTGCTGTAATTCAAATGAAATCACTGGCACATTTGTCATGCCACAGAGAATACCATCTCCCACCTTTTCCCAATGAATTATTAATGGAGGGTTGGAGATTATTTGATAAAAGGCTGACAGGGAACTACTTTGAGCAAAACAAGTGTCGTTGACACTCAGAGAAGCAGGTGCTAATGAATAAACATTGTGGTGGTAGAGTACAATGAGGCGTGGAGATGATTTGGACATGCAGTGTGTGTGGACTAATTTGAGTGACACAGCCTATTGTGGGTGAAGAAAAATAAAACAATTAGAGCCTTCAAAGGGGAGATTTCCTGCCAGGGAATCTATAAATATGATTTGTTTTGTGGTGATTCTTCCATTGAGATGCAACTCAGGCCAACAAAAGATTCAAGGTGAGAATTGAACTGACTGTGAAGATATCTCTTCCATCCTTACATTCTGGGATGAAATTCAATTAGACTCTCCCCTTGGATCAGAAATCTCTATGGGTCTCCATGCTGAAAGCCTAGCATGCCTGTAGCACACCTATCAGGTAGGGAGAACGGTCCCAAGGAACTAATAGACAAACATGCACTGAAATTTAAACCTACCTTTGCAAAAATTGAGACAGAAAAATCTGACATAGGAAAATTGTGACAGTGAAAGAAATCTGATCTAACCAACTCCATCTTGCTTCTAACCTCTAGGCTGCCTTTGTTCATTCCTGAGTGTAGATTGAGCTAACTATGGGAGGAACTTAGTTTATAGTATAACTTTGAAACAAAGGTAATAACAACCTCTTCCCAAAACAAACCCTCTCCTTGCTTGGGGTTCAGACCACCTTTCTAAAACCAACAAATTAGCCACAAGATTAGAAATTATGACTCAGGAGTCAGCCAGAGATCACAAGACTACTAACCTCCCCATTTGCTCCTATAGAAAACATCACTATTGTAAAACCCGAGATTGGTGTTTGAGGTGTTTTTCACTCATTGCATATTGATGGACCAATTGGTGCCACCCAGGCTAGTAAACTGGCTTATCTGGCCCTGTGGTCTCCTCATCCAGGAACTGACTCAGCACAAGAAGATAAGCTTTGACTCCCTGTGACTTCATGCCCGACTCAATCACTCTCCATTCCCTAGCTCCCTGCCCACCAAACTATCTTAAAAAACCCTAGCACCTGAATTTTCAAGGAGGCTAATTTGAATCACAATAAACTCCTGTCCTTCCACTTAGCTGGCTCTGTGTTTATTAAACTCTTTCTCTATTGCAGAAACCTGCTGTTCTCTGTGTATTGGCTTTTCTGGGCAGCAGGCAAGATGAACCCACCAGGCAATTACAAATTCACTGGCCAACAACTTGTTCAATGTCCAATGCCTTAGGTGAGAAGATTTCTTTGACTTAGTGATATCCATGTCATTTCCTCCTTAGCAGATGTAAATTGCCTCTTTTTCTTGCAGAGCTGGGTTAGCAGTCACTTATTGGCAAGGCTTATGTGGTCGCGACACACCTTTAAATTGTGAACTATCACAGTGCATGTATGACTCCAGCGCTAAGGCAGCCCCATCATCTTCCAGGGCTACAGCTCCCTATGTGTCAAGGATGGACAAGCTGGATGGACTGAAAGTTCTTGTAGCTTTTATACCCAACAAAAATAGAGACTTCACATTGTATAAATCCATTTCCTCCTGAACTCTGAACATATGATTAATAAGCTCTTTTTCCTCTATCTACTCTCAATGTTGAAAAAGCTTGAGCTGCTTTGGTCGAAAAGCCTTAGATTTTGTACCAAATGTACAGTTAACTAGTTCTTTTCAGCAATGTTAACATTGTTACATTTCTAAACAAATAACAAAAACAGCATCAAAAGTAGCTGACCACCCACTTTCTCATATCTCATTTGATCCTTATCAAACCCCCTTTGCCCTCATTTAATAAAGAAACCTATGTTCTAAAATGTATGTAATTTGTCTAAGATCATACAACCAACAAGTGGAGAAGCCAGAGTTTGAATCTATATTGGACTCCAAAGCCCAGTATTCCGATAATACCTTACTACTTATAAAGGGAGGTGGACTGTTGTAAAAACACTAATGGCTAATTTTTTTATTGACAAATCATAGTTGTATACATTTACGGGATATAATGTGATGTTTTGATATATGCACATAATGTGGTATGATTACATCAAGTAAATTAACATATCCATCACTTTACTTACCTATCTTTTTTATGGTGAGACATTCGAGATGTACTGTCTTAGTTATTTTGAAATACATAATACATTATTATTGACTATAGTTACCCTGGTGTGCAATAAATCTCAAAAGCTATTCCTCTTGTCTATCTGAAACGTTGTATTCT
Source organism: Homo sapiens (assembly GCF_000001405.40). NCBI lineage: Eukaryota > Metazoa > Chordata > Mammalia > Primates > Hominidae > Homo > Homo sapiens. Next base: position 47,989,553 of record NC_000016.10, on the reverse strand, counting down.
TTTGATCAGCAAATCCCTAATCCTTCCCTCCCAATGCCCTCCCTTCAGCCTCTGGTAACCATCATTCTACTCTCCACTTCTATGAGTTCAACTTTATCAGCTTCCTTATACAAGTGAGATCACGCAGTATTGTCTTTCAGTGCCTTGCTTATTTCACTTAGCATAATGTCCTCCAGATTCATCCATGTTGTTGCAAATGACAAGATTTCCCCATTTTTAAAGGCTGAATGGTATTCTATATACCACATTTTATTTATACCACATTTTATTTATACCACATTTTCTTTATCTATTTTATATATATACCACATTTTCTTTATCTATTTATCCATTTATAGGCACTTATATTGTTTCCATATCTTGGTTATTGTGTATAATGCTGCAATAAATATAGAAGTGCAGATAACTCATTGACATACTGACTCTTTTCATTTGGATATATACTTAGTAGTGGGATTAGTGAATTATATGGTAGTTTTGCCTTTGGGCTTTGAGGAACGTCCATACCATTTTCTATAACGCTTGACATTCCTACAAACAACATGTAAGAATTCCCTTTTCTCTACATCTTCTCCAACACTTATCTTTCATCTTTTTTATAAAAGTCATTCTAATAGGTATCAGATTATATCTCATTGTGGTTATACTTTGCATTTTTCTGATGATTAGTGTTGGTGAGCATTTTTTTTCAGGTACCTATTGGTCATTTGTATGCCTTCTTTTGAAAAATATCTGTTCAAGTCCTTTGCCTATTTTTTAATGTTTGTTTTCTTGCTATTGAGTTATTTGAGTTCCTTACATATTTTGCATATTAATCCCTTGTCAGATGTGTGGCTTTTTTCCATCTCTGTGAAAAATGGTGAGTTTTTTTCATCTGAGTTTTTTTCAGATGAGTTTTTTTCATTTCTGTGAAAAACTACGTTAGTATTTTGATAGGAATTGCATTGAATCTATAGATCACTTTGGGTAGTTTGGACATTTTCACAATGTTACTTCTTCTAATCCATGAACACAGATATCTTTTCGTTTATTTGTGTCTTCTTCCATTTTTTTAAGCAGTGTTTTATAGATTCAGTATGCAGATATTTTACCTCTTTGGTTGTATTTACACCTAAGTATTTAAATATTTTTGTTGTTATTGTAAAGGGAATTGTGTTCTTAATTTTCTTTTCTGATAGTTCATTAGTATATATAATAGGAACACTACTGATTTTTATATGTTGATTTTGTATCCTGCAACTCTGCTAGATTGATCAGTTTGAATAGCTTTTTTGGTGGAGTCTTTAGGGTTTTCTATGTATAAGATCATGTCATCAGCAAATATAGATAAGTTCCTTCTTTCCTATGCGTATTCCTTTTGCTTCTTTCTCTTGTAATGGCTTTTATTAAGGAGTTTCTGTGTGCCAGAAGCTATGCTGAATCATAATGCATCTATTCCTTACCAAAAACTTGTTAGAAAAGTAGTATTATTTTACAGAGGGAGAAGACACACTTGGAGAGCTAGAATCTCAGAGCTGAGGACGAAATGAGGTGCATCAGCTCCTAAAGTTCAATCACTGAGCCACTGAGCCATGCTGCCTCCCTCCCAAGGTGAAGAGAAAGGAGGTAGTGTTACCTACTCTCCAAAGCGCCAGAACGCATAGAGTTTTACATCAAATTATTCCCCAAAGAAAACCGGGTTTGCTCTCTCTCTGACAGCTTCCTAAAGCAATGCTGCTTTGGCACTGATGTTGAGAACAGAATGCTTCAGTCGGAGAATCCAAGGCTCAACACAAGCCTTGAGAACACAAGGTTCCAGCTTCTCTGACCCTGAAAACACAAGGCTGAAATGCCCACTTTGGACCACAGCCCTGTGACTTTCTTTTGTATACAACACACAGCTGAGTTCACCATATGTCAAGGGAAAAACAGAAAACATGATGGAGTTTGAGAAGTTCTAGAGAACATTAGTAATGGAAATGCAAATTATTAAAGCTTACTGAAGAAGCCTGATATATAAGAGACCTATTCAGTCTGGAATAAGGAAGGTTGTGCGGATAAATGATTGAGCTGGATGGGAAAGTTGCCCTGCTGACCAAATCCTGCTATAAGATTTAGGGGATCCCCCAATGCCTTGAAAAGTAGTCTCCTACAGTCTTGCAACTTTGGAGGCATGTGTCCTGTGTCTGCAATGCCCTATACATCTCTTTCCCTATTTCTTAGTCATTTCCAGCCTCATTCATCAATGACTCAGGTATTTGGCTCAGGTCAGCCGTCCTTTCCCAGGGCCAATCCTGTCAGATCAATGGCTCAAAGCACTCTCTATCTGCCCATGAAATTCTATCTTTTAAGCTAGTTTTACTCAACAACCCCTCAGCACACTACTCTCCAACCTCTTGGAGACCTCTGGCCATTGACCCCTTTTTTTCCCTCTGTCTCCAACATTCTACCCCCTTCTCATTTTTCTCCCTATTTTAGCTAGACCCAAAGGACCACAACTCGTGCCTACGTGTCCCTTCTCTTCTTCCCTTTCAAGCACCTACCCTGACTTCAACCCTGAATGACTCTGATTACTTGCCGCCTCCATGGCTGTATGTGGATTGCTAAGCACCACCGGAGAAAATTACACAAGTGGACTCATTGGTGCCACTAGAAATTCATGATCACCAGCCTTGAATGTCCAGGAAGCCTACCATGTTTTCCCGGTCAATCCACATTTTTATTATTTTCCAATTTTTCTCATCTCCATAATCTTAGATTCCCTTACCTTCTCATTTATTATTTATCCTCGAGCCTAAATATGCAAATGTTCCTGAACTAACATTATAGCATCTGCTGCTTGGGCCCCACCCAGATCTTCTTTTCAGGTATGGTCACTCTTTCCCCAGCTGCTGCAGGAGTTGCCACCCTTCTCTGGAGGATTGTCCTTGGGTTATATAAGCTGCCTTACCCAGAGATTGCAGGGAGGCTATGCACCCCACTCCACTTCCAGAAGGGCAGTCAATGGCCAGTTACAGACTGATACAGGAATATAGAAATCAAGCCCGCTTGCTGCAAGGACAAACTCTGTGGAAGCAATTCACACTCCAGAACCCCTGAGGGATCAGGCTGAAGCTTGGTTTCTGAAGCTACACCTAGGTCTAACTTTTACCCTACTACATCCTGCTTCCCCACCCTTTCTTACACATTTTTCTTGAGAACCCTTCTCAACAAATCACTTGCACAAAAATCCCCATATCAGGCTCTGCTTAGGGAACTTAACCTCAGATAACCACCTTCTTCTTTGCTCCTCCTTTCCTCCTGTGTTGAAGCTGAGTGATCTTATTCAAGGCCAATGCCTCCTCCTGTGCTTTGGGCCCCATGCTGTTCTGTCTTCCCAGGAACCTTGCACAATCAATAATCCTTATGTGTTTCCCCCCTTGGCTCCATCCCATCAGGATTAAAATAAGCTCAAGCTTCTCCCATCTTAAAAAAACAAATCTTCCCTTAATCCTCTCTCCTTTCCAGCTACTGCCCTCTCTCTCTTCTCTTCCACAGCCTAACTTCAGCATGAGGTTGTTGAAGCTTTAAAATAATTTCTTTTATGCTTACCTTTCCACTTCATATGCAGAACATAAGGAGTCCACACTGTGGAAGGATTAGAGATTTTGGAAGACCTCAAGATGTGGTGAGAAAGGAGCCCTTTGAGGACGTGCCTGCCATTCTTACTGTTATTTTGAGCATTTCTGGCACCTGTGCTGGTGAATGTTGCCCTACATGGAGCTGTTTACATGCACCTCCCCCATTTCCTCACCTCCTGCTCTTTCCTCAACCCACTCTGATCTGGTCTCCTCTTCTGCCACTTCACCTCTGACCTCCGTGTTGCTAAATCCACTGGACATCTTTCAGTGCATGCCCCACTTGATTTTTCTCCTCCACTCTTTGCTGTGTTCGCTCTTTTTGGCTTCTCTGTCTTTGCATCCCTCGTGCCTGCCTCGCTGCCCCTTTTTGGCTCCCCTTTCAGTTGCTCTACCTTTAACCACCCATTCAATGTTGCTATCTCTCATAGTTCTGTCTGGAAGCAGATTTTTTTTTCACTCTGCGCCTGCCCTAAGCAACCTTATGCATTTCTAAGGCCTTAATCACCATGTCGATGAAATGGATCCCTAAATATACAGCCCAAGTCTTTCTTCTGAACTCCAGACTCATGTATTCAACAGTCTTTGTCACATTTCCATGGGGATACTTCAAATATGCCTTAAACAGAATATGTCTAGAATTAAGTGCATATTTTTTTCTACCAAAACTGCTTCAGCTTCAATCTTGATAGCCTTAAGAAGTTTTCATCACCACCCACATAATTTCTCAAGTCAATAATTTATGAGTCAGTTGTTATTTCTCTCCAACCTTGTATTCAATCAATCACTGAGTCCTAATAATTCAATGTCTTAAATATCTCTCAAATATATCTCCTTCCATTCATTCCCCAATGACAGTATGCTAGTTTAAGCCATCATTATTTCTTGTCTCAAGTATTTTAAAAATTTCTGTATCTATTGGGGGTTACTTGTAGGAAATGGAAATCACTTTACCTTTTAAGTCTAAAGGGATTTAATATGGGAAATAAGGAGCTTGCTTGCACAATCCTGGAAGGACTGGAAGGTTCTGGGCTAAGCTTCCTGGAATAACATCCAGAACAGCATCACAGAAAAGGCACAGCAGGGGAACTGCTACCCTAGCAGAACAAGGCTTTTTAAAGCACAAGACAGATTATGAAATCCTCCTGAAAAATCATTGGTGGTTTCCCATTGCTTGTTTTTTCTTTTCTTTTTTCCTTTCTTTGTTTCCTTTGTTTGTTTGTTTTTTGTTTGAGATAACATCTTGCTCTGTTGCCCAGGCTGGTGTGCAGTGGCTTGATTATAACTCACTGTAGCCTCAAACTCCTGACCTCAAGCAATCCTCTGATCTTGGCCTCCCAAAGCACTGAGATTACAAGAGTGAGCCACTGCCCAACCTTCCCATTACATTTCAAATATAATCCAAATTCCTCATCATGGCCTATAGGTAGTGTTTATCATGTGCTTACGATGTACGTGGCACTGTGCTAAGTGATTTTTGTGGATTAACTCATTTGATCCTCTGAATAAACCTATGAGGCAGATAAATTATCCTGGTTTTTAGAGATGAGTCAACTATGATCTAGGAAGGTTAAGTAACATTCCCAAGGCCACCCACCCAGGAGGCAAGGCCATCAGACTTCCTGACTCATAGCCCATGCACACTTAGCACACTTCTGTCCCCCTGTCTCCATCAAGACAGACCCTGAGAATGTCTCCAGCCTCGCTTCTCATCGCTGCCTCCTTCACTCCCTATTCTCTGCCAATGCCGGCCACCCTCAGTCATAGATGTGCTCTGTCTTGCCTCCAAGCTTTTGCACTTGGCTTCTTCTTCTTCTTCTTCTCTGGAACATTCTTCCTCCTCTTTTTTCACCAGCTCATGTCTGCTTATCCTTCAGGACAACTCAATCAAATTCCCCCTCCTCCAGGAAGCCTCTCTCCTGACCCCTTGGAAGTGGTAGAGTCTCCCAATTACCCCATCTAGGGGTAATTACCCCCACATCTACTCTCCTGCAGCACTTCACACACTTGGAATTATCCCCTAAATCATCTAGTAATTCTTTAATGTGTGCCCTCCCAATAAAGCTGCATGGTGGCAGCCACTGTGCCTGCTGGGTCCATCTCTCTCCTGGGGACCCAGAATTCTGCCTGCTACAAAATGGGCATCCAATAAATATTTGTCAAGCAACTCACTGGTAAGGGGAAAGAAATTTAAATAACTTAGTATCTAAAAGAAGGATAATAAAAATAAAAACATCTCAACAAAAAGTGTGGGCAAACTCCCTTTGAAGAAAGAAAGAGGAGTGATTAAGGGAAGGAAGGAAGGCCCGCAAGACTTCAACCTCCTGAGTTCATTAGGTGCAGAATGCAGCGGAAGACAGAAGTGGGACTTCAGTGTGACCAGCTCCCTGTGCGTAACTTTGTTCTCACCCCATGCCCACCTTGAAGCAGGACTCAGATGTTCCATACTCAAGAATTAGTCCGAAATCCACAATGGTGTGTTGTTAGATCCAAATATGCAGTGCTATATTTCCAGGAGGTTGGAAGTTTGTGTTTCACACTGTGTAACCAAATTGTGCTAAATATATCTTTAAACATCACTGCTCTGTCCCCAAAGTCCTCTCTTGATGCCAGCCAACGGATCTCCTCTTTCTCCTTCGGAGTAGCCCTTCCACTCCGCAACCAAGACAGACTCAGCCTCCCTCCCACAGAGGCTGCCCATGTCTGTGTGTCCATCTTTCTCTCTTTGGATAAGGAGTATGTTTCACTCTTACCTTCTCCAGGGCACATCTTCACACTCAGTCCCTGCTCCATAACAAAGGCTCCTCTTTGGGAACCACGTCCCCTTGTCATCCAAAAGACCAACAAGATGGCTGAACAGAAAGGAGTGCTTTATTGGCAATATCGATTTGCAAGCACAGAAGACAAAGTCTCCAGTGTGGACCAAAGGTGCTCTCTCTTTGAAGAGGGGAATGTTGGATTAGGTTTTATGCCTCACAGGGCTGGTATCATATATACTCAGCAAGTTTAAAGGAAAAGTTATGCATATTTATGAGGGGAGCTGAGCGCATGTGGATTGGGTAAACATGTGTGTAACATACATCTCATGCTCACTTTGGAGAGCATCAAAAGGAGATGGAATTTGGCTCTTTACATCAATAGGGGAACTATAGGATGCAAAGACAGTTTGTGTGCAGTCTCTATAAGCTGCCAAAACTGGTCTAAAATCTGCAGTAGCTTCTCAGAAGAGAATGTTTGGAAGGCTGGTCCTCTGTCCAGAGTTGTAGTGGCCTGATAGCTCCTATTTTAGTGAGTTTTGTAAGGGTGTAGTAGTTCTTACAGTAGGAATTTAAAAATGTACCATGGCAGCTGGGCCCTGAACTCTCAACCCGTAGGTACCTTTGCTTCCTTAACCTTAGGGCCTATCTTAGTAGACAAAGGGGTGTCTATGTTGGTCTCTCAGATCACATCCAAGGAGGTAGGGTGCACTGTAAATATAGTAGAGATATTTGGGGCATATTAAATCTGTGTAAGTTTCAGTTTTAATAATATTTTGTTCCCAACCATTGTAGACTCCCACATCAAGAACCATGCCTGACAGGCTCAGATCACAGTTTCCTCTAGGATGTAGACATAATATGCCCCCTTCTGCTCTTAATGCTGAGCTATAAATCTCAGTGCCCTGGGAAATAGACTAAGAGGCTTCCAGAGAAAAAGTATGAGATGAAACAGCCTTTCCACCATAGTGAAGGGTGGAAAGAAGTCAGGTGACAATGTCAGACATGCATCGCCACGTTCTCCCTCATCCGGTAGACACTTTCCTGGGATTGGCAGAAATATCCTGACAGGTAAAGGAGAGTCAAGATCATTGTGGAGCTGGGGGTTGGGCAGTAGCATGCTTCAGTGGGCATAGCCTGGGTAAAAACTACATTTACCTGGCCATATGCAAGGTGGCCCAGGGCAATGATGTGGCATCTCAGAGTGAAAAGTCAGACAGATAGGAGGCTCTGTGGCAGCGTTTCCAACTCCTTCAGTCCTGTATGTGGACTCCTGGGGGCCCAGAAGTTCCTACATGCTCCTGTGAAGATCACAAGTACAGAGAGGACCACTGGTGCAGTGGAGGCCTGGGTCAGGAGGAGGGGCCATCAGGGGTGGGACCTTGGCTGGGTGTGGTGGCTTATGCCTATAATCCCAAAACTTTGGGAGGCTGAAGTGGGTGAATCACCTGAGGTCAGGAGTTCGAGACCAGCCTGGCCAACATGGTGAAACCCCATCTCTACTAAAAATACAAAAATTATCTGGGCGTGGTGGTGATTTTGCCTGTAACCCCAGCTACTCAGGAGGCTGAGGCAAGAGAATCGCTTGAACCCGGGAGGCAGAGGTTGCAGTGAGCCGAGGTTGCAGTGTTGCCCAGGCTGGAGTGCACTCAGCTGGGCAACAGGAGCGAAACTCCATCTCAAAATAAAAGGTAGGACCTTGATGACCAGAGGCCATGGCAGTGGTACCCAAGCAAATGGCAGTTCAGCCGTCGGACCAGCTGAGCCAGCCAACAGCAAAGATGGGAGGAGGAGGAGAGCATACAGACCAGGTGTTATGAGCCCCATGCCAGGAGGACTCAAAGCTTTCCCCATATCCAGAAGTAAGGCAGAAGGAGGAGGAAAGAATCAATGGCTTTGAACTGACCAAATATTTTCTCCATAGAGACTTGCTGTTTAAATGCTAGAGGTGGTGAAACCATGATTTGGCAAGTTTAATGTGCATTGCCTGCCCCCATCTCTTGCTCAGCAGAGATGGCTGAAGGTCTGTGAGGGTCTGGCAGCCCTGGAGCAACTGGAGATGCTCAGAGAGATCCAGCCCTTCAGGAGCAAGGCACAAGTCATGGGTCTAAATCCCAGTATCTACATAGCCTCAACCAGGATTCCAAGGGAGGCCATGATGGAGCACAGCTCCTACCTTGACCTGAATGATCTGGTTGTTAATGAAATGTCATGCCCCTTCAGATCTCCCAAGATTGTGGCTCCCTGTAGCTAGAAGGCTATTAAAAAGAAAAATCCCAACTCTATTTTGAAATCCATATGATTATTTCTAGCAGTGAGCCACCCATCCGAGGGGATCATGAGGAGGAAGGAGTCAGCTGCTATTTTCATGGAGAATAAAGCCCGCCAAAGACACCCAGTGGGCTGGGAGAAGAAGTATTTCACAAGGTCATCAGGCTACAGCCTGTCTGCACACAAATTAGAAGTGGCATTGAGTGAAGACAAAGAAAGACAGGGTGAAGACCCCAGTTATAGGCTTCGTTTCAACGTGATTGCTGTGGTTTCTGGTTGTGGTCTTCAAAAGATTGTGGGTGGTGGTAGGCAAGACAGAGAAAGAGAGGAGCAGAGTTAGGAAGGGCTGAGCTGTTTAAATGCTATGGTTGGTCTTACAAAGTGATTGTTATCTCGAGGCCTAAATTCTGCTGATTCAATTGCTCTTATTTGGATTTTCAAATTATTCCTGACAAGATAATAAGTCTCTTTCAAAACATTAAATCGGATAAATCTCCCGGCTGGAGGTCTCTCGTTCGATTTAATTTTCTGCAGATATTCTACGAATCTAATGAGAAATCAAAATGAAAGGGCTTAATTGGAATTCCTCTAATTCCCCAACACGAGGTCTCGTGTTAATGTGGAAGTAGACATGCAGTAAGATGTTTTCTTCTCTCTCTCTCTCTTTCTTTTTCTCTCTCTGGGTTTAGCTGAGTCCCCTCCTGACCTTTAGATGATCCTGTTAAACTTCCCAGTCTATAGAAGGCTGAACATTAATTATAGAGCTTGATTTCTGCTTGTTTCTGTGGCCAATTTTAATACACTCCTCAGTTTTCTTTAGGTCTATTTAAGGCTGCATGTTGTGTCTTCAGCTAAGCTGTGTGGACACAGCAAATCAGATATCAGTTTTCAGAGCTGCTGTTCTGCAGAATGTGGAAGGCTGAGAACCAAGCTTGTAAAGTCCTGTGGGAATTGGTTTGCCAAAATTGACTGCTTCTATTCTTAGGAGCTTTCCCAGATTAGTGCCTTGGGCATCGTTTCCATCCATGTTAGGTAATAACCACTACCCTTTACTGAGCACTTACTATGTGCCAGGCACTTTGCCAAGCCTTTTACATGCCTGCTTTATTTAATCCATCTCCATGCAGCATCCCTGTGAGCCAGATGCTGTGATTATTCCCATTGTATAGGAGAGCAAGTTGGCTCACAGAGTACATGTCATTTATTCTAGGCTGCACCCTTAGTAAACAGTTTATGTACTGAGTAATAAGAACTCTCATTCTCATTACTCCAAGAAGAAAACATCTAAGTTAACATGAAAATCACTTTTAATGAGGTCCCAGGAATGATATACCTTTAGTTAACAGAGCACAATCCTTGTCATACATCCACTAACACATCCATCCATAGGAACGAACTCTTAATTGCTTTTCAGGACTTTGTAAAAGAGGCAGGAGGAGGGAGGGGTGCTCTTGTTTTCTCACCAAAGAAGCTGCTGTCAACCAGATTGGGAGAGAAATTGACGTGACAGTAAGCAGCTTCATGTTCCCAGTATTGCAAGAGAAGGCAGAAGCATCACATTCGCTGTTCTTGGCAAAGATCCCACCTCATTAAAGAGGATATTGGTCACTTTAATGGTTTTGAGACAAATATGGAGAGAGTGCCTCACTAGAGAACCAAGTCAACCGACAAAAGAACACCTACCGCAGGCTTTACTTTCTCTCCTGCTTGCTACCTAGGCTGACAGCTCCACCTCCCAGAAGACAGATGCTCCTGTCGCCTGCTATTAATGGTCATTCCAGATTAATGGAACCAAGAGGGTAAAGACCAGCCAGTAACTGCTTTGAATGGGGATTTGAAGTGTGGAGTTTGCTCTTGCCCCAACACTTCTTGACTTTTATTACCGGCCATGATGACACTGCAAAAAAAAAAAAAAAAAAAAAAAAAGGAAAAAGAAAAAATTCTGGCCAGGAGCCTCTCTTAGACTGGGTTTGCTCACAAAACTTTACCATAAATATAAGAAGGTCTATGCCCTTGCTTCTAAATTCACAAGGAAGAAGTGCAGTGAAGAAAGGTAGAGGAAGTTTACTTTGGCTTAATCAGCACAAAAACTTTCCAAATGAGAAAAACAGTCATTATTCTAGAAGGCAGTGTCCTCCTTATAAATGGGTAACTATGACCTGACAGGGCTCAGCCTCGGCATCTGGAGCTGTAAGAACAGAGCTCTCTCCAACACCTGTCTTCTATCTGCAGCTCTTTTCCTCTCCCGGGCTGTCCCACACCCTCATTTTTGTCCTCCACTGGCATGGAAGGCATTTGTGCAGATGAGTTAAGGGAAATCCCCTTTGAAAAGCTTGACTGCAGGGACTAGAATTTGAGCTCTTCGGTGGAGAGAATAGTTTCTCCCAGTTTCCTATGTTATCCAAGAAGCAAATAGAGAACAAATAATTCAAATAGCAACATTACAGCAAGCAAGGATGGAGCTCAGAGGGAAGGTGCTGACACTCATGCCTGTGCTGTGATGCTGTGGGTTGGGGCTTGCTATCTCTGAGATCCAGACCATGGCTGAGTCAAACTCATTATGAACCATTTATTATTTATACTTCTGACTGATTTCCAAAAGACTTGAGGTGGCTTACACCAAAAACCAAGCCTACACTAAGCCTATATAAACAAGATTCAAATGAAAAGAAATAGGCATTGAAAAAAAGCAAAACTGAAAATATTATTGCAGAAACCTGTACTACAATAAGTAATAATTTTACTTTGAGCTTCCTGACATGCAAGGCAAAAAGGAACCATGACAAAGTACCTGCTTTCAACATCTGATTTTAAAAACTTACCAAATTTATCAGGATGTAGGGACTACTTTGCTTTTCACTCTGTTCCACAGCTGCACACTATACCCCATGCAAAGGTCAGACAAAATGAGACCTTCCGGGATTTGTTAAGTAAACTCTTCAAAGCTCAAGGGAATCACAAATTCTTTCTCAAACAATGACATTCTTTGATCATTTCTCTTATGGGGGAAGATAGAGTATTTGTTCATTTCTTGACAAACTCACAGTAGGACTCTGAATGGAAGTTCATTTCATCAAAATGCCCCCTGCAGGAGCAGACAAACAGTTTTCTGGTAGCAAAAGCTGAAGTTCTCTTCTTCTGAGCCCCATGAAGAGATTAATTACTGTTTCCAAAGGACTGGTTACAGTGGGACACAATGGTATTCCAGAGAGCATTGAGCTGGGAGCCAGAATCACTGGGTTCTTGTTCCAACTGAACAGCTAACATAACTGTATGATATTGGGCAAGTCCCTTCTCTCTGAGCTGCACTTTCCTATTTGTATCATGACAGGGTTGAAATAGTTCAGTGGTTCTCAACTCTGGCAGCATTTTAGAATCAGTTGGGGGAGGTTTTATCTTTTTTTTGAAGACAGGTCACCTAGGCTGGAGTACAGTGATGAAATCACAGCTCACTGCAGCCTCAGCCTCCTGGCCTCAAGCCATCCTTCTGCTTCAGTCTCCCAAGTAGCTAGAGCTACAGGCACACGCCACCTTGCCTGGATAATTCATATATTTTTAGTAGAGACAGAGTCTTGCCATGTTCCCCAGGCTGATCTCGATCTCCTGGACTCAAGCGATCCTCCCTTCTCAGCCTCCCAAAGTGCTGGGATTACAGGCATGAGACACTGTGCCCAGCCTAGGGGGAGCTTTTAAACATACACATGCCTGGTCTCTTCTACAGAGAAATAACATGTAATTTCCTAGGGGTGGAGCCCAGGCATCAGTATTGTTAAAAACACCTTAAGAAATTGTCAAGTGCAGCCAGCACTGAGACCACCGGATGCAATGATCTCTCAGACACCTCTCCAGATGCCTGCGTCCACAGAGACATCCTTATTGTGAGGGACACCTGGGTTATGATTCCCATGGGCATGGGGCTCTTTCCCACAGAGTCAGCTAGGTTAAAAAGAGCAAAGCAGAAAGGTCCTATAAATCATGCAAAATGAGCTGTCTGCTTATGCAGCTGCACGGCAAAAATGCCTCAGTGTACAGCATGTATTTTCCCTTCTTGATGAGAAGCAGCAGCCTCAAACGCAGAGCATGAGCTCCATCGTCGGTGACCTCAGCCCACCTCTCCGGCTGCCTCCTCTCCCCACACGGGCACTCTTACCTCACTTCATACGCCAGGTCTTCCCCACGGACATGCTGACGAGAAGCTGATACAGCTTGAGCTAAACCTAAAGGGCTGGCTGGCGAAATGTTACTAAAACACCAAATGGCTACTTCTGCCTTTATTTCAAGTATACATAATTCAGCACCTATGTGGCAGAGGCTGGATTAGGCTTGCTGCCTCATTTTTAAATATTTTACTGCATTTGTGAAACAGACGGACGATCTCCCTTCCCCACTGACCACGACCCTGAAAAGAATAGCAGCATCATGCAAGGAAGAGGTTTAGACGTAAACTTGATCCAGTGCTGCAGGGGCCCCTGTGACTGTCCTTGAAGGATGGCCAAGGGACTCAGTGGAGCAGGTTGAGGACGGAGTCTACAAGGCAGTCCTCTCCAGGCAATGTGGTGGCAATGGCTTATCCTAGGACCTGGGGCCCAACTTGCATGGTTGAGCAGTAGGCCCATGCTCCAGCCCTTTACCATATCCCTCAAGTAATTTGATTGGACCCCATCTTAACATCTCGGTTAGGATGTCTTGGCCCTAGACTTTTTTTCCTTTTTTTCTTTTTTCTTTTCTTTTAAAGACACGGTCTCACTCTGTCACCCTGGCTGGAGTGCAGTGACACAATCACAACTCACTGCAGCCTCAAACTCCTGGGCTCAAGTGATCCTCCTGCCTCAGCATCCCAAGTAGCTGGGACTGCAGGCATGTGCCACCATGCCTGGCTAATTATAATTTTATTTTTTGTAGAGATGCATTCTCACTACGTTGCCAGGCTGGTCTCGAACTCCTGGCCTCAAGCAACCCTCCTGCCTTAGCTTCCCAAAGTGCTGGGATTACAGGCATGAGCCATGGTGCCCGGCCAAGAATTCTACATTAATTTTTAATTCCCTGGACCTTTTGAAAAGAACATAATTGGTGTCTATATCATGATACTCTCACCTACTATACCTACCCTCTTCCTGCAAAAAACCAACTTTCTAGAAAACAGAACAAGTGCTATACCCAAAATATCTGACAAGAGTTCACCAACATAGAATAAACACTAAATTATTGAGAGGTTTGTGGTTCCACTATGGAATATAAAGACATAACACCTTGACAAACTGAAAATAATATAACCAACAAAAAATCAGGAGGCAAGAGGAGGGACACAAAAACGTAAGCAGGATGAGGGACTCATCCACCATAGTTAGAGTCAAAATCCACTTCAGAAATTGAAATAGAGTTAACAACAGAAACAGAAAATAGAGTTAACAACAGCTTTAGAGTTAACAATTCAAAAGCTTTCCCAATATATTTTCTTGACCATAGAGAAATCCTTTCGGGATTTAATAATACTCGTGTTTTTTTTTTTTTTTTTTTCTGAGATGGAGTCTCACTCTGTCACCCAGGCTAGAGTGCAGTGGTGCGATCTTGGCTCACTTGCACCCTCCATCTCCCAGGTTTGAGCAATTCTCCTGACTCAGCCTCCCAAGTATCTGGGACTACAGGCTGTGCCACCACACCCAGCTAATTTTTGCATTTTTAGTAGAGATGGGGTTTTACCATGTTGGCCAGGCTGGGCTTGAACTCCTGACCTCAGGTGATCCGCCTGCCTTTGCCTCACAAAGTGCTGGGATTACAGGCGTGAGCCACAGCGCCGGGCCAGAATCTAATAATACTTGTAATAAGAAGTGTTTGATAGGAAATTTCTTCAGTTTCTCATCAGCTCTTTCCCATCTGTTGAATTCATACAGTTAAATTTAAATATTTTTATTTTTTTTAAAGTATATATAGGGCAAATCTTTTGTTTGTTTGTTTGTTTGTTTTGTTTTTTTGAGACAGGTTCTCATTCTGTCACCCAGACCGGAGTGCAGTGGCACAATCACAGCTCACTGCAGCCTTGACCGCTCTGGCTCAGGCAATCCTCACACCTCAGGCTCCCAAGTAGATGGGACTACAGTCATGCACCACCACACCTGGCTACTATTTTTATATTTTTTGTAGAGATGGGGCCTTGCTATGTTGTCCAGGCTGGTCTCAAACTCCTGGACTCAAGCAATCCTCCTGCCTCGGCCTCCCAAAGTGCTGGGATTACAGGTGTGAGCCACCCGCGCCTGTCCTAATTCAATTCTTAAAAGAGTATTTCTGTCTTTTGCTCCATGTATACATTCATTCCAGATGTCTGGAAACATGTTTACAAACTGTTAATACTAGACAGTGGAAGTTTAACTCGTTGTTTCAAAATTTGTGTTTTTCTGCCTTGTTTGCATTTTTACCATGAGCATGTACTGTATTTATATAAAAAAATGAAACCATGACTCAAAACAAGTCCATGACTAGGGGTCCATGGATAGCTTCAAGATAAACTCTAAAATGATGTGCAATATTTTATATATTCATATGTGCACATTTTTTTCTGGAAAATGTGTCATATTTTCATCAAGTTATTAAAACCGTTCATGACTCCTGAGTGTAGTTCTCTGTCTTCTACATTTCTTTCCTTCTTTTTTTTTTTTTTTTTTGAGATGCAGTTTTGCTCTGGCACCCAGGCTGGAGTGCAATGGCATGATCTTGGCTCACTGTAACCTCTGCCTCCCGGGTTCAAGCGATTCTCCTGCCTCAGCTTCCCAAGTAGCTGGAACTACAGGCATGTGCCACCACGCCCGGCTAATTTTATTTTGTATTTTTAGCAGAGACGGGGTTTCACTGTGTCAGCCAGGATGGTCTCGATCTCCTGATCTCGTGATCTGCCCACCTCAGCCTCCCGAAGTGCTGGGATTACAGGCATGAGCCACTGCGCTCGGCCTCTACATTCCTTATACCTTTGGTTTTTAGGCTTCTAGCCAATAATACAGCGGCTCTTGACTATCATCTCAGTGCCTCGCACTGTACCAGGAACTTTACATGTATTGTCTTTGGGTCCTCAAGCAACCTTATAAGGTAGATATGATCATTCCCATGTTACGCAGAAATAAGGGTCACGAATTCTCAGTCACTTGCCCGAGGTCACACAGCAATCCGAGGTAGGGCTTGTGATCTAAACCCAGCTCTGCTTGTGTCTGAAGTGCACACTTGCCTTCCTACATTCTGCTTCCTCATCAGACAAGTCACTGGAAGTCATTCATCTGTCATTATTTGAGGACCTGCAGTGTGCTGGCAGGGTCCCAAGAGCTGGGAACACATCTGTGAACATCAGACAACAATCGTGCTCTTCTGGAGCTGATATTTGATCATTATAATTCTCTGAGGCAGGCAGGTATCAGTACCCCTACTTATTAGACCATCCACCTAAACTTTAGAGAAGTTAAAGATTTACCCAAGTTATGCAGCTATTGGGTTATGGAGTCAGAATATCAAACCTGATAAGACTCATCCTTAAGTTTAAAATATGCGCTTATTTTAAAATCATGTTATACCTTAATAAAAATGGTGGAAGTGATAGAATATAAAGTTAAAGATAAGTTCCATCCTTCATTGTCTCTAGCCTCACCTGATGAAGGCTGTTGGACATCCTGAAACAGGCTATGTTTTTCCTCACCTCTCTCACATTTTTCTTTTCGGGCCCTTCTCTCCATTCAAATTGCCCTATTTTGTCACCCAGGATCCTCAACTTGCTCCCAATTGCTTAAACACAGCTGTCTGTCCTGCTCCCTCTTCTCCTACTCCCCAAAATACTACTTGGCACACTCTTTCTATGCACTCGTTGATCACTGAATACCTAGAGGATGCTGGGCATGGTGGCAAGTGTGGGGAGGCACATTCAGAAAGAATAAGACACAGGCTGTCTCCCTCCAGGGGCCTGTATTTGCACTTTAAATTGGGATTTTTCAACCCAAAAAAGGCTCTAAGATCTAAAAATGCAGCTCAAATGGTAGATTTTTCAGGTACTTTAAAAGATATTCCATTAGACCATTTGTTCATTATCCAGGAGCTTGCCAAAAATGCATATTCCCAGTCTCCCTCCTCAGATATTCTATACTCTATAGTTCTGGGGTGGGGGGCAGGAATCTGCACATTCAGCAAGTTTCCCAGGGTCCACGTACAACATTTTTTGAAAAGCATTGGTGTACTGGGGGAGATTGTATTGTGCACCCCCTCTAGGAATCCCACTGTGATGGCCACACCCATGATACTTCTGTTGAGGAACTTATCACACTCGATTGCAGCTGTCTGTCTGTGTCTACCACCAGACAGTGGAACCCATTCCTATTCATCTTTGTAGCTCATGTCTCTGGCACATAGTGCCATACCAGAGACATGAGGTAAACATTTATCAGATGTATAAAGATGTGCACAACTCCACATTAGTCACACACACACACATCATTGTCATCATCACCATCATCATCGTCGTCGTCATCATTGTCATCTACTGTATTCACATGGAAAAAGCTGGTCCTAGCTCTGCCCCACTACGTGGTGCCTGGCATGAATACCTGCTTTTGCAACATGCTAAGAAGGAAGGCTTCATAAAGCCATAGTTGACTTGGCAGCTGGAGAAAAGTACAAAGGCATATTGCAAGAAGAGAGTTAAACTCTTGATTTATTCCCATTTCCATCTAGCATGAAACCTACAATAATAAAATTGAGTGTTTTGGTGAAGATCACAGAGCAAGTTGTTCAGATCTAGGGATAGAACTACACATTTTTTTTTTTTTTACTTTCTATGAAGTTCTTATTGCTCTGATCAAATCTAAGAAATCCAAACCCAAACATCTGTGATCTCATGCCACTATCTTATAGCACTTGTGGCATTAGTAAAAATATAATTATATATTTGTAAAATCTTATTTTTCATATTGTAGATACAATAAATATAACTAGAATATCTAATTCTTGACAGCAATGGATCATCTTGCAATCACTCCACTTTGGGAAGCCCTACATTATATCAGGGGTTCATAAATGCTCTTCTAGTTTGGGAGCCACAGGGAAGGAAGCCCAGCATCATATGCAGAAATAAAAATGGAAAGATTTAAAAGACAGAGAGAGATGAGGGAGAAAAGCAAGAAGGAAGGGAGGGAGAGAGTGGAAGAAGGGAAAGAAGGAGCAAGAAGAAAAGAAAGGAAGAAAGGGAGAAGAAAAGAAGCAAAGAAGGAAGAGAGGTCTGAAGCCACAGATTTTTATTTGAAGATGACTGCATTATATGCACAGGGGATCATTTCACAATATTAACTCACAAACAATAAGCTTGGATTAGTCAAAGGCACACTAAGGTCAGATTTGCTGTTTCCCACACTTTCCTCATTGCTATGTATAATTAAGTGAATTTGGTAGGACACAAAGTAAAAATGCCCCTCCTTCATGGCATCCCTAATGCTTCTTGAGAGCCCACGAATGCATTTATGGCCAGTATCTCTGTAATCCAGGCAGCACTGTTTTTCACGTTCAGCTTCCAGGCACTTGATTGAGACTCCAGCACAATGCATCCCTGATAATAAAACAGATAAGGTAGTTACTATGTTTAAATGGAGACAGCCCATTTGTGAATATGCCAGAATTTGCTGTAATAGAATTAAATAAGGAAAATACTATTGTGAACCCAGAAAATCTCTACAAGTGCTGAACTGTTTATAACACATTGCTCTGTACTTCACATATTTTGAAAAAACTTTAAAGGTCACCTGGCTCAATCTCCAAACTATAAATTAAATATTGAAAAACAAAGTCACATTATCTTTTGAGAGGCCTCAGTTTCTTCATCTGTAAAATGAGAGGACTGAACAAGGTTTATTCCAGTTTCAACATCTCATAAGTCAGCAAGAATACCTAGGAGCAGTAATTAGTCATGGTCCCTTTGGTGCATGGTCAAGCATATTGAGTAAGGAATGAAAACTGTATCTCTCTTATTTGCTTCAAATATTAACTTACAAATGCTAACTTTAACTTGAACTGTGTAATGGCAATCTGATTTAGTCTGGAAATTATACCTAGATAGATCTAGAAATAGAAACACTTCCACTTCTTTCAGGGATAACCTTTCATTTCTATGATTTTACCTGACCCCTTACCAAATGTGAAACCTCAGTAGAAGTGTCAAAAGGGTAGCAAAGTTTCTAAAGAAAAAAAAGCAGGTTTTCTCAGACTTCCACAAATGCTAATTACTCATAATGACAAGTCATTACCCAAATCAATTTCTGGAAAGTCACAAGGACTTGACAGGTCAAAGCTGAAATGTCATCTCAGCCTCCAGTAAGAGACTCTGCCAAATTAACCTTCAGCATACCCACACACCCTTTTTCCAAAGAGAGGAAGCACAAATAGAAAGGAAGATTCAGCACCTTGGAGAGAGGAAACCGACTCAAGGTATACACATGGGAAGATGAGAGAGGCCACTGAGCTCCAGGAGCTAAGGGCTGGTATAAGGGCGTCCTCCAGCACAACTTAAGCTACATGACATAATTATGGCCTTTTGTGGGGACAGGACTCATGCAACAGACACAAATGCAGCTCTCTGAAATTCAGAAGTGGGGACATGGGAACATCTGAGCCCTTTGGGATAGGAAGAGGCTGAGACACTTGGCTGCCGATAGCACTGGATCTCATTAAAACAAATGCTAGTTCTAGACGGATTTCTATTAACAGATTTATTCATTATTTAATTTATGCATTTGAGCATGTATTTAGTCAACAAATGTTTTCTGAGTATCTACTTTTTGCCAACTACTATTCTAAGTTCTAGGGGTTCAGTGGTGAATGACTTGGGTAGTGTTTGACCTCATCAGATTTCCAAAAGGAAAACAAACAGTAACTAAATAATCATTCAAATAAGAAAATATAATTAAGTTCCACACTTTATTGAATACACTAAAGAGAATGAATAGGGGAGAATGAGAGATTTGAACAGACTACTTGACTTAGTCAAGAGAGAGGACATAGATAAGAAGGCAGGATCTCCTAGTAGAGGGGCAGTAAAAGGACTAAGACAAAGGGATAGCAGCATTCCAGGTGGAAGGTACATTTTGTGCAAAGCTCTGAGGTGGGAATATAAGAGGAACAAGAAAGTGAGGGCAGTGTGGTCGGAACAGAAAGCCAGTGTAAGGAGTAAGGAGTGCAGAGCCTGGAGTGGCAGGCAGAAGCCTCTGAATTACCAAGGCCAGGTAGGAACAGGAGAGAGGCAGAGGAAGAGGGTGGGAGGGAGCATGCTCTGAAATTCACAGGCCAAGTCTGGCACAGAGAACCAGATCCCTCGAATAAAGGAGGCTGCTTGAGGGCTGTAAGTACCTGAATAAATCATGGAGAGCATTGTAAGTGGAGGTAAAGAGTTTGGAATTTACCCCACATGCAACAGAAGGCCACCAAAGTATTTCAGTTGGAGGGCAATATGATCTGATTATTTTTTAAACATCACACTGGATATACATGGTAGAAATGAAAGGACAAAACCACACAACATGGAGCATCTCAGAAAGATGATGAATTTGAAAAGCAACCCCACAAGTCTACGTACTGTGAGATACCATCTTTATACAGCTCAAAACCAAGAAAACTAAGCAATACATTATTTGAGATAATAATGTATTTCATCCGATAGATGGGATGAAAGAGTATTTGTAAAAGGGAACTATAAAGATGACATTCAGGATAGTGATTACCTCTGGGAAAAGAAAAGAGGGTGGGGTAGGGGACACAGAGATACTTAAGGTAGTTACTAGGTGCATGTTCTAGTCCTTAAGTTGGATGATGGGTTTTGGAGCATTTATTATATAAATTCATTAGGAGGCAACTGAAGTATTTCACTTGAAGACCAATATGATCTGGTTATTTCTAAAAGATCACACTGGGTATAGATGCCAGAAATTTAAAAAAACAAGAAATATACAACAGTTCTATGTATCAATTATTATATTTAAGAAAAAATTACTCATTCTGCCTACTATGTGGAGAATGCATGAGTGGAATCAGTGAGACTAGTTAGGAGGCTGTTTCAGTTTCCTAGATGGAAGCTTCCATTTTACAGACTCCAGAAGGTCTGAGATCAGGCCCATAGCCCACCATTATAGTGGCACCATTCCATGTAAAATAATGGGATCAGTACATTTTTATTTAATAAGATCATGAATTTTCAAGTAGAAAGAGTGGCTAGATATATTGAAACTCAAGACATAGGCTCATAATGGTTATTGAACTGCCAACTCTATAGCAACTGCATGTTTACAAATCACCTTCACATTCATTATCTGTTTTTCTCCAACTATACGACATTCATTCATCATGCAGGAGGGAAAGTGTCTACTCCAAGTTCACACAGCAAGGTGAGGATTGAGCTGCAGCTGGAACGCTCCAAGTTGGTGTACTCTTTCCAGGATATTTTGATGCCTTTCAAGCACCAAACATAAATGATTACCTTTAGTACTACCTCACCTCACCTCCCAAACCACTCTGCTTCAGCTCTATCATATTTTGGCAATTATCTTTCAAACTCTGTTGTCTGTATAGTTTGTTACACATGCACACACACATACAGAAATACACACATATATACATATATATGTATATATATATATTTAGCATACCTATTCTCTATAAAATTTTCTAATTCTATATGCCCAGCCTCAACAATTTCATTTGTTCATTGAGGGTGATATTTAAGCTTTTTCTCTTTCTTTTTGCAACCCATAGTGTTGCAAACATAGTGGGCATGTTGAGGTACTGCCACCTATCACCCCAGGGAATCTCCAAAATTGATTCAGTTACTCTAGTGACTAGGTGGGTTCTCCTTTTCCTAATTGCTCCAGGCTGCATGCTCTGTTACAGAAAAAGGCTTTCTTATACATGAGGGGATTGTTATTCAACAAAACTATTCAAAACAAACTTACCCTCCTGCTAGAACTTTCTAAAATATAACCCCTACACCAGACACAGTATAGTTCATGAGCAAATCATCCTCTGCATTCTGGGGCAGCAGTTTCCAATTCGCCAGATGCTAAGACATCTGATTTCTTTTTACAAAGGCCCTAGGTTCCTTCCCTACTCTTTTTAATTATAATCCTGGATCCACCATCTCACCCAAGTCCACCATCAAGAATATAAGAAATCTATTCCTGAGCAAGGGAGTAACTAAGATCAGGGTTTATCCTAGGTCTAGAAGCAGAGCCATAGAAATCAAGATGTAGGATGCTGAGTAGGTAGATGCAAGGATGAAGCAAGGTAAAAAACTGGAAACATCAGGGCCTCAATGACCAAATCCAGGTAGGAGCTTAAGAGAGCAGTAGCAGGAAGTGTTAGGAAATCCTGTATTCCAAAGTTCACAAACTGAAACAGGAAAAAATGCACAGAAGGCCAGTCGCTAGGAGAGATGAATCTTTTTGAGGACCTTAAACATCTAGTGGATTTGTTTTTCTAAGAATAAAAACGTTAATATCTATTAAGCATTACATTCCAGGTACCACTATAATCTATTTCATGCATTGTCTCATTTAATCTGCACAAAAATAT
This sequence comes from Homo sapiens, assembly GCF_000001405.40. Lineage (NCBI taxonomy): Eukaryota > Metazoa > Chordata > Mammalia > Primates > Hominidae > Homo > Homo sapiens. Next base: position 47,967,355 of record NC_000016.10, on the reverse strand, counting down.
GACTTTCCTTTTCTTCCATTTTGCAGAAGAGGAAGCTGAGACTTAAGAGAATGAAATGACTTACCCCAGGTTACACAGCTACTGGGAAAGAGAAGAAACAGAGACAGAGAGAAGTTGGGCTGGATTTGAATCTAGACAGTCTCACGTGCAAGCTATCATTTAGCCAACAATTGATATTACTGTCAGGTGTTCTGTGGCATTCACCTCCCTCCAAGATTTCCTGACAACATACATCTGTATTATAAACATTTTAAACCAATATATATTGATTTGGCATTGACAATTGCACATGTTTATTCTCGGAGATGACTAGAACGAGCTCAGGATTGAGAACCACTGCTTTGGGCTTGAAAAGACCCTGCAGATAAAGACATCAAGATGCTTTACCCTCGAGACCCCTTTGGAGGAGTCACTGTCTCCGTCGTAACTCTGCACAGTCCCTCCAGCAGCTGTTGGATGACTTCCATGCCCTGGAGTGTTAAAGGAGGAGAATGGGGGAAGAATTAGAAGATACAGAAGGACAAGTCGAAGCATCGTAATTCTGATTTTAAAAAATCAGGACACCATAGAAATTCTATTTCTGAAGATTTATACTCCACTTAATGCCATGAGGACTTTAGGTGGCTAAAAAAAATCTTGTAAACTAAACAGGGTTATTGGATTGTGAAATTGAGAGCCATAAAATTTAAAACAATTTCATATGAAACTTCAACTTTTTTTTGAATTTCAAAGTAAAAGAGGCAGTATCAAGAAAATTTGAATTTCAAACGAAGAGGAGAGGAGCCAAATTTCTACTTTGCTGACAACTGAAAACCCATCATCAGTCCAGGGTGACTCAGGTTAAACACCTGCTCTGGGGCTGATGCCTGAACTTGCCCCTGATTCTTGCTGTATCAGGTTTGAGACTAAATCAGGCAACTCCTGTCTCCTAGATTCCTCTCAGTGTCTGCAGGAGCCCTCTTTCTTTTTTTCCTATGGAAAGGCCGTTGTAATGTCTCGCCCACTTTCGCCTCTTTGTGAACATGGCACCAGAACTTTGCACTTCACACGGTCTATAAGATGTCATCTTCTAATTTTTCCCCTTTTGTGTTAAATGTCTTTTTCCAGTTGAAAAGTAAGCTCTTTTAGTGTAAGGGCACTCTCTGATGCCACCCTTGCTTGTTCCATTCTCAAGTGAGCAGTAGCTTAGTGCAGTGACTATGATTTGAGTTTGAATTCTGAACCTCTGTGACATTGAACAGATTCCTTATCCATTTCTTCTGTAAAATAGGATTAAATAGGCAAAAAGTACTTAACCCAGTATCCAGCATATATTCATTCCTCAATAAACCTTACTTAGCATTACCTTTTATTGACTGGAAGAAATGGCTTTAGGACTTCATACACAGCTGAGGCACTCTAATGGATGATTTCCTCATTTTTGCCTCTCCAAGTTCCGAGTCCTCCCTTTTCAAGATTAGAAGCTGAACGCTTCTTCTATCCCCTCCCACCCCCATCACTACAGCTCCTCTCCATCTGATTCAAGTATCTATTACCATCTCATTGAGATGCCACTTAGACAAGGCCTTCAAATGTGGAGCTGCAGAAGGGGCTGGGTGTAGTCTGGGGTAAAGGACTGCCCATTAACATTCAATCCATAATAGAGACCATTATCTTGGCAGCAAAATACCCCAGCAGTAGTGATGTGAGGAAAGGGGGGTGGGTTACCAAAGCAACAGGGAGACTGGAGCTGCACTGTTTCTATGGCAACAGAGAGCAAGCACGAGCATTCTTCTAGTTGGAATGATGATTATTTAGGCTCTCACCAACAGTATCAGTGACTCATCAGGTGGATTGTGTTGCAAAGTGTGGATTAGTAAAGGGTTTCTCTTCAAATCCTGGCAAGAACGAAGCCCACAATAGAGATCCTGACTCTTCAAGCTGGAGCCTGGACTCCTTTATTAGGAATGAAGGGTCTCTCCTTGGCTACTGGCCAATTAATTACCTCCTTAATATCAGCAATTCTTATTTATGATCTGCAATCTCCACGAGTAGCCTGCTTGGACAAAACCCATTTATGGAAATCCAATTCATAAGGTACATAAATTAAGTAGTAGAGAAGTGCTTACGCAATTTTCTCTTTTCCCTCAATTTTAATTTTATCAAAGAAACACACTTGCATCATTAAAAAGTCAATTAGTGCTTAAAAGCTTATAACAAGAAACATCAATCCCCACACATATAACACCCCTCCCTCTCCCTGGTTCCTAGAGGCAACCACTTTCAGGAACTTTCATTTTATATCTTCTATTTACCTCCATATTTTCAAATATCTCCACATTGCCTAAAATTTCCTATTAAAGTGGGTAGATAAAGCTCTTCACAACTTGCCTCTCTTAAACTCAACCTCCTAATATGATTATGCACCATTTAGTCATGCACCACTAAATGACAGGGATACTTTCTGAGAAATGAGTTGTTAGGTGATTTTGTCCCTGTGCAAACATCACAGAGGGCACTTACATAAACCCAAATAGTAGAACCTACCACACACCTAGGCTGTATGGTGTGGCCTATGGCTCTGAGGCTACAAACATGTATAGTATGTGACTATACTGAATACTGTGTATAGGCAATTGTAACACAATGGTGTTTGTGTATCTAAACATAACTAACCATAGAAAAGCTACAGTAAAAATATTGTATAAAAGATTAAAAATGGTACAGCTTGGTAGAGTATGTAGTATGAATGGAGCTTACAGGACTGGAAGTTGCTCTGGATGAGTCCGGGAGCTAGTAGTGAGTGAATGGGAAGGTCTAGAACATTACTGTACAATACTGTAGACTTCATAAACACTGTACACTTGGGCTACACTAAATTTATAAAAACTATTTCTCTTTCTTCAACAACAAATTAACCTTGACTTGACTATAACTTTTATACTTTATAAACGTTTAAACCATTTAAAACTTTTTGAGTCTTGCAATAACACTTAGCTCAAGACATAAACACATCATACAGCTGTACAAAAAATTTTTTTCTTTATATCCTTATTCTATAACGTTTTTCCTATTTAAATATTTTTTAACTTTTTGTTAAAAACTAAGACACAGACACACATGCTAGCCTAGGCCTTCACAGGGTCAGAATCATCAAGACGTCACTAGGCTATAGGAATTTTTCAGCTCCAATATAACCTTACGGGACCACTGTCATGTATGCATGTGGCCCATTGTTGAGCAAGATGTCATTATGTGACACATGACTGTGTATCGCAACTTTTGAATAAATCCTATTTATGGATTATGATGTTTTCATCATTAAGGACATGGAAATATTGGCTCACTGCTGAACTAATTAGGGAAACTCAGTAACATGATTTTACACAGGCTGGGGCTAGAGGCTTCCCCATTCAAGATACAGACCTGCACCCAGTCCTCTGGGTCTGGTTTGGTACATGGCCCTCCTCTGCACTTGGCGTCCGCATATCCGGAGGCTCTCTGTTCAGTTTCTCTGAATAATTCCCTCCAGCTTCTTGACAATTAGATCGGAAGACTCTGGCCCTTACCCAGACCCACATCCCTCCCTTGCTTGCAGCCTGCATTTCTGGCTCACCCTCAGCCATTGCTGGGGCCGTGGGTTCCTGAGCCTTTAATTGGGCAGTTGGTTTGACCTTTCCTGCCACTGCCCTCTTGTACAAGCGGGTTCTGAGTTACAGATATCTTCTGGTGTTGTCCAAAATGGACTTGTGGTTCTGGTTCTCATGCTCTTGTTGTTGGGGGTGACTTCCATAGAAGATGGCAGAAACTTCTTTGTCTTCATAAACCAGGGAAGTTTTCTTGAAGAAGTTGGCTGCCTGGAAGGTAATTTCCACTGGAGTGAGTTTTGCAATGGAACTAAATTATATAAAAATACCTCCATAATTTTTAAATTACAGTAACTTACTTTAAATGTGTGACTATATAAACCTGTCCAGAGAATGATTTGGTTTTGAAAAAAGTGGATGAAATGTGGGTTTTTTTTTTAAAAAAAAACCTTTTTGTTCTAGTATGTTATAAATCAAAGCTAGGCAATTTCACCTTTTGACTGAGGAAGATCACTTTTGAGACTCTATTCTAAGAAAAATAATTCAAGACAAGCACTAAATGAAATTGATCATTGCTCTGTTAAATATGATTGTGAAAATGGAAATGATCTAAATATCTAATGAGAAGAAAACTGATACGTGAATACAATGGAATGGTCTATTCAACATGGAAAATATGCCATTGTACTAAGTGAAAGAAGCTGAATGCAAAGTGGACTTTATGCTCTGGTTACAAGTGTGTAAAACAGCCATTTAATCTTTGTGTTGCAAATTCTCCATCTGTAAAATGGGATAGTAAATTAATTACCTTATAGAGTTATCATGAGAATTAAAGGAAAGAATGCCCCTAAAGTTTTCAGCTTGTGCCTGACACACAGTAAACGTACAATAAATGCTAGCTACTATTACTACTGCGATTACACAGTGCAATGGTACGTCTGTAAAGGTTGTGGGCTTATGTGTGTTCCAGTCTCATTTTTCTTGTTCTAGTATTACTTGTTCAGTAAATAAAAATCAAGACACACACAAAAAACCTCCATAATAATAAAGAAACATATATATTATAATGGCATGTTTGCAAGCATTTACATTCCCTGGCTCACTTGTTGGTTTAGAGCAATGGCTCTCAACATGGAGCCCCAGGACCAGCAGCAACAGTGTCACCTTCAAAGTTGTTAGAAATGCAGATTCTCAGGCCCTACCCAAACCTCTGGATCAGAGACTCTGGGGTGGGATCCAGCAATCTGTATTTTAACATGCCCTCCAGGGAATTCTGTTTAGCCTGGGCTGCACTTTGGAATCATTTTAGGAGCTTAAAAAATAATAATGCCTGGCCCCACTCAGATCAATTAAATCAGACTCATCATGCATAGGGCTCAGGAATTGGTTTTTGTTTTTATTTTATTTTATTTTATTTTATTTTATTTTATTTTTATTTTATTTTATTTTTCTTGAGATGGGGGTCTTGCTCTGTCACCCAGGCTGCAGTGCAGTGATGCAATCTCAGCTCACTGTGGCCTCGACCTCCTGAGCACAAGGGATCCTCCCACCTCAGCCTCCTGAGTAGCTGGGACTGTAGATATGTTCCACTATATCTGCTAATTTTCATATTTTTTTGCAGAGACAGGGTTTCACCATGGTGCCCAGGCTGGTCTCAAACCCCTGGGCTCAAGTGATCCACCACCTTAGCCTCCCAAAGTACTGGGATTACAAGTGTGAGCCACCATGCCAGGCCCAGGCATTGGTAATTTTAAAAAGCTACCAGGTGATTCTAATGCACAGCCAAAACTGAGAACCATTGATATAGAGAGAGATCGCTATACAGAGAGGCCAAGTCAGATGGGAGGGGCAGACAGCCTTACACACAACCTTTTAACCCTGTTCCACCATCCTTGGCTTCTGCAGGACTCTCTTGTTCCTATTCTTAATTGATACCAAGTCCAGAAGAGAAGAAGGGTAAGTAAGGCTCTTCCAAGCCTCCCAGACATGTGTTGATAGATCTTAAAGATCAAGTAGACATAAAAATGAGGGAGGTCTGATGTGGTAATATGAGCCTGTAGAACACGGTTCTCTCTACATTTGAGAAAACTACTTTTTTCTCAAAAAAGGTCTTGGTGCATTGGTCTGGGTGCAAAGCTCTGGGTGCATTGGCCCCAAGGAAAACATGGTATTTTCTCAGCAGCCAGACCAGAGACAATCCCCAATTCCCTCCATTTTCTGCTCATGACTCCCTCTCCCTTTGAGATTTGAGCTGTGTCCCATCAAAGAGTTTAAGGAATACCCTACAGGAGTAAGTTTTAGTTCTTGGCAAATTTTGTGCTTTCATCTTGGAGATTTGCCGACAAATTTCTATCAAGAAATGACAAAGAAATAAACACCCCTGGTTTTATTTTCCCTTCACTCCAATTTTCTCACTTGTTTGCTTTTATCCTGTTGAATCTTACATATTTGTATAATCCTCCTCAAATCCTGTTTTAGAATTCAGTGGGGTAAAATAAATAAGAAGCTATAAAAGCCAATCAGTCATATTCTACATTTGCTTTTTTTACAGAATCCTTCATTTATTCAATCAGTAAGCATTTATTCAGTTCATTTTAAGACATTTCTATTGAGAACTTCTAGGTGCACTGGGAAAGCTACAAAAGAAATCAAGCTATAATGCCTTTCCTTTCTTTAAGCAATTTATTTACCATTGTTGGTAGATAAGAGAGAAACACCTGAAACAAACAAAGAACAGTATATGATAAATTACTGAGCTAAATACTATCAACTGTGACAGGAAACTGAGGTCTATAGAGTGCTTACTACAAATCAGGCAGTGGGCTAGATGTTTTCCATACATGGTCCCTCATGTTTTAGGTACGACCCTATAAGGTGGTAATTAGGGCAAGCCAGCTTCACCGGCCAGAGCCTGAGAGCTTTGGATTGTGCCTGGGCAATTTACTTAACCTCTCTGTGTCTCAAGAGTAAAATGAGGATAATAACTTCCTATCTCAACGAGCAGCCCTGAGTCGCAAGTTCACGTAAAGCACATAGCACAGTGTTCAGTTTGTCTCAATTACTTAACATGCTTTGGTGCCTGGCACATACAGGCTATTCATCATTGTCAGATGGCATTTTAATTCCACTTTAAAGATGAGAAAACTGAGGTTGAAAGAGAATGTTATGCTTTCACAGAACAGCTACACTCCAAAACCTGTGTGCCTTCTCTTCTTTGTTTCTAAAATCAAGTGCCAAAATATTCAGCAGAGGTCCCAAGTGATTCACTATTTTTTTTGCATTATACAAACACTTTACAAACCCAAGGTTGAGCTCCACAAGGTCAGTTTGATTTGTCTCTTGATGTTTAATAAAGAGATATGTTGTAAGAAATAAGTTCCTCCCAGGCTAACAACCCTACCCAAGGCTCACACATGGCATGAAATCTAAGCCTCTGCAGGTCTCTTCACTGGGCCTTTGATGTTTTTCTCCTCTGGCTCAAGGCAAGCTCTCTTCCTGCCTTTGTGCCTTTTTCTCACTGAAACCTACCTGCCTCTCTCCTCTTCCTTCCATTCCTCCTCTTCCCCATCCCATACCCTCCCACATTCCAAGGCCCAACCCAAGCTCTCCTGTGGCTCCATCTCCTCCCTGCTTTCTCCTTTCTGCCTTCTCAGAGCCCATGCAGCCATGCTCAGTGCTTGGAACAAGAACCAGCCTTTGCTCACTGTGCACAGCACCCACTGGTATTATCTATTGAATCCTCAAAACCACCTTGATAATTGTGGTTTTAGCATCCTTACTTTACAGCTGAAGAAACTTAGGCTCAAAGGGGTTAAGAAATGTATTAGAGGTCCCTCATCTTTTATAGAAACTGGAAGAGCTGACTATAAACCTAGTTCTCTAGCCTCATGCTGCAATCCATGCTGTTCATGCCTGGTAAACTTGGCCCTCCCACTAGACTACAAGTTCCTTGAATTCGGTGAGCACAGGAATGGGACTGTGTATAGAACTAAGCATTTAACAACTAACAGAGCAATCCTCAGACAGAACTCTATGCCCTGGTAGAACTTTCCTTCCTATCACAGACCCAGATTGTGCAATTGAAGGAACCCCATTGGGCAGTAGACTGACACAGTAGGTGTTGCAAAGACATTCATGATAAAGAGCACAGACCTCAGTAGACCTCAGTGCCCCTCTTCAAATCAGACTTTCTGAGTAACTTGTCCCCTTTTCATTTGTTTCTATGCAAAATCCGAGGTCTTGTGGAGGTTTATCTTGTTCAATACTTGAATGGCATGACTTCTGGACTTCTAGACTTTCATCTATTATTTATGCATTTAAAAATACCTATTGAGCACCTACTATGTATATGGTCACTGTGCTAGGTGCTGCAACGTGAGGAAAAAAAGAGATGCAGTCCCCACTGTCATGAAATACAGCCATATAATCAAAGAATCCCACAATTCTACCACGAGAAGTACTGTGATCGAGAGATACATAATGCCGAGAGCATTTACGAGAGGATGTGGCCTGTCCAGGAGGTAAGAGAAAGCCTGCCTTGAGGAAGTGATCATTGAGCAGAGACCTGAATGAAAGTAAACACTATCTTAGAAAAGGAAATGGTGGGCTGCACACCACAGCTCACACCTGTAATCTCAACACTTCAGGAGGCTGAGGTGGGAGGCTTGTTTGAGCCTAGGGGCTTGAGACTAGCTTGGGCAACATGGGGAGGCTCTGTCTCTACAAAAAGTAAGAATAATTAACCAGGCACGATGGCACACGCCTGTGGTTCCGGCTACTTGAGAGGCTGAAGTAGGAGGGTTGCATGGGCTCAGGAGGTGGAGGCTGCGGTGAGCTGTGATTGAGCCATTGCACTCTAGCCTGGGTGACAGAGTGAGGTCCTGTCTAAAAAAAAAAAAAGGAAGTTGTGGAGAGAGCAGAGCAAAAGCCTTTTCATGAGGCCACAGAAACAGACACAGGCGAAGGGAAAGTGATGGGAGGTGCAGCCAGAGAGGCAGGAGGGGTCACACTGTGAATGGCCTTGTGGACATGTGAAAGATTTGGGTTCTTATTTTAAAATCAATTGGAAAACCCTCAAGGATTTTAGGCAGAGGGTAACATCATAAGATGTAAGTTTCAGAAAGCTTACATCATGGGAAACAGATGGGAGCCATGAACAAAGTAGACCAGGAGACTCAGCCAGAAAGGTGATGTGGGCCAGGGTGCTGATGGGAAGGCTCAAACAAGTGGGCCAATGAGACACACTCAAGAGATACAGTTGCCGCGATTTGTGATGGACTGGATGGAAGAGGATGGGAGAAAGACATGTCAGGGGAGATACCTCAGTGTGTCATTTGCAGCTTGGTGGATGAGGCTTCCATTCACAGAGATGGGAATATCCTGAAAGATGATGGCTTCTGAGGGAAACTCTTAAGTTCAGCTTTTATCAGGCTGAGTTTGAGGAAACTTTGATATATCCTTAAAGAATGTCAGGAAGGCAGCTAGGTGTATGGGTTTGGGATTCAAAAGACAGGCTTAGGCTTTTCTAACTTGAGGCTTATGAGGCATCTGCCTTTAGGGGGTAATTAAAGGAATGCTAATAGGAACTAGGACTAAGACTTGAGCTTCCTTAATTTTTTTTTTTTTTTTTTGAGATGGAGTTTCGCTCTTGTTACTCAGGCCAGAGTGCAATGGCACAATCTCTGGCTCACCGCAACCTCCGTCTCCCGGGTTCAAGCGATTCTCCTGCCTCAGCCTCCCTAATAGCTGGGATTACAGGCATGTGCCACCACACCTGGCTAATTCTGTATTTTTAGTAGAGACGGGGTTTCTCCATGTTGGTCAGGGTGGCCTCGAATTCCCACCCTCAGGTGATACGCCCGCCTCATCCTCCCAAAGTGCTGGGATTACAGGCATGAGCCACTGTGCCCGGCCAGAGCTTCCTCAATATTTAATGGCAAAGATGAACCTGTAAAAAGACAGACATCATGGTCAGAGAGGTAAGAGGAAAGTCAGGACAGGACAGGGAGTGCTTTAAGCAGGATTTACAACATGGGGGTCATCTGGGCCCTAAGCTGAGCTTTGCAAGATAGTAATGCTAATAAAGCAATAGAAACATAATCTGTTGTCATCAGTGAATTTCATGGACATAAATGCCAAAAACCTCACATTGCAGCCCCCACCAAACACTCAAAACCTTGGTCTTGTTATGTGAGTTCAAGTCAAGCTGTTTGAAAAAAAAAAGCTGGTCACTCATCCAACCTATTCTAGCATTCCAATTCGGCAGAAGAAAAAAGACAAAGGAATCTGAATTTGTTGATAATCTTTGATCTATGGGTCAAGATAAGAAAGAGAAATTATCTGCAGCTAAAATCAAATCTCTCTCTCATCCAAAGGTAGTGAATCCCCAGGTGGGTGCAATGTGCACCTAATGAAGAGTCCATCTGTTACAAGAATTGTGGCAAAGCTCTGAGAGCATCACAGCAGCCTATGACAAGACCACTTTGTCCTTTCAAGCATGTTATAAAGACTTGGGAAAGGCTTCGTTTTGCCCCTGACATTAAAGCACCATTAAAGGATTTTGAATACACACTCAAAGCCAGGCAATTCTGAGGATGGCAGGAGTCATGAACTCATCCTATTACTCTTAGTGAGACAGAAAACATTTAAAAAAAAAGAAGAACAAAGGTCTGTTTCAAGAACAGAAAAGCCCCGGAATGAAAGAGGAGGATTGTTACTGCATGTGGAATCTCAGCTTAAAATAGCACACAGTGTGCCTGACATCCTGTGAAGTAGCAATAGCTATGAGAGCATCTGTGCTCAAACACATTGTCACATGGATGTGAGGCTTGAGCCCTTTCTTCCAAAACTCTGGGTGCAGGCAATTACCACCATGCTGGGGTGGGCAGGGGCCTCTCTGTCAGCCACGTTTCCTCTCTGGTATGTGCTGGGGATCTGTAATTCACACCAAATTCACACAATGATTGGACCTAAGCATGCCTCTCACCTTTGGATAGCTAGTAGGTTCAACACCCATTGGAGAGGAAGAAGACAGAGGTTCTATGGTGGTGGTAGGGAGGGATAGGGAGGGACAGGTCTGTTGTTTCTCCATCATGAAGAATGATGCAATGGCTGCCACTTACTAAAGGTCTACTGTGGGCCATAGACTGTACAAAACTCTTTATATAGGTAATCTCAAATCCTCACAAGAACTCTGAAAATTAGGAATTATTACCTTCATTTTACAGATAAGGAAACTGAGTCTGGGAGAGATTGTGAGTGCCCACAGTCACCCAACCGATAGCTAACCCAGCCAGGTGTGTCTGGCCCCGAAGTCCATCCTTCTTGGACCTTACCTGGGGTTCATACTTGGTTGTGGATGCAGAGTGTGAGATAGGGAGGAGGTGTTAGAAACTCAGTGGAAGAGGCCCGACATGGTGGCTCACACCTGAAATCCCAGCACTTTGGGAGGCTGAGGTGGGTGGATCACGAGGTCAAGAGATCGAGACCATCCTGGCCAACATGGTAAAGCCCCATCTCTACTAAAAATACAAAAATTAGGCCGGACGTGGTGGCTCATGCCTGTTAATTCCAGCACTTTGGGAGGCCAAGGTGAGTGGATCATCTGGGGTCAGGAGTTCAAGACCATCCTGGCCAACATGGCGAAACACTGTCTCTACTAAAAATACAAAAATTAGCTGGGTGTGGTGGCACGTGCCTGTAATCCCAGCTACTCAGGAGGCTGAGGCAGGAGAATCGTTGGAACCCGGAAGGCGGAGGTTGTAGTGAGCCGAGATCATGCCACTGCACTCCAGCTTGGTGACAGAGCGAGACTCTGTCTCCAAAAAAAAACCAAAAACAAAAACAAAAACAAAAAAACTCAGTGGAGGGGACATGCAGCGTCCATTGTCCCTTTCAGGAGACTGCCCCTCCCCCACGGGGTTAAATCATGCTGGGATGGAAATCTGGGCACCTGCTCTCCCGCTGGGGAAGCTATCAGAGTCCCCAGAAGCTCCTTCTGCCAGATCTTTCCTCTGCTCCCCGCAGACAGGAGTTTGGCTCCTGACCTAAGCTCAGCCAGCCAGGGTCTCTTTCCTGGGATACTGACCCCTGAGCAGAGAAACAAGGACAAAATAAATCATTGAGTTCATTCATTCCCACAGCAGAACCCACAAGAGAGTGCTGAGCACTTCTGCCTTTTCCAGGCTCCATTCCTCAACCACTCCCCATCCAGTGAATTCTCTACTGCTTGTGACCAGTTTCTCTTGCTTACAGTTGTTGAACCCTAACTAAAATAACCCAGTATATAAAAGAGTTCTGATACTTAATAAAACAAGGAGAAGGAAATTGGGAAAACATTTCAAAGACCATATAATGGGAGTAGGGGCCTAGAGGCCTTGGTGGAATCCACTGATGGCTGTGACCAACAGAACAGGGCAGACGGGACAATCGACTGGTTCTGGGAATTGCCCTTAGCTGACCTGGAATCTTCCAGTTTTTCCTTTTTGGAACACTTTTTGAGGAGATACCGCACTTAGGAACCCAACCACCAAGCTATGAAAACTGAAGAGGCCATGGAAGGGTGGCCCAGCCAGTAGCCCCCACTGAGCCCAGCTGCCAGCCAGCACCCACTGCCAGACTTGGAAGTGAGCCACCTTAGATGGCCGGACCAGCCGAGCCTTCATCTGGCTGTGACCATGTGAGTCCCTAAGCAAGAATCTCCAGGTCTACATGCAGAAGTGTGAGCCATAATAATAAATTGTTATTTTAAGATACTAAGTTTTGAAGTGGTTTGTTACACAGTCATAGATAACCAGAACAGACGGCCTCGAATGAGGACTGCTGGATAGAAGGAAAGGTGCGCTTACAATTTCATAGATATTGTCAAATTCTCCTCCTTGAAGGCTATACCAATTCACATATCCACCAAGGGTAGATGATCAGTAAAGATGGGATTTTTTAAAGCCAAGCTCCTTATATTTTTCATAGCTATAAGAAATCAAGGGCACTCATATATCACCTACTTGCACTCATGATTTCAAAACTCTTGTCAAAGAAAAAGAATAGAAAAAAAGGTATTTGAAAAGAAGGGCAGGCTATTCAGAATTCTTTTTAACACCTTACAATATATCTTTGGCCTGTCACTCAATTTACTGGGCAACCTGGTGATAAATCATGCTAACATTTGTGATAAAGGTAACTAAGCAGTGGCTTCTAATTAAATTTCATTTGTACAACAAATATTTTCTGAGACACAACTCTATGCAAAGCACGGAGGGACCATGGAGAAGACTGTGGCACGAATGGAGCAGAGTTTACAGTGTGTCATAAATAAGTCAAGCCTGCTCCCTCTTTTCTGCAAAATGGGAGCAGCCAGCATTGCCTCCGCACCTTGATCCTGATGCTGGGCCAGCACCTTGATCCTTGCTCTTACTGCATGTGGGTTTCTTTATTCACCAGCCTTTGTCTGTCTGAGAGGACTGACTGCCTCCAGTCCTGCTCGCTTTGGTTCCTAGCTCCCTAATAACATGACTTTACATAAAGTAGGTATTTTCGCATTATTTGTTTTGGTTTTGCTTTTTTAGGGACAAGGTCTTACTCTGTCACCCAGGCTGGAGTGCAATGGCACAATCACGGCTCACTTCAGCCTTGAATTCCTGGACTCAAGCGATCCCCCCACCTCAACCTCCTGAGTAGTTGGGACTACAGGTATATACCATCACACCTGGCTAGTTTTTTTTTTTTTTTTTTTTTTTTTTTTTTTTTAGAAATGGGATCACACTATGTTCCTTACCATTTTAACAAGCTGGTCTCGAACTCCTGGCTTCAAGCAAGCCTCCCACCTCAACCTTCAAAGCGCTGTGATTACAGATGTGAGCCACTGCGCCCAACTGGGAAGTGGGGTTTTTACCCCTTCCTTCTTTACATCTGAAGAGACTTCCAGTATGGTCTCATTATCATTTTGTGTGTGTGTGTGTTTGTGTGTGTGTGTGTGTGTGTATGTGTGTGTGTGTGAGATTTCCAGATGCTGAGACTTCTAGATCTCCGGAAATTAAAGTAGTTGGGAAAAGAAAGAGGGCGAAGTCAGGGAGAGAAGAAGGTGAGTGAGTAAAAGAGAGATGCCTCCTGTATCAGAGAGTGGACAGTTCTTTCACTCCAGGCCAGGGACAGTGAAGGAGAGAAGTCCTTTTTGCACATAATAGTAAGAATCTGGACTACAACAAAGATTCTCTCCTTGAACAAACACTGATCAGGCTCCTCTGAGCTCTCTTTTCAACCAGCCCTCAACCCCAAGGTCTTGTCTTGTACCTGCCCCACCCATTCTTAGCAAAGAGTCCTGCTAAGTCGTCCCCCTACTGATCACGCTTGACATCTGATCAAGTTCTTCATCCCTCACCCTTGGTGTCTAAATCCTTGGCCTGTCTTTAGCAAGAATCCTATCAGGCCAGTGTTAGAGATCAAATGCTTGTGTCCTCTTGCCCCAAGTTACATGTGTCAGCCCTCACCCCCAGTGTGATGATATTTGGAGAAGGGCCTTTTGGGAGGTAATTAAGGTTAGATTAGGTCGTGAGGATATAGCCCTCGTGATGTAATTAACGGCCTTAAAAAAGAAAAAGAACTGACAAGAGATCTCTCTCTCTCTCTCTCTCTCTCTCTCTCACTCTCTCTCTCTCTCTCTCTCACTCTCTCTCTCTTCATATGGACAAGAAAGGCCATATGAGGACACAGCAAGACAGCCACAAGCCAGGAGAGAAGCCCTTACCAGAACCTGCCCTTGCTGGCTTCCTGATGTCAGACTTCCAGCCTCTGGAACTGTGAGAAAATCAATGTCTGTTGTTTCAGCCATCCAGTCTATGGCATTTGTTATGGCAGTCCAAGCTAAGACAGTCAGTTTAGCAAGAAGTTCCTTGCCTTTGATGTCCCTCCTCAGTAATTTTCTATCCCCTGACCCCCTCACCCTACTGCTTGGCTGTAAATCCCCACTTATCCTTGCTGTATTTGGAGCTGAGCTCAATCTCTCTCTCCTATTACGATACTTCTATTGCAACAATCTTAAATAAAGTCTTCCTTACCATTTTAACAAGCTTCTGAATATATTTTTCTTTAGCAAGCAAACATGCAGGGTCTCTTTGTCTCTTTGTACCTGGCAAAGTTTCATCCATCCTTAAGTTCCAACGTTACCTTGTTTTCCATCTTTCCTTGAGGACCCTGGCCTCCCCTAACAGCAGGAAAGGCTCTCATTTAGCACCTGTCTCACTGCATTGTGGTTGGGGTTTTTACATGGCTGTCTCCTCTGTGGCGAACCCCTGGAGGCCGGACTGTGTCTGTCTTTGTGTCTGTCTTTGTGTCTCCAGCACCCAGTCCGGACCTCGCATGAGGAGAAGCTCACTTCAGCCTGTTTAACTGCACTGCCTCCCTGTAGAGTCAAGTCCTGTGCTCAAAGTGCAGGCAGACCTTTCTGGGCTGGGGAAGTCAGTGAGGGCTTCATGGTGGATGGGAAGGGCTCAACAAAGCAAAGAACAGGAAGGAGAGCACCACTGGCTTGGGAGCAGCATAGTAAACAAATGGAGGACTGTGGCACAGTCATCACGTGGGGAAGTGGTTCATCAGGCATCATCCAGCGTCCAGAAGCAACTCAAGATTGGAGCAATTATTGTATATAAATTATAACTCAATTAAAAATTAGGCTTCTTATAAATTTATCTCCTGCAATGCAAGACATAGGAAACTTGGCAGGTTGTCAAGACAGACAGGACCAAGGACCTGGAATGTTAGCAAGATCCTGGGCGGATGGCCTCTTACCTCTTGCTCTCTCCAAGCTCAACTTCTCTCAGACCAGCTGCATTTGTTCCACACACACACATAGTCCAGCCTGGATATCCCCAACTCACCCCCACAGCCCTGCAGTTCATAATACCTTCCAGCCTAACTGCACAGTGGATCTGCAGCATCTCACAGAGACACTAGTTAGTAGCAGAGTTAGGCTGGAAGGTATTATGGTCCCATCAGCTATGTTATGGGAAGGGGGATGCCTAAGAGGCTGTGAGGATCTACTTCCATGGTGGTGGAGAGAAGGAGGCCTAGGCTGACACATCCATGGATGCGTCAACAACAGGGCATGCTGTGGAACTTGTGATTGGGACCCTGTATTGAATCAGGACTGCAAATTTGAGTGCCAACTGGGCTAGACAGGTAATTTAAATTAGTGAAGAGCATAACAAACTGGCAAGTTCATCCTCTGCCCCAAAGGGGAGCACCTGGACCAGAATAGAGGGTTTGCATAAAAAGAATTTAAAAATAAGAGGAAAATTGTGTCCAGAATTGGTTCCTTCCAGTGGGTTCTTGGTCTCGCTGACTTCAAGAATGATGCCACAGACCCTTGCGGTGAGTGTTACAGTTAAAGATTGTATGTCTGGAGTTTGTTCCTTCAAATGTTCAGATGTGTCCAGAGTTTCTTCCTTCCGGTGGGTTCGTGGTCTCGCTTACTTCAGGAGTGAAGCTGCAGACCTTTGCAGTGAGTGTTAAAGCTCTTAAAGGTGGCGGGTCCAGAGTTGTTTGTTCCTCCCTGTGGGTTGGTGGTGTCGCTGGCTTCAGGAGTGAAGCTGCAGACCTTCGCAGTGAGTATTACAGCTCATAAAAGCAGTGCAGACCCAAAGAGTGAGCAGCAGAAAGATTCATTGTGAAGAGCAAAAGTACAAACATTCCACACCTTGGAAGTGGACCAAAGTGGGTTGCCGCTTTGGCTCAGGTGGCCAGCTTTTATTGCATGATTCGGCCCCACCCACATCCTGGTGATTGGTCCATTTTACAGAGCAGTGATTAGTCCGTTTTTACAGAGTGCTGATTGGTGCGTTTACAAACCTTTAGCTAGATGCAGAGCATTGATTGGTGCGTTTTTACAGAGTGCTGATTGGTGCATTTACAAACCTTTAGCTAGACACAGAGCGCTGATTGGTGCGTTTTTACAGAGTGCTGATTGGTGCATTTACAAACCTTTAGCTAGACACAGAGCACTGATTGGTGTGTTTACAATCCTTTAGCTAGACAGAAAAGTTCTCCAAGTCCCCACCTGACCCGGAAGCCCAGCTGGCTTCACCTCTCAAAATTATGTCCTTTGCAGCAACATGGATGGAGTTAGAGGTCATTATACTAAGCAAATTCATGCAGGAACAGAAAACCAAACACTGCATGTTCTCACTTGTAAGTGGGGACTAAACAATGAGCAAAGAGGGGAACAATAGACACTGGGACCGACTTGAGGGTGGAGGGTGGAGGAGGGTGAGGGTCGAAAAACGACTTTTCAGGTACTATGCTCATTACTTGGATGATGAAATAATCTACACCCCAAACCCCCCCAGGACACACAATTTACCCATGTAACAAACCTGCATGTGTACCCCCGAACCTAAAAGAAGAGTTTGCAAAAAAAATGAAATTAAATAAAAACTAAAAATAAAATTAATTTGATTACAAAAAAAAAAAAGAATTGGACCAACTGAAAGCCCCGCAGGGTCATGCACAGTATCTTTTAGGCAAGAAAGAGCCTATGCTCTAGAAATACTTTAATACTGGGCTCCACGTTCCTCGGGGGGGAGGGTATCCTGTACCCCTCTTAGAAATGCCTTTCCAAGCATGAGGACCACAGAGAGCAAGCACAAAGCAATCCAGGGCTCAGCTGCAGAATGGCACTCCATGCACAGAAATGCAGTTATAAGCACTGTAATAGCCTGCCTCCTCTCATTACAGAGACTACCCTTCCTCACACCCCAGAGGTGCAGAGGCCTTCACATCTCCTGACAGCATTGGCAGGTGCACGTTGAGATTTCCGGGCCTCCAGATGGGGCTGCACCAACCGGCCCTAATTGCCATTTTGAGAAGCGGAGCAGACCTGTCTCATCTGGAAGGGCCCATGCTGGAAGCGGGAGCGTCTGCGTGTGCCCCAGCTGTCTCTCCTGGTGATCAAGCATTACAACAGCACCCAGGAGAGGGCAGGAAGGTGCCGGGGTGAGCTGGCAAGGGCGAGTGTTCAGCAGTGAAGCTCAATCAGATTGCCTTTGTGTAGGTTATGCTCCAAACAGATCCTCTCTGGAGTTGGCTCTGGCAAGAAGCCAACGAGTGAAGGGCTGTAGGGAGCTCAGGGCCCAGTTTGCACTTCATCTCTGAGTCTTCAGCACGCCTACTTCATTCTTTTTCCACCCAACAGAGCAGCCAGCCCTACTTTCCTATCTACAAGGTAGCAGGACGGACCACCAGTTCCCGGTTCACGTGGCCTCTCTTCCATCTCTTAGCTCCGTCTGTCTCTAACAGGAAGTGACTAATCAACCCAGCTGGCATTGGCCACCATGGACTGGCAACCAACTGGCCTGTGGGGCATGGCCGCACCACACGAACATGGCCCTTCTCACTGCACAGAAGAAGTTGGGGGCGGGGAGCGGCAGTTCTCAGAGAAGAGGTAATTGTGCAGTGACTGGGAGACAACCACCAGGCTGTCCTGCACGCCTCCCTGGTGTGGGTACTGAGTACATGAAATCCTACTCTCTAATGTCATCGGTGACTCCTTCGTGCTCTGTGCTCCCCAAAGTTAGTCATCACAAACTGTCTTATTTATTTATTTATTTGTTGAAATGGAGTCTCACTCCGTTGCCCAGGCTGGAGTGCAGTGGCGCGATCTCGGCTCACTGCAACCTCCGCCTCCTGGGTTCAAGCAATTCTCCTGCCTCAGCCTCCCGAGTAGCTGGGATTACAGGTGCGTGCCACCACGCCTGGCTACTTTTTTTGTGTTTTTAGTAGAGATGGAGTTTCACCATGCTAGCCAGGCTGGTCTCAAACTCCTGACCTCAAATGATCCACCCGCCTTGGCCTCCCAAAGTGCTGGGATTACAGATGTGAGCCACCATGCCCAGCCCCACAAACCATCGTGACAATTCTTGCCATCTATGAGTATCCTCTCCAGTTATCTACATAACTTTAAAAAATCAACACACATGTTTTATTTAAGTAAAATTTGGCCTTGGCCTAAGCAATAATAGTCATAAAGTATTTTTTTCTAGCCAAGATTATAATAAGGGCATGACATTAAACGAAAAGAGTTTGTCCATGATTTCCTAAAATGATTTCACATCCCCCAGTGATGTGAGTTCTGCACTTTGGGACCATTGCCCCCAGGAGGCCTCAGTAAAGAGGATATCAAAGGACAGTGGTCCTTGGAGCCAGACAGGACTCAGTTACAATTTCCTTTCTGGGCTATTCAATCTTTGGCAAGTCACAAAACTCTGTAAGCCTCAGTTTTTGCATCTGTAAAGTGGGAATGAACAACGCTTACTTCAAAGGAGTGTTATGAGGATTAAATGGAATGGAGTTTGCAAACTGCTGAGCACAGTATAAAGGTTGCAGTGACTCGAAACCATGAATGCTTTCAAGGGTATGTAGAGTCTTTGAAGGATCGCCATTGCTACCCACACATCTCAGAAATCATCTTGTATTCTTCAATGTGAACCAGGCTTCTGGGTGAAATCCCACCCCACCCCCCTCAAAAAAAAGCCCAGGTATGGCAGCCCAGTGTGGTGGTTAAAGTGTTGGGAGTTGGCAGAGCCAAGTTTAAGTACTAGTTCTTCCATTTACTCGCTGGGTGACCTTGGGAAAGTGGCTCAACTTCTCTGTGCTTCTGCTCCTTCATCTGTAAGAATAATGACAATAATGCCTACTTCCAAGAGGTTGTTGTAAGGATGAATGGAGGGGAGCTGGCTGTCCATGGCCTTTCATCTGCCTTTGTTCTAGGCCAGCAGAGTCATGACAGCAGTCACCTGCCATTAGTCACCGTGACTGTGATACTTGTTCATACCTTGACAAGAGCTATTTCAGGGATGTGATGAGCTGAGCCAGCTGCTGGAGAGGGACTCCATGGGAAAATGGGCTCGGCCGTCAGCTTCATGAGCTCTGACAGTAATGTGTCTAGCAATGAAAACAGTCATCATTTTCCACAGCAAGAAGGGAGGGGGAAAAAGTATCTCCCAAACCTTTGTAAATGAGAAATAATTCATGCATGAAGAAAGTCATTCTAGAGAGATATTATTAAAATTCTGCCCTTTCCCGCTATTAGAAGAACAAAATAGGTAGAAGGAACTGGGGGAGGAGAATGGGGATTCTGCAGCTTCAAAACAAATAGGAAACGGCTTCTCTTTAAATGTTGACCCTAAGTCCTATCTCACTCAGGAGCAGACAGGAAGGAAAAGAGGAGGGGGAAGGAGTCACTGGGGAGCGGATGGGGAGCTGGATGGGGGCCCCTTTAACGAACTTGTGATTGGGACCCTGCATTGAATCAGGACTGCAAATTTAAGCGCCAAATGGGCTAGGCAGGTAATTTAAATGAGTGAAGAGCGTAACAAACTGGCGAGTTCATGCTCTGCCCAAAAGTGGGCAGCTACTGCTCAGTGCAGACAATGCCTCATGTTAGAACACCAGCCCCAAATTGCCAGATCCTCCAGTCTTTCCAGAAAAGGCAAACATCTGGATTTTTCTTTTCAGTTTCTTTTGAGTGCACAATTTAAATATTTTTTTTTCTTTTTTAGACAGGGTCTTGGTATATCACCCAGGCTGGAGTGCAGTGGTACAATCATAGCTCACTGCAGCCTCAACCTCCTGGGCTCAAGTGATCCTCCTATGTCAGCCTCGTGAGTAGCTGGGACTACAGACATGTGCCACCATACCTGGATAATAATAATAATTTTTTTTTTTTTGGAGATGGACCCTCACTCTGAGGCCCAGGCTGGAGTGCAGTGGCGTGATCTCGGCTCACTGCAACCTCCGCCTCCTGGGATCAAATGATTCTTCTGCCTCAGCCTCCCAAGTATCTGGGACTACAGGCACGCGTTACCACACCTGGCTAATTTTTGTATTTTTAGTAGAGGCGGGGTTTCACCATATTGGCCAGGCCGGTCTCAAACTCCTGACTTCGTGATCGGCCCCCCAAAGTGCTGGGATTATAGGTGTGAGCCACTGTGCCTGGCTGTAAATAATTTTTGAACACTAAGCCAGCCAAACAACCAAACAACCACCCATACACCTGTGGGCCCCATTTGATCCAGCAAACCAGTTTCCATCTCTGCTTTAACCTTTCTGTCTTTGGCCCACTGTCCCCTCACTGAGATGTCCAGGCTGTCCTGCTGGTACGGAGTCACAGCGCATGTCCCTGTCTTGGGGCCGACACACAAAATACTGAAGGACACCTGCCCCTGTGTCGTTAAAGGAGGGAAAATTTACATCCACACCTGCCTACCAACCCTCTGGAACATTTTTTCCCTTAAAACCACTCAATTTTTTGAGGAGGAACATTTTTCAGCCTCAGACGTGTTTTCAGCCAGAATGTTCTCTTCGACACCAGCATAATCTGCTGTGACATAGCCTGTTTGGTTGACAAACGATGACACAGGGACTTGACAATTGGGACAGATTCCCACCGCAGGCTCAGCCCACTGCTCCTAGAAGGGTCCTCCTGGGATCCCGCGTGGGGAGCACTGGCCGCCTCTCCCACCCCTGGCTGGTTGCCTGACGCACAGCTCTCCCCAAGACGAAACCTTCAGCTTTCGATTGTAAATCCAAGAGCTGTGTTTTTTTTCTTGAGTCATTTACACATGCAATCCTGAGATGGCGGCAGCCTCCCCGGAGGGTGATGTGTTTTGATGTTTGTATTTAGGGCTCGCATTAGAAGGCTTCTGGAGACACAAGCCTTGATATGAAAATCCCTTCTGAGTAGATGACACATGGTACACAAACTGCTGGCTGGCTCAGCTATTTTTTTAATTGATAAAAATTGTATATATTTATGGTCTACAACACGATGTTTATATATATACACACACATACACATACTGTGGAAAGGCTAAATAAAGCTAATAACATATGTATTACCTCACATACTTCTTTCTGTGGTGAGAACACTTAAATCTACTCTCTTGGTAATTCTGAAGTATGTAACACATTACCATTAACTGTGATCACCATGTTGTATGAACGATCTCCTGCACTTATTCCTCCTATCTAACTGAGATTTCAGCTCACCTTTTATGACTGAGTGGAAACTCAGGCATCTTATAGAATATAAATTATTCTTATCATTTTCATTTTAGAGATGCAAGTCTCACTATGTTGCTTAGGCTGGTCTCGAACTCTTGACCTCAAACAATCCTCCCACTTGAGTCTCCCAAGTAGCTGGGATTAGAGACATGAGACACCGCACCTGGCTTGTTATAGAATATAAACTATTTCGGGGCCAAAATTGCCTCAGTAACTTAGCTGTAAAATGGGGATAATAGTATGTATTCTTGGGTCCTTACTGGGATTAACTGAGAAAAGGTGCGTATCACATGTAGTTTTACAGGAGGAGATCAAACACTGGTTTCATTCTGGCTTTTCGTTGTTGTTGTTTGTTTGTTTTTGTTTTTGTTTTTTGAGATAGAGTCTCACTCTGTTACCCAGGCTTGAGTGCAGTGGCACAATCTCAGCTCATTGCAACCTCCACCTCCCAGGGTCAAGCGATTATCCTGCCTTAGTCTCCCGAGTAGCTGGGATTACAGTTGTGTGCCACCACGCCTGGCTAATTTTTGTATTTTTTAGTAGAGATGGGGTTTTACCATGTTGACCAGAGGCTGGTCTCGAACTCCTAACCTCAGGTGACCCTCCTGCCTAGGCCTTCCAAAGTGCTGGGATTACAGATGTGAGCCACCACGGCCAGCCCTGTTTCTTATCTAGAAAATTTTAGCCCCAAATCAAGAGATCATTGGGGAGATAAGAATTATATTGATTTAAACATTTTAAACTTTATTACCAGATTTTACAAAAACCTTTTCCTACCATCAGAAAATCTTGGATTTCTCTAACACCTGTCCTCACTAGGTCCCAAAGTGTCCGTGTTGTTATTTCACTCACTTCATGTAGCAAAGACTAACGACTGAGCATCTGCCCTTGAACGTGTGGTTTATCTCGTGGTTTTGCTTACCTGGGAAGGAGATAACTTATGCTCTGTCTAATGCATGGGGCTGGTGTAGAGAGAAGAGAGTGGTAACCTATGTGGGAGCCCCTTGAAGAACAGGAAAACCAATACGAAAACCCAAGATATCAGTCTGCTTGGCTCGCCCGGCGCATTCGAGAGTGCCTGGGAGCCGGTGTGACTTGGGCCATGCTCCTCAGAAGGGGAAGCAATGAAGCCCTACAAGCCTGCTCAGTAAGGAAGCAGACAGGGCACTGAGGGGTGGGAGCACTGGCTCTAGCATGACACAGGCTGACAGAGTGAGCACTTTCACTCCCCTATCCCTTCACCCACCCTCAGCCCCTCTCTTTCACCAACGTCCCCACCCCGTCTCTCATAGACACTGTTGGCTTCCCCTTCAAAATGGACCCTGCCTTGACCATCCTCCCCCTCACTAGTCCAAGCTACCACCATGATCACAACAGCCTCCTCCCTGGCCCTGCTTTCCCCTTGCCCCGCTGCAGTTCACCCTCCACAAAACAACCAGAGTTATTTTTCACAGCCTATGTCAGCCCGGGGCACCCTCTCACTCCACAAGCCCCCAGTGGCCTCCATCTCCCTGGGGGTAACAGCCAAGTCCTACCATGGACCTGAAGGACCTGCCCATGCTGACCCCTGACCCCCGGCTCCCACCCCATGCCCACTCATCCCAGCCACACAGGCCACCCAAGAACTTCACATTCAGCCCTCAGCAGCCCTACGGGGAGGGGACTCCTCATCTCACAGGCAGGAAACATGGCTTGGAGAAGTCACTTGTATGAAGCCACACAATGAGGAGGTGATGGAGTCAGGATTTGAATCCAAGCATCCCTGCACACACTGATCATATTTACTTTTATCTTGCTATCTATATTTTAATAAGCCACTTCAAATCCACTTTGGAGTAGGTGAGGAAAAGAGGAAGAAAGACAGGGGGAAGGCACAGTTTTGGGCTCAGGACCAGCTACATCTCTAGACCAAGATTCACTGGAGGCCAAACTATTAAGTTGGTAAAAATCAGTCTAAATATTGTAGGCTGGGTTTGTCTGATGCTGCAGGAATTTGCAGACACAAAGGAAGAAGGCATATTTCTACCAGCAGAGAAATCCCGCCTAACCAGGCTAGCATTCGAGTTAACGGCACAGAAAATTTAGTTGAACCATCAGAAAATTGTTCTAATGTCCAGAGTTTCTGCTATTGTGCTGCTATTAACATGATGCTAATGAAATGTAATAAAATGTGGCTTGAAAAGGAAACCCATCTAATCTGAAACTTCAATTAATATGATTAAGATATAGCTTTTACACAATCAACTTGCATCTGATGCACATTCTGTGCTTTATGGATTATTACAGCAGAGCTAATGCAGTCAAATGAAGTTAAGTTGTGCCCAATTAACATTTGCAGCCAGCTCTATAGCCCAGAGCTCTGCTGAGGAAGATGGAGCGGAAGGGCCTGGGACCTGACTCCGTCCCTGAGGGGCACATCATCTCTGCTCTGCGTTCCACGGAACAGAGCAGCACCCAGCCTCCCCCGTCCTCTGCTTCTCTCCACTCCACAGCACCCAGCAACGTGGGTCAGGTGGGGAAGGGGCCATGACAATGGTCTTGTCCAAGAAAATGCAGTGTTCCAGGACTGAAAGAGGAGTGTCCACTCTGCTTTGAATAAAAGGGGCTGAAAGTCAGTTGGCAGACACTGTCTTCTTTTCCTTTCTTCCCTCAATATTCTATCATCAAATTCAACAGCTCTTGCTGAGCATCTACTATGTGCACGTCACCAGGGAAGAGGGAAAGAGATACAAAGAGAAAAAAAGACAGCTCTCAGGAAACACCGGGAGGCTTCAAGAGCACAGATGAGGCCGTGTGTGGTGGCTCATGTCTGTAATCTCAACACTCTGGGAGGCCAAGGCAGGAGGATCACTCAAGACCAGGAGTTTGAGGCCACCCTGAGTAACACAACAAGACCCCTACCTCTACAAAAAATAAAATAAATTAGCCAGTGTGGTGACATGTGCCTGTAGTCCCAGCTACTTCGGAGACTGAGGCAGGAGGATCTCCTGAGCCCAGGAGTCAGAGCTTGCAGTGAGCTAGGATAGTGCCACTGTACTCCAACCTGGGTGACAGAGTGACACCCTGTTTCTGAAGAAAAAGAAGAAGAAGAAAGGAAGAAGAAGAAGAGGAGGAGGAGGAGAAGAGGAAGAAGAAGAAGAAGAAAGAAGAAGAAGAAGAAGAGGAAGAAGAAGAAGAAGAGGAAGAAGAAGAAGAGAAGAAGAAGAAGAAGAAGAAGAAGAAGAAGAAGAAGAAGAAGAAGAAGAAGAAGAAGAAGAAGAAGAAGAAGAAGAAGAAGAAACAAACAAACAAAAGGGCCACCGTGCAAAAATCTAATGTTGGTCTTCTGCCCTCAGAACAAAGCCCCTTCTCCCTGTCTCCAAATTGCAGCAGAGTTCAGCTGGGCATGGGCAAGGTAGCTGATCGCAGAAGCAGAGTGGGAAGGCTAGTCTTCTCTTCCTTCAGTGGTGCAGAAATCCAGAAGACTGTAATGGATTCTGCTCCAGGCTCAGTCCTCATGGTGTGAGTTGACCTCATCCCACCCTCTCCATTTCACAGGCATGGCCAAAAGGGTAGTTTATACCTCTGACCATGGCAACTGGCTCAGGGATGTGCACACAATCAGGTTGGACCAATAAGAATCAGGCCTAGGACTTGCTCTGGGAACTACTGGAAAAGAGGTGCTCTCTTTTCCCTCTGATTGTTCAGCTGGAGGGGGTTGGCCTGGAGCTGGTGGGGGTGTTTTCCATCATGACGGATCCTGCTGAGAAAGAAGCCGACAAAGGAAAGCCAGACCAAGCCTGGGGAAAAAGAGAGTTCTGAAGACACTATCTGAGCACCTGGATCCAATTGTGCCTGAAGGTGGTCCACCCCTCAGTTGCCTGCTGGCTAGGCTTATGAATTCTCCCTTTGAAAGCTGGTTGTAAGCCAGCTCATTGCAGTTCTGGCTGATACCAAGGTAGATGCCACAAGTACCAGAATTTTCAAGGCCCTGGAGCTGCTGGAGGGGCTTCCGCAGACTCCAGGGATGTTGCAGAACGGAGCTGAGGCCTCTCGTGGCCAGTTTTCTGTTCTGGTCAGCGGGAACTAAGCAGAGGATGCAAACTCACACAGCCCACCCTCCTCCTCACTCCCCCTCCCCCTACTCCTTCCTCTTCTGCAACTCTGTCCCACGGAAATTTCCCAACAACCTTCAAAACCATTGCAGGGATCTTTCTCCAGTTAACCCACACTCTCTGTTTCCATTTGTGCCTAGCCTCCACGCCAAGTCACATTTTCAGGAAGCTCATAGCCTGTGAGGCCCAAAGCAACACTAGCTGCTCTCCTTGGCTGACTTTTGTCCCAGCTCATGGCCTCATGTTCAGGAGACATCTCAGGGTAAGAATGAGGCAAACACGATTCTACTCTACATATCAGAGGTGTTACCATCAGAGTTAGTAGAGGTAGTGCCTGAGGACCTTACCTGAGAGGCTGCATTCTAGGTTTCTAGCCCCTACGACTGCTTTTGATTTCACTTCCAAACCCACATTGATAGTTCTCAAAGCTGAGTTGAGCAGGAAGACACAGAAATGAAGAAGGAGGAGAGGTGATCAAGATTTTTAATATTGGGTAGGCCTGGAAACAAAGCCCAATCCTGTCTTACAAAAGAATGGCCTTTGTCAGTTACCTAACTTCCCCCTGCGTTAGTTTCCAGCTTGGCAAAATGGTAATACTTTCTCTATAGATTCATTGGGGGACTCCATGAGCTAAGGTTGTGTATTGCTTATCTCAGGGTCTGACACATCCTAAGCTTTCTGTAAACCAGTTTGCATATTCCAGGCACCAAGCTAGGAGTGTTGGCATGCTCTCATGCTTTCTCATTTAATAATCACAAAATCCCTGTGAGGTAGATATTATTATTCTTACAGGCAAAGGCTATGTCAATCAGACTCTTGGTTGCAAAAAAAAAAAAAAGGCAGAAATATTTGGTCTCTTAGGAAAAAAGGGAATGTAATGAAAGGATATTGGAGGTTCAAAGAATCACCAGGAGGTCAGAGAAACAGGCTTGGGTGGGTCAGGCCACAGGACCTCTCTGGCCTATGCTTCCTTCCTCCACCGGCAGGGAGCCAACTGCCAGATGGTCTCCCACCTTTTCCCAGTCATCAAGGTCATACAAGACAGAAGCTGATGGACTGAACTTACAGCACATTTCTGTCTCCTGGCTGGGATGGAGGATGGAGGATGGAGGGAAAGTGGAGGAAGGATTTGAGAGCCTCTGCTTCCATGGTAAGAGATGGACATAAGCACTGTCCTTCTTCAAAGTGTACAGTGAGGTGTTTCCTGAATAGATATCAGAGTGATAATAGGATAAAGGGCATTTGATTCAAGACAGCCTAGAAGTCTAGAGGATCACTCGAAGGAATTAAACTTGGGAATGTTTAGTGACTTGCTCATTTAACAACAGCTCCGATTCACACACACCCATACACATTTGTAACAGTCAAGGACAACTTGAAGTCTTGATTTCTGATCATCTTTTTTCCCACCCTTCTAGGACAAACTCATGCAAAGTGAGGGGAGCTGTGGTGAAAAGAGGTGCCAAAAGGGAAGTGAATAGGGTGCCCAGGTAAGCCTCACAGTTGTGCAGAGGGAGACCTGAGGCTGGTCAAATTGGCACGGCTGAGAGGAGATAGGGAGGCTATCTGGGATGGGAGCAGAGGGCATCTTCTCCAAACTGAGGAGGAGAAAGGAGAGAAATGCTGGGGGTGAAATGGGCATGTAGTGAGAAGCAAAGCACTCCTGGGGTTCCAGGTCTGGACAGGGAGTACATAGACATGCGTTCAGGGGCTAGAACGTTTGGACAGGCTGCCCTCAGGTGCTGAGTCAGTGCAGCCTGCAGCAGCAGCTCCTCCAAACACAGGAGCTCATAAATCACAGCTGACAAAGCAGGGGCTCTCCGCTGTGTACACCTTTTGTTTCAGGTGCAAATGGTCACTGGAATATGCATGTGGACTTTGTGTGGTTAAGAAACTACATACGCACAGTGGAGTAGTTACTGGGCCAGAGAGCTGAAGTTAACAAAGGAAGAGATCATTTCTGCCCCAACCCCTTTGGGCAACAGCACAGTTTCCCAAACTTAAACTATTACAATACAAATTGTATTATTATTTCATAAAATTGTCCTTTTATTCAGATTCACTTTTTAATCCAAATAAATATATATTTTTTAAATTTTAGATTCAGGAGTCCATGTGCAGATGTGTTTCATGGGTGTATGGTATAATGCTAAGGCTTGGGCATTTATTGAACCCATCCCCCAAATAGAGAACACAGTACCCAATGGATAGTGTTTCAGCCCTTGTCCCACTTCCTCTCTCCCACCTTTTGGAATTCCCAATGTCTATTGTCATCTTTATGTCCAAATGTATTCAATGTTTAGCTCCCACTTATTAGTGAGAACATCCATTATTTGATTTTCTGTTTCCACATTAATTCACTTAGGATAATGGCCTCCAGATGCATCTGTGTTGCTGCAAAGAACGTGATTTTGTTCTTTTTTTAACAATTGCATACTATTCTATGGTATATATGTACCATATTTCCTTCATCCAATCCACCATTGATGGGTTCCTGGGTTGAATCCATGACTTTGCTACTGCGAATAGTGCTGCAATAAACACATGACTGCAGATGTCTTTTGGGTAGAAATATTTCTTTTCATTTGGGTACATAGCCAGTAATGGGATTGCAGGATTTAATGGTAGTTCTATTTTTAGCTCTTTGAGGAATCTCCAAACTGCTTTCCACAAGGGCTAAATTAATTTACATTCCAACAATATGTAAGAGTTCCTTTTTCTCAGCATCCTCACCAGCATCTGCTGTTTTTTGACTTTTTAATAATGGTCATTCTGATTGGTTTGAGATGGTTTCTCATTGCTTTGAATCTGTAGATTGCTTTTGACAGTATGTACATTTTAATGATACTGATTCAATACATGAGCATGGAATTTCTGTTGTCTGTGATTTCTTTCATCAGTGTTTTGTAGTTCTCCTTGTAGAGGTCATTCATCTCTTTGATTAGATGAATTCTTAGGTACTTTTTGTATGTGGCTACTGTAAATGGGATCACATTCTTGACTTGGCTCTCAGCTTGAATGTTATTAATGTATAGAGATACTACTGATTTTTATGCATTGATTTTGTATCCTGAAATGTTGCTGAAGTTGTTTTTCAGGTCTAGGAGTCTTTTGGAGGAATCTTTGGAGTTTCTAGGTAAAAAGTCATATCATCAGCAAACAGATAATTTGACTTCCTCTTTTCCTATTTGGATGCTCTTTATTCCTTTCTCTTGCTTGATTGCTCTGGCGAGGACTTCCAGGGCTATGTGGAATATGAGTGGGGAGAGTGGGCATCCTTATTTTGCTCTGGTTCTGAAGGAGAATAGCTTCAGCTTTTGCTTGTTCAGTATGATGCTGGCTGTGGGTTTGTCATATATGACTCTTATTATTTTGAAGTATGTTCCTTTGCTGCCTAGTTTATTGAGAATTTTTATAATGAATGGATGTTGAATTCTATTGAATACTTTTTCTGCATCCATGAGATGATCATACTGTTTTTTTTTTTAATTCTGTTTATGTGGGGAATCCCATTTATTGATTTGCATATGTTGAACCATACAAATAAATATATTTTTAAAAATATTTTAGACTTTCCACTACTGATGTGGCATGTAAGGAACTTGGAAATTGACACTCTGCCCCAACAAGTCAAAATCTGAGCAAGCTGAAAAATCAACAACTCTTCTCAGATCCATAAGAGAAGTAAGGCCAGAGGGCAGACTGTTGCCCTCCATATTTGGAGAGACAGACAGGTAAATACAAACAACCAAAACTTCCCGGAGCAGAAACCCATGACCCGAAACCTCAGCAGAATCCAGTACTTGGATAGAAAAACCTGAACTGTAAATGAAAAATTGCTAGAGGCTCCTTGCAGACAAGTCTGAAAGTTAAACCTCCAGGGGGACCTAGTCGTGCGGGGCCCCCACACTTGTATGTTTTACACCTCCAGCAGCAATATCAGTTTCTCACAGTGAATATTGGAGAAAAATCCTCTTGTGCTTCCAACAGAGGAAGGAGAAAATGAATCACTCTGAAATATGCCAGAGCATTCTTCTTAACAAGACCTGTCCTTAGGAGAAGCTAGTTTACCAGAATTTATACTTCTGGAATTTTATCCGAACCTAACTGACCTGGGGAAACAAAAATACCCAACTCCAGCCTACTCTGGCCAGTGTGTCCTACCTAAGGGTGGAGTTAAGGGGGCCTGAGAAGCATTTGTGAAGCCTACCACCCAGGGGTACGAGCTCACCAACAGACTGATCATAGGACTCAACAGTCCTAATCATAAGACTAGAGCATGCTTCCTATCCCCTACACCTTAACCATTACATTACTAAAGGCTTTATTACTACAGTTCCTTTTACCCAGTACATCATGCCTGGCTCTCAAAAAAAAAAAAAAATTACAGTCTGGGTGCAGTGGCTCATGCCTGTAATCCCAGCACTTTGGGAGGTTGAGGCAGGAGTGTTACTTGAGCTCAGGAGTTCAATACTAGCCTAGGCAACACAGTGAGACCCTGTCTCTACAAAAAAATTAAAAAATTAGCCAGTCATTTTGGCACATACCTATAGTCACAGGTACTCAGAGGCTAAAGTAGGAAGATTGCTTGAACCCAGGAGATCGAGGCTGCAGTCAGCAGTGATCATACCACTGCATTCCAGCCTGGGCAACAGAGCAAGAGCCTATTTCTAAAAACAAATTACAAAGCATACAAAAAGGCAAAAAACACAGTTTAAAGAGACAGAGCAAGCATCAGAACCAGATTCACATATGGCAGGAATGTTAGAATGAGCAGATTGGGAATTTAAAACAACTATGATTAATATGCTAAAGGCTCTAATGGACAAAGTAGACAGCATGTAAGAACAGATGGGCAATGTAAGCAGAGAGATGGAAATCCTAGGAAAGAATGAAAAAGTAATTAATCAACTGGATATAATAGACATCTATAGACTACTTAATCCAACAACAGCAGAATACACATTCTTCTAAAGCTCCCATGGAAAATTTACCAAGTTAGACCACATTTTGAACCATAAAACACACCTGTGCACATTTAAAAGAATAGAAATCATGCAGTGTCTACTCTTAGACCACAATGGAGTTAAACTAGTAATCAACAGAAAGATAGCTGGAAAATCCCAAAATATTTGGAGATTTAAAAATGCATTTCTAACACATTTGTAAAAGAAGAAATCTCAAGAGATATTTTTAAAAGTTTTGAATAAGATAAAAATAAAAATACAACTTATCAAAATGTGTAGGATGCAGCAAAAGCAGTGCTTCAAGGGAAATTTATAGCACTAAATGCATATATTAGAAAAGAAGAAAGATCCAAAATTAATAATCTAAGCTTCCATGTGAGAAAATTAGAAAAAGAAGAGCAAATTAAATTCAAGTAAGCAGAATAAAAGAATTAATAAAAATTGTCTTTTGCAGCAACATGGGTAGAACTGGAGTCCATTATCCTAAGTGAACTAACTCAGAAGCAGAAAATCAAATAGCACATGATCTCACCTATAAATAGGAGCTAAACAATGGGTACACATGGATATAAGAATGAAAATAATAGACACTGGGGACTACAGGAGGGGATAAGGTGAGGGAGAGTGAGGACTGAGAAACTGCTTATTGAAGACTGTGTTCAACATTTGGGTAATGGGTACACTGGAGGTCCAATCCCCATCATTGTGCAATATACCCATGTAACGCACATGCACGTGTCTCCCCTTAATCTAAATATTTTTTAATCAATAACGCATTTAAAAAAATATATAATCTACCATTAATTCCATCAACTTCTAATACATGCCATAATAAACTGCTGTTGAATTTCTACTTGAAAGTTACATTTTTAAAGATCTTGCTCATAAACGGGATTTTCCTTACTCAAATTCTATTCAGTCTCCATGTTACAATATACAAATACCTCTTCTTTTCTTCTAAAAAAATTAAAAAATATTGTCATATCTAAAAAAAGTAATGGATATGTTCACTCACCTCCACGATATGTTTGTTTCAATTTAATAATGTAAAATATAATTTATAATGAAAAAGTAGTTCTGTAACAGTCTCAGATAACTGATAAAGTGCTATTGCATTGAGACTCACACTCTGGAAAATGGACTGAATTAGAGCATTGATACCTCACATTAGCATCAGAATGGAAGAAATCCACTTTTTTGTGTCACAATATTTCAAAATTCAGATTTACACAAAATAAATGCACACAAATAGATTTCTGCTTTAAGCTATGTCAGCACAGTCACTGAGGAGCAGTATCTAGAATTCTGCCACCAAAGAGGTTTGTGGGATGTGGTTAGGTTTGCAAACTCCTGATGCAACCTGTGTTGATCAGTGTGACTTCTTGCTGCAACATCCAATTATATGTGGTATATAGTGAAAGTGTCTCTGATCCATTCTTCCAAATTCCTTTCTTCTTTCCTGTCCCCACTTTTTTGGATGGCCTTTACTATTCATTACTTTATTGCCTATTTAGTAGTTTTCATCACATGTAAATAAACAATGTTCAAATAATTCACGGTACTCATGGTCAACTCCCTCAACCTAAACCTCAACTTCATTTTTGTGCCAATAATCTTGTGGGTGCAAAGAACTGTTGTTTCAAATATTCGGTCTTTTCTATGTCACAGAAAAATAATCTGAGGAATTTTCCAATGATTAAATAAACAAGCGATATATTCTTTCCAAGTTTTAAGCCATGTTTGTATATCGGCAATACAATTTGACAAATAATATAAATATGAATTGACAAATAATATTAACAATAATATTGAATGAAGATTCAAGTGTTTTTTATCTTTTAAAGTTTGTTTGTTGTTGCATTGCTTCTGGCCAAGATGTCTCTACTGTAAAAACAAAAAATTAATGGTTATTTTCTTTCAAATATGCATAGTATATTTTTCAACATTAGTCCAACAGTTTCATATATTCTCTGTTAACAAAAAAGATACTGGAGTTTAGGATGTTTTACAACTCAATAACAATAAAACTTATATTCAAAATAAGGATATAAAAAATTAAAGCAGAAATCAATGAAATTGAAAACAGGAAATCAATAGAGAAAATTAAGAAAAAACAAAAGTTGTTTCTTTGAAAACATTAATTAAGTCCATAAGCCTCTAGCTAGGCTAAGAAAAATGGAGATTACGTAAATCACTACTATCAGAAGTGAAAGAGGAGACATCAGTACAGATCCTGTGGCCATTACATGGATAATAAAAAAACTTTATGAATTACTCTATGCCCACAAATTTTATATCTTACATGAATGGACAAATTCCTTGAAATATATAATCTTCAAAAACTTACAAAAGAAGAAATAGACATTCCGAATAGGCCTATATCTACTGAAGAAATTAAACTATTAATTAATAACCTTCCAACTCTGAAAGCACCAGGCCCACGTGAGCTCACTGGTGAGCTCTACCAAACATTTAAGAAAGAAATTATACCAATTCTCTACAATCTGTTGCCAAAACTTAGAAGCAATAAAGATGTCTTTCAGTAGGTGAATGGATAAATAAACTGTGATACATTCAGACAATGGAATATTATTAAGGTCTAAAAAGAAATGAACTATCAAGCCATGAAAAGACATGAAGGAGATTTAAATGCATATTACTAAGTGAAAGAAGCCAATCTTATAATGCTACATACTGTATGATTCCAAATATATGATATGCTGGAAAAGGCAAAATTACAGAAATACAAAAGGATCAGTTGCCGGGGTTGAGGGTAGAGAGGGATAAATAGACAGAGACAGGGAATTTTGAGAGCAATGAAATGACTCCATAAGAACTATAACGGTGAATAAATGTTATTATACATTTGTTCAAACCCATGGACTGTACATGATAAGGAGTGAACCCTAATGTAAACCATGGATTTTGGGTGATAATGATGTATTAATGACGGTTCATCAATTGTAACAAATGTATGACTCTGGTGCAGGATATTGTTAATGGGGAGACTCTACATGTGCAGAGGCAGTGGGTATACTGAATATCTCCATGCCTTCCTCTCAATTTTGCTGTGTATCTAAAACTGCTCTTAAAAAATAAAGTATATTTTTAAAAAAGAACAGCATATATTCTGTAAGTGAAAAATGAATGTTAGCTATTCATTTTTAGAACAGAAAGTAACTATAGCTTTCTTCCTCCCTTCCTCCCTCCATCCCTTCCTGCCCTCTTTTCTTCCTCTCTCTTTCCTTTCTTTCCGAAAAATTCAGTCCAAAAGCCGTCACGTGGGCCCAAGCAAGGTAGGTCTGTGTGGGTTTTGAGGCAGCCCTATGTGAGGTGTCACAAGTGAAAGAAGAAGGGCATCCCTGCAGCATGGGATGGGATGTCAGAGTCAGTGCATGAGGGTGGTAGGCAGTGGTGGTAATGCCCCAGTGCAAGGTGTTGAAGCTTGAGAAGAATGAAACACAGCCATGTGTCGGGGAGGGGCAGTTAACAGCAGGGACCATGGGGTACCCTAAGAGGGCAACCATGTAATCTAGTGTGGAGTGTTGGAGTCCTAGCTTGGTAAAGAGAACAACCATGGGGAGGGATGGCAGCAGTCAGCACAGGGTGTCAGGTCCAAGATGGGAGGGCAGCTGTGTGTGTTGAGGGGTGAGGGTAGCAGCAGCTGACAAGAAGTGTTGGAGCCTGAGCAGGGTGAGAAGCAAAAACACATGGGAATAGAGGAGCGATGGCCCAGTGTCAGGTGTCAGAGCCCAAGCACAGTAAGAAGGGCATCTGTGATTGAGGCCGCTATGGGGACTGGCCATGTATAGTGGAAAATGCTCCCAAAGTAAATGTATTGAAGCTTGTGATATTGTGAAATATATATTTGGTCTTCATCCCCACTTCCTGTCATACAACTCCTAAACTCTCCAAAGTGCTGTTTTTTTGTATGTTGATGTTAACTGATAGCTTCAAGTGGGGCTGGTCACTGGAATGACCAAGGCAGGATTAGAGGGTTGGGACTTTCAGCCCCAACTGCCAATTTCTGAGGAGGGAAGAGGGGAGGGGGGCTGAAGGTCAAGTTGATCACCAATGGCCAATGGTTTAATCAATCATGCCTACATCATGAAGCCTCCATAGAAACCCAAGAGGACAGGGTTGGAGAGCTTCCAGAGAACTGAACATGGGGAGGTTTCTGGAGGGTGGTGAACCCAGGAGGACATGGAATCTCCACACCCCTTCTCTCATACCCCACCCTATACACCTCTTCATTAAATCCTTTTAATACACCAGTCAACGTAAGTGTTCCCCAGAGTTCTGTGAGCCACTCCAGCAAATTAATTGAACCCACAGAGGGGTTCATGGGAACTTCAACTTGAAGCTGATTGGTCGGAAGTTCTGTAGGCCCAGACTTGCGATTGGTGTCTGAAGGAAGGGGGGCAGTCTTGGGGACTGAGCCCACAGCCTGTGGTATCTGACACTATCGCCAGGTAGATAGGGTCAGAATTGAATTGGAAGACACCCAGTTGGTGTCTACTGCAGAATTAACTGCTTGCTTGCTGGTGGGGAGAAATCCCCACATATTCGGGAGTCATGAAAGTTTTCTTTGTTGATTGTTGTTGTGCTGGTGTGAGAGCAGAGGAGAAACACAGTAGGAGAGTTTTTCCAAAACAATGCTAATGGAAGCCAGGTTTCTCGTGGTTGGAGAAGGAGTTAAGAATATGGAAAGAGAGAAATGAGAATGAAACCTGTGGCATTAGGTTGGAATCAGTATGAACTCATGATAGGCAGAGAGATAACTAGAATTAAAAATAAATATAGATGTTTATATGTATACGTATTTATAAGAGTGTGTGTGTGTCTGTGTGTGTGTGTGGAGAGAGAGAGAGAGAAAGAGAGAGAGAGAGAGAAAGAGCCAAAAGCCATGAGCACATTTAACACCCAGCTCTTACAATTTCTAAATACCATTCTCCACCAAAAGTAACCAGGATTCTTTGGAGAAGTGGCAGGTGTCAAGGCTGGAGCTGAAGAGCCTGGAGAATCTTGTGCCAGAAAGCAAGGAGTGCTCAGAGAATGATGGAAACCTGAGAGAAGGAGAAAAGACAGACTGGAAAGGCTCTCACTGGTCAAATCTGGGACAGTTTGAACATCAAAATAAATAATGACAGTATTAGATTATAACTAGTTGAATAAAATAAGAATCTATGAGTCCATATAGATATAAATAAATAAATGGAAGAAAGAGAAAGCTTTTTCTCCCAGCAGAAGGAATGATAGAATTAGAAATTCACTGTTTGGCAACTATCAAGAGTAATGATTAATTCATCCAAAAAACATCAATGGATGCCAAAAGTAGTCCTTAAAATTTGAGGAGGAACAGGATATTTACATAGTATCAAAGTATCTCCCTATAAAATGCTTATAAATTACAAAGAATAAAAGAGTAGCTTTTTTATGGTGTAGAGACTTGACAGACACCACCTTAATCAAGTAATCAAAGTTAACATTAAAGTAATGGGACACACCAATGTCGTACGCCATTCCATATGATGCAATGGGAGGAACACAGCGTAACTTCTGTGACATTTTGCCAAAGATGCATTATCTTGGTGTAATCATGAAGAAATATCAGACAAATGCAAATTGTAGTACATTCTAAAAATAACTGTCCTGTGATCTTGACAAGTGTCAAGGTCATAAAAGTCAAAGAAAGAGAAACTCTTCCAAATTGAAGAAGACGAAAGAGATCTAACTAAATCTAGTGGTGCTGGGTTGGATTATTTTGCTATAAAGGA
Source organism: Homo sapiens (assembly GCF_000001405.40). NCBI lineage: Eukaryota > Metazoa > Chordata > Mammalia > Primates > Hominidae > Homo > Homo sapiens. The sequence continues at coordinate 47,930,900 of NC_000016.10, read as the reverse complement.
CATGTGGTATAACTGGTGAAACTTGAATGGGGTCTGGGGCTTGAATGGTAACTCATATTTTGATGATTGATTGTGGTTATGAAGAGAATGTTCGTGTTTGCAGAAATTACACACTCAACCATTCAGGGGTTATGGGCATCATATCACTTACCCGCTAATGGTCAATGAAAAATATTTTGTAAATTGCTTAAACTTTTCTGTAAACTTGAAGTTGTTTCAAAATAAAAAATAATTATATTTAGTATGTAAAAAGAAATTCACTGTAAAATAAATACAATAAAAAATAATGTTATGGCTGGGTGGGGTGGCTCACGCCTGTAATCCCAGCACTTTGAGAGGCCGAGGCTGGCAGATCACCTGAGATCAGGAGTTCAAGACCAGCCTGGTAAACATGGTGAAACCCCGTCTCTACTAAAAATACAAAAATTAGCCGGGTGTGGTGGTGGGTGTCTGTAATCCCAGCTACTCGGGAGGCTGAGGCAGAAGAATTGCTTGAACCTGGGAGGTGGAGGTTGCAGTGAGCCGAGATCACGCCACTGCACTCCAGCTTGGGCAACAGAGCGAGATTCTGTCTCAAAAAATAAAAAATTTAAAATAATAACTTTATTTAACTAGCTAGTTCTGTTGCCTACCAAGAGAAGGGCTGGGGGCTTGAGATCTATTTTCCCCTTGTTTGAAATAGAGATTAGCAAGTGTTCAGTGTTCAGGACATTCCTACAACAAACAGAATTTCTTCTGTCATTGGAAGGGGGAAACAAATTTTTTAAAAAGAATAACTTTCTTATGATATGTCTTCTTGTTTGTGTTTACCTAAAATCATTTCCTCTACCACTCATAGTGTTTGGCCCACGCTTTAGGAAACACTGGAAAGCAATTACCCAACTATATATTTAATAAATGGTTATGTGTGAGTAGATACATCAGGATAAACTGTTTCTCTAATATCCCATTAATTGCTTGTAATAGAAGAATGCAGGCAATGAGAACATTGTTAATTGAAAACCTCAACTTATCTCCATGCTTCATCCCATTTATCTCAAATTCTTTCACACTTGACCAATGTAATGTTCAGCCTCCTTCTCTTGATACTCAGTCTTTGAGGCCTAGAGTGTCCATGGAATGTGTTCTAAGCTCCAGACTCCAATATTTAGCTGCCTAGTGGCACCTCAGTATGTATACCACACCAGCAACAAAGCTAAATGTTTCCTCTCCTCCATCCCAGCTCTCAAATATGCTCCTTTCCTGCCCATCCTGCCATGGTGAGTGGTGGCACCCTCATCTACCAGTTTCTCAAGCCAAGATCCTGGGCATCATTCCAGACCCCACCTGATCTCCCTTGTCATCTCCTTCCCTCTAGATTCTCTCCATAACTGAGGCCTGTGGTGCATACACATTTCCCCACATCCACTACCCCCATTCCAGGCCAAGCTCCTAACTGGCCACTCCACTCCCACCCCTGCCCCTGACCCCCTCCAATTCACTCTCCAAGCTGCAGCCAGAATTATTTTTTTTTAAAGAAAATACAATTTTGTAGCTCTCTTCCATAAAACCTTTCAAAGCTGCGCTGCTTAATGCAGTAGTCATTAGCCACGTGTGACTATTTAGATTTAAATTAATTAAAATGAAATAAAATTAAACATTCAGTTCCTCCATTGCACTAGCCACATTTCAAATGTTCAATAGTCATGCAGCTAATATAGGACAGCCCAGATGACAGAACACAGAAACTTTTCATAGGATAATGCTGCCTCAAAAGCTTCCCATTGCATTTGGATAAAGCCAAAATTCTTTGCGAGGTCTACATGGCCAACCTGATTAAATCTGAGCTCCTTTTCCAAACTTCTTGCCTGTCTCTTCCTCCACCATCACCAACTCCAGGCACACTGGGCTTCTTCTCATTTCCTCACACAAACCAAGGTCTTTGCTCTCTCAGGGCCTGACTTAAGGTGCTCCATCTGCCTTGAACATTTCCCCCATTCCCTGTCTCACTAACTCCCACTCACCTTTCAGACTTCAACTTAAACATCACTTCCCCCAAAAGGCCTTTCTTACCTCCCCAAACCAAATAATTAGACTATTATTATAACCTGTTTTTGCATCCTCTTTTTCTTCTTTTGTGTTATTTATCGTACCCACAATGGTGATATATTTATTTGGTGATATTTAATATATATCTCTCTAACACGGTTAGGAGAGAGACCCTAATTTTTTGTTCACCATTGTATCTCTGTTACCGAACCAAACTTGGATCCACTCACTCAGCACGCAGAAAAAGGCAAACAACAATACTAGGATTTGCAGTGAGAGAAATTGAGATGTTTATTGCAGGGTACTAAGCAAGGAGAAGTGGGCAGCTAACACCATCTGAACTCCTCAATGGATTATAAGGGAGGGTTTTTAAAGGCAGAGTTACGTTTTAGGAAAATAGAAGTTACAGGCAAAATCATGAATCAATACAGGGAGATTATATATTGCTTTGGCCTAGAAAGGCAGGATATCTTGAAGCAGGGGCTTACAGTTCAGAGTGAGAGGTAAAGCTGGCTGGGCTTCTGGGTCGGGTGGGGACTTGGAGAACTTTTCTGTCTAGCTAAAGGATTGTAAACTCACCAATCAGCACTCTGTAAAAACGGACTGGTCAGCACTCTGCAAGATGGACCAATCAACACTGTAAAATGGACCAGTCAGCAGGACGTGGGCGGGGCCAAATAAGGGAATAAAAGCTGGCCACCTGGGGGAGCAGCGGCAAGCAGCTTAGGTGCCTTTCCACGATGTGGAAGCTTTGTTCTTAGCAATAAATCTTGCTGCTGCTTATTCTTTGGGTCTGCACTACCTTTATGACTGTAACACTCACCGCGAAGGTCTGCAGCTTCACTCCTGCAGTCAGCGAGACCAGCAACCCACCGGGAGGAGCAAAGCGTGCCAGAAGTGTGCCACGTTTAAGAGCTGTAACACTCACTGCGAAAGTCTGCGGCTTCATTCCTGAAGTCAGCAAGACCATGAACCCACCAGGAGGAAGGAACAACTCTGCACGTGCCATCTTTGAGAGCTGTAACATTCACTGAGAAGGTCTGCAGCTTCACTCCTGAAGTCAGCAAGACCAAGGACCCATCAGAAGAAAAAAACTTGGGACACATCTGAACATCTGAAGGAACAAACTCCCGACACACCATCTTTAAGAACTGTAACACTCACCACGAGGGTCCGCGGCTTCATTCTTGAAGTCAGCGAGACCAAGAACCCACGGAAGGAACCAATTCCGGACACAAGAGGTAGATTTAGAGATTTTTTTTATTTGCAATTGGTTAAGGAAGTAAGACTTTGTATAAAACCTTGAGGCAAGCAGAAAGGAATGTTAAGGTTTGGCCTGTGGGCATGACTCTCCAGGCCTCTCAAAAAGAAATTGCAACAGAGGACAGTAGTCAGAATCTAAGTCCTCAGTTTTTGCTTATCTCTGGTCTTTGTGTCAGTGGTCAGAATTTTTCATCTGGTGGAGGTGTGGGGGTCCTGGTTTCTGAAAAACAACTCAGGGACATATATCCAGATGTTATCTTTAGCTTTTATAGGGAACCAAACATCTTGTGAATCTGGCTTCCTTGGGTGGCTATTGTTTACATTATTATTCTTTTTGTTTAGTGGGTTCTTTATTTGCTTTTTAAATTGCTAGTTGGCCGGCTATCTAGGTGCTTAGAATTTGTGTTGAGGGGATCAGAGAGGAGCCCGACAGGCCCATAAGAGGGGTCCCTGTTCCATCTCATCTCTAGTGCCTAGCATAGCACCTGGCACAAAAAACCACTCAAAGATTATTTAATGAATGAAAAAAAGAGTGATTTTATAGCTATCTAATACTGTAATCTACAGGCTTTTGCAGGAATTCGGCTGTGTGTGATGTGAGTAGCAGAAATCAGGAAAAACGGTTTTCAACGCATCTTTCTACTTTACCGCTTCTTAACTCTGAGTCCCTGTCTTCAAGGAAATATTTTCTATTGAGGCAGTCCAAGAAAAGGCATTTTCTCTAGTCTTTTGACTTCATAATCCAGTATCAGTTCCTCATCTGTGAAATGGGAATACGTTCTCACTGCCTCATGACTGGAGCTGTACTAGCAGATCTCCTGAGAGCCATTCCTGTTCCAATATATAATAGTATGACCCTGTCTAGGGGAGGCTGGTTCCCCCCACTGGCAAATTTGAAACTTAAGTAGCCTACTACAGAGGCTAATTGCACAGGAAATGTAATTCCCAGATCATCAACTTCCTCCCTTCTCATGTTTCTGCTACTAGGCTGCCATTAACACTTAGCTTGAAAATGGCCTAATAGTATCAAGAAAGAAAAGAGAACAAGAAGAAACCGAATACCTGAAACACCCGTAATCTGGATCATGTGCTATCAAAAAGGGATAGTTGATGTTGCTCACCAGAGAGCAGGCGTGAATTGGAGTCATTGCCACACAACCTGATGGGTAAAATTAACCATCTCTCTTGCCACGAATCCCTCTCCACAGGAGAGAGAAGACTCATCGGTCTCCTACTTAGATTCATAAAACAGTAGAGCTGGAGGGGACATTAGCAGTTCTCATGTCCAAGCATGAATGTTCGCATTTGCAGAAGCGAGCCAGGCTCTCAGGACACCATCCCGGGTCTCCACACTTGCAGCTCAGAGCATTGCCACAGCACCAGGTAACAGGTGGTGAGAGCTGAGTTCATATTGTGTTTCTTTATTGCCTCCCAGACCCAAGGTTGCCCCATCAAGAGTGACAGGCTAGGTGTATGCGATCACGATGCTGTCATACAGGTGTCAGAAGGAAGCTTCCATCTACATTCACCCTGAGGGCCTGACATTTGAGTCTTGCTTTAGATCAAATCAGAGAGTCAGAGGTGCTCCATTCTTAAACCACGTGCCTACATCAGGCCATGAGTCAGTAAGACCTCTCATACTCTAGGACTGATTCTTTCATTCCAAATGAGTGAGGGCACAGGATTACCATTCCATCATAAATTTCCTCCATCTTGGCATATTTAATGCAGAGACCAAGTCCTTTCCTCTATGCCTTCAAGACTCTGTCTTGATCCAGGTCCCAGGGCAGGAAAGTGGCTCTCTTATATCACCATATCCATCCAACAGGAACTGGACAATTGCAATTCAGCCGGTCTCCCACTTGCAGAAAGAATAGCTGACAAAAAGACATGTCATTCTTTTTCTGCCTCTCCTGGGTGAATCAAGTTAGGCATTGGGGCTGGGGAAAGGAATAGCTGGAGTATGGGGAAATAAAAATTGGAATAACTTCCCTACTGAGGTCTCATTCAGACTGCAAACAATACTGATACAGCACAGAAAATTATTAAAGTTCCAGAGTACCCAAAATATGGTTTGGAAATCATGAAAGGAGGACCACAGATCAGAGTTTCCAGAGGTGAAAAGTCACTGATGAACCATTCTCCTCTGTCTCCCCACACCCGTCTCTCTCTCATACACCTGAAGTTACTTTCACAGTACGCTAAAAACCTAGAAAATGGCTGCTCCAATGAAGAATTCTGAGCATTTTCTCAAAAGAAATACATTGGGATTCATGAGTTATTCAGAAGAAGTAAGAAGATTAAATTAATGTGGCCAACACAAATTCTGTTCTACCTGCCAAGGTCATGAGTTATAAACAGACAAGTTGCATCCTTTATTCTGCTACATAAACAGTGGCTTCTCTCCAGATTTCCTGCTGTTGGCTTCTGAGAACCATTGCCTGGGCTGCCAGCAGGGCTGCTAATTGGATAGTTGAGCAGGTTTTTTCCTAAAAGTCAGGACAACATGGTGAAACTGGGCACATTGCCGCAGCTCCCCTAGCATCCTTTTGGAAAGCTTGCTCTTCTTCGCATAAATGAAACTTGCAAGGCATAGTAGACAGAAGGCTGAAGGTCAAATGATAAATTCTGAGTGCTAAAACATGCTTTACTAACTCAACTTCCATGTCCCACTGTGCCTCTGCTTATACAAGGCAAAGCTCTGGGGGTAAAGAGCAAAGATGCACAGACTCAGAGAGAGATGCAGGTTGCGGTCAAGATTGAGGGAAAAATGGTCACTGGCTGGGGACTAGTTACTATTGGTTGAACATCTACAATGTGCCAGGTATAGATAGATGGAAAGGTAGATAGGTGGATAAATATAGAGACAGAGATAGATAGAAGATACGTATAGACAGCTAAATATAGCTAGCTAGATATAGATAGATGATAGATAATAGAGAGGGATAGCTAGATGATAGATAGTGATAGATGATAGATAAATGATAGAGATAGTAGAAAGATATAGATGATAGATGATAGATATTTAGTTTCACATATAATGTGTATAGATATGTGTGTATAGGCACATATGCTTGTATATGCATATGTATCTTAAAGATATATATAGATAGATAGATATAGATAGATAGATATCTTTCCTTTACTGATGAGAAAATCAAAGCTCAGAAACGTTGAATAAGTGTATTGGTTTGTTCCCAAAACAACTTGAGACAAAGACTTGAGCACAGGTAGTTTATGTGGAGGTGACCCCAATAAGTGAGAGAGAGGGGGTGGGAAGAGTGATACAAAAGAAGGAAGAGTCAACACAAACCACATCATTGAGCTGACCATTGCTGTGGGCAGCTAGGCTCAATCCCACTGGATACTCTCTAGGAAACAGTGTAGAATATGCTTCAGAATTGCCCCTTCAAAGGATGAGAAGCCAGGCATCAATCCCCTGCATTTCTGGGCTGCACCCGTGTGATACTGTAATTTACAATAAGAGATGTATACATATATTGGTCTTCTTCCATGATTCCTGACACAGAGCTTCCAGAATTCTCTCTTAAACCTTAAGAATTTCTGGCATGGGGAAAATGTTGAATTGTCTCCACTAAGGCTTGACATCTTCCCCAAGGCAAGAACCTGTGGGAATGGGCTACAGGATGGTTGCCTAGAAAGTCCAGGCTGTCCTGACACTGCTTATGCCCAAACCCAGAAAAATAACACAACAGAGCGCAAAGAGTATGAGATCTGGAGTTGGGCAGGTCACTCTAGCACGTTTCTGTGGCCTGGCATCATTTCCACTCAGCCCACCTGTGATTTCAGCTGCAGTTACGGAGAAAAGTTCCATACACATGAGCGTTTCCCTCAAAGGCCAGCTGAATCTTAACCTATCAGCTTCCCTGCCTCAGATCTTCTCCAAAGGTGGGGATCCTCTCTCAGTTCACATGCAGGTTATGTGATAGAAAATCAAATCAATTACAGAGTAAGAAAAACATTTTTTCCTACTACTGTATACTCTCAACACAACTCTTCTGTGACCAGATGTGTGGGGCTTTTCCCTGACACTAACCAATTATCCAACACCAGCTGGATGACCTAGAATTCAGTTCAATTCTGATGCTGTCTACCTGGAGTTACAGTCAGATTCTACGGATTGAGGACCCAGTCCCACAAGACTGGCCCTCACTTTGGATGCCAAATACCAGCCTGGGCCTCCTGGTTATAAATTGGGGTTCCCGTGACTTCCTCCTTGGGTTCAATGATCATTTGCTAGAATAGCTCATAGAATTCAGAAAAACATTTCCTTATGTTTGCCAGTTTATTATAAAGAATATTACAGAGGATACAGATGAGCAGCCAGATGAAGATATATATATATATATATAGGGTAAGGTATATAAGAAGGGTGAGGAGCTTCCATGCCTTCTCCAGGTGCCTTCTACATGTTCAGCAATGTGGAAGCTCACCGGACCCCACCATTCAGGGACTTTTATGGAGGTTGCATCACATTAGCATGATTGATCATTATCTCAATCTCCAGCCCCTCTTCCTTTCCAGAGGATGGAGGATGGAGCTGAAAGTTCCAAGATTCTATCATGGCTTGGTCTTTCTGGTGACCAGCCCTCAACCAGAAACCCACCAGCAGTCACCTTGGTATAACAAAATATGTTCCCATCACTCAGGAAATTCCAAGGGACTGGGAGCTCTATGTCAGGAACCAGAATGAAAGACCAAATACTAGAACAGAAGATGCACCTAGCACCCCTCTCTGCTTAGGAAATTGTAAGGTTTTAGGAACTCTGTGCCAGGAATCAGGGATGAAGAGATATATACATGTAAAATATGTATTATATATATTATATATGTAAAATATGTATACCATAGATAATATATGTATGCAATACATGTACATTAATATTTATATACATATATGTATATGTAAAATATATATAACATATAATAAAATATATATTATATATATATTGGTCACAATATAAGGTCTTTTGAGAGACACTATGTGCACAAGTAATGAGCTATCTATAAGATGTTCCGTAAGCCCAGGGTGAATGACAGAAAGTCATAATGGGAATGTCTGCACCAGATGGTGAATTAGACTTAGATATTAAAGGAAATTCCAGGGCCCTCAACAGATTGAGTGGTGCCCACCCACATTAGTGAGAGCAATATTCTTTACCCAGTCGACTGATATAAGTGCTAATCTCTTCCAGAAACAGCCTCACACACACACACACCCAGAAATAACATTTTACCATCTCTTTGGGCATCCCTTAGTCCAGTTAAATTGACACAAAATTAACATCTCAGTGGCTGAAAACAACCAACACTTATTTAACACACAGTTCTGCAGGCTGACCATTTAAGGTGGGCTCAGCAGGATGGGTCTTCTGTCTTGAAGGTCACTCATGCAGGTCATGCTGGGTTGGTTCATCTCTGCTCCATATTGTCTCTTATCCTCCAGCAGACTAGCCTGGGCTCATTCTCATGGAAGTTAGCAGGGTTCCAAAGACAGCATGAAAGTCTGCAAGGTCTCCTGAGGCTTAGGCTTAGAATTGGCACAGTGTCACTTCTACCACATTCTGTTGGTTAAATCAAGTCCCAAGGCCAGCCCAGACTTAAGGAAGGGGAAAAGATATTACCCACTGACCTTTTCATGAAAGAATATGTAAATTCTTAATTTTAGAATTGACATGCATGATTATCTTGTGCAATTCCTTCATTTTATAAGTGAGGAAATGAGATTCAGAGTGAATGCTTAACTCATTCAAGATCACACAGCTTGTTAGTGGATATACCTGCTTCCATCTAGTGAGCTGACCCAACCAGACCATATGGTAAAGTAATGAAACTAGTGAAACTACCCATCAAGGAGTGCAAGATGAGTCATTTGTGCTGAGAATAATGAAAATTTGTTTCATCCCCTTGCCCAGGGTAAGTCATGAAAAATTGCCCAGCCCACACTTCAAGCCACATTACTGCAATATTCCCTCAGTGAATCTATTCTTTATTGAGAATTAAATGATTTATAGCACAAAGCCCGTAATTACAGGCATCTTTTAAAGATCTTTTCAAGACAAATGGCACAGGTATTGAAATATTCTGCTATGAGCCAATTTGGGTTTTTCAAAACAGGAAAAGGACACAAGGGACAGAAATTTTTAGTAAAGTTGTCATTTTTAGTTAATATACCAAGAAGAATGTAGCAGTTCATTGCATGCAATTCATCACTGTTCTTTCATATACATTTTGATGAGCTTTCTTAAATTCTCTTGGTAAATCACAAATATTATGGGCTTTTTATTAAAACTTGGGAGCAACTAAGCATAAAATGAAATATGACTAGTTTCCAAGCCTGGCATTACCATTAATAGGAACATTTCACCAATGCAGGTTGCACTTGTAGATTTTGCTGAGTTATATTTTTATACTTCACAGTTCTGATTTGGGATAAGGAAAAAAAAACAAGCTACCCATTAGGCAGAGTACATAATTCATAACAAGAAACAACAAGGATCCTTTATATGTGCTATTCTGCAGAGACTACAGTCCTCAGCCACTGTCTGTACCTAACCTCAGGGCTGAAAAGGAGTGTGTAAGCAGTTTATTAAACATGTTTGCCTTTTCTTTACATTTAAATTTTACCTGGCACTTGAATTCTCGTGGTTAAAGATTAACACAATATAAACAAACTTGTGAGTAATGTCCACCTCCATATTTCCACCCCCAGCCACCTCCAGTGCCACTTACCTCTCAAGATGTCTTCATTTATGACACAGCATACAAAGGCTTTTTAAACTTTACATAAGTGGCATTCTTTTCTACATTTTTGCACTTAAATTCACTTTTTACATTGAATCATATGTCTCAGAGATCTTTCCATATTGTCACATATAGATGCACATCTTTTTAAATGCTACATGGTATTTCGTAGTATAAAAGTATCATAATTTGACTCCCCTCTGTTGGTGGGCCTATGGATTATTTCTGATTTTTTTATTACAACTAGTATTACAGTGAATATTCATGTGTGTCTGTGTGTGTGTATGTGTGTGTGTGTGTGTGAGATTGTGCTAATGCTTATTTCTATAGTATAACTCCTAGAAATAGAATTGCTTAGTTAGGGAAATAGGCATGCTAAGTTTCAATAGGCTTTGTCCAATTGTGTTTCGAAAAGGCTGCACAAATCATGTTTTGTGTTCAATGCAGACCAGATGGGGTTTGGAAAGCCCTGGAGTCAGACAGATAGAGTTCATATTCAGCCTCCACCACTTCCTAAGTGATGACGTGGGAAGTTATTCAAGCTATTTATGCCTCAATTTCCCCACTGCAAACATAGGACTAATGCATGTGCTTAAAGAGTCTGGAGAGTTTTTAATGATAGTGAGTTTAAATGGAAGTGCCTGGTCTATGATGGGTTTTCCCAAAAGTAATAATCTAATGTTCAAACATTCGTACGAATTAAAATCCCCTGTTTGCAGCACAGATTCTAAAGCACCATCCTCAGAGATGTGACTGGGATGATCAGAAATACGGCCCTGAGTGTCACACTTTTTAACAAGTTTGCCAGAAGATTCTTTGAGAATCACCTCTTTACTAGGTAAGTCTCAAATCCACTGATGACTCCTTCCTCCTGAATGGAATCCTACTTAATGCAGACAAACAGACCACGTCCTCCCCTTATTTCGAACTGTCTCTGTCCTTTGCAGTGTAAGAGTTAGAGTGAACGGGAGAGGAGCAGGGATGGACATAGCTATGTATATAATTTGTTAACCAGCCCTTTGAACTCCATGGGCTATGAGTTATTTTTTGCTTTGAGGCAGAGAAAATTTTACATAATAAGTTTATAACAATCATAATTGCTCTTGGAAAGAAATAGTCCCGTATTCAGCTGGAGGAAATGCCATATGTAATCAAACCTAAAATGCTAAGAAATAAAAATGCTGTCACTTACAATTGTAAGATGTCTTTTATTGTTAAGTTGCATTCTAATTTCAGAGAAGTTAAAATGTGAGAAAGTCTGTCTTCAAATTGATGAAATACAGAAATTTTTTATAAGTTATTCAACATGCAAGGGGAAAACACCAAATCATGTCCAACTACAAAAGGATGATCACCAAGCCATCTTCTAAATGAGGGAGTCTTGCTGCCTGGAGGTCATTTGGTTTGCTGAGCTCCCAGATGAGTTTGGGTAAACAAAATAGGGTGAAAGGTAGGCAGAATTGCTGTGCTTGATAGAGGATAGAGAATTATGAAGTCCTGGGTGGAATATCAGGAGGTGAAAGAGAAGTGAGGATTCTGAGTACTAGAGGAAAGAAGAGCAAGAACCTTAAACACATGCACTCTTCATGAATGTGCACACTCACACACACATTCACCTTGCTCAAACACGGTCCCTGTGGAATATTCCTTAAATGTGGGAAGTGCAATGAAACCCCTTTCTCCTTTTCTTTACCGGATTTTCAGTAAGGTTGCCATTGCTCATGTAAACCAAAAATAAAATCGTAAGCTCCCCAACTGACTGAAAGGACACCCCTCCTGGCCAAAGGGCTCCCAGAGAAACGTGAAAAACTAAATTCCAGCCCAAGACAGGAAGGGAGGTCAGACACACTTCATTATACTCCTGCCTTTTTTGGAGTTTAGGCACAACTGACCAGCATCAACATTAAAATAGAGATCATAAGGCTTACAAAACACTCTTCATGGCAGTTAGGTACCAAATTCCAACCTGGCTTTGGTATAGCATCACATGATGGATAGCAGACCCTGAAGGAAATCAAAATATTTTATACAAAAATATATTTATTTGATATATTTTTAAAAGGCTGTGCAAAGCCATCGTTTGTGGGGGAGAGATTAACTAGGAGTCTGACACCTTCTAAGGTCCAAAAAGAGACATTTACCATCTATTCTCTCTGAAGCCTATTACCTGGAAGCTTCATCTACATAGTAAGAACCTTGACTTCCACAACCTCCTTTGTCTTAATTCAAGCATTTATTTCCATTGACTTCATCTTTAGACAAAGCTTAACTGTTTCAACCAATTGCTGATCAGAAAACCTTTGACTTCACCTATGACCTATAAGTCATGACACCCCCCCACCCCTCCCACTCCCCTACTTTACCCCCACCCCCACTCCCACTTCAAAATGATCTGCCTTTGCCAGCCAAACCAATCTATACCTTACAAGTATTGTTTTATTGTTTTGCCTGTATGTTCTGTGTCCCTAAAATGTGTAAAACCAAACTGTAACCTGACTGCCTCAGGCACACTTTCTCAAAACCTCATCAGATTGTTCCCCAGGCCATGGTCACTCATACTGGCTCAGAACAAACCCTTTAAATATTTGACAGAGTTTGGTTTTTTTTTCATCAACACTCATTACACTCTTTATGTGAGTGAGTTCTTTGGGGGTACTTAGGTTTTATTTCCACCTTGGCGGTAAGCAAAGGCAGAAATCTCAAGCTGGGGGAACTGAAGGATGAAGAAATGGCTGCCAACTGGTTCACAGTATCAGATTTTAACCTAATTCATAAGGAAGGAAACTGCATAAGAAGAGCTAAGAGGCTCATCTGACATCATTCAATGCATCCTAACCCCAGCTACAGTGCAGATCCCCTTGAGTTATCTCTGTTTCCAGGTCTTGCACTCCTCCTAAAATCAAAGAGTTGACCCCTCAGTAGTCAACATCAAATATTTTGCTCATTAAAATTTGCTTTGGGTGAAAATGTTAGACTCCAAGAGACCCGGTACTCCTAGTGAGTTATTCTGCTGTCCATTTCTCTACTGAAGCAATATTATACAACCTCCAGTCACTGACAGTGTGGCTGCACTCCTCTGTGAGATTTGTCTCCCTTTTCCTGGCATGCCCAAAGAGCTGTGCTAACCCTGACCATGGCAAAAAGGCATGTGTAGTCAGGGAAGTAGAGTTTTGTTCACAGTGGAATATCTGCTACAAAGAAGGGTAGCCATGTTGAGCTCTCTTCTGACCTCTCTTGGAGGAGTTATGACTGGATATCTTTGAGTGGACATAGCATTATAATTTGGATGTGCTGCAACTCTTGGCACTCTGGATGCCCCCAATTTAAGACTCAAACTGTCTTTAATAGAAAGGACCAGATCCATAGGCACTGTTAAACTTGGTTCTCAGCAATCATCCCAAAGGAACAAAGCCATCAAGAAAACCTGTTCTGCCTTTGCAAATTAAATGGAATGCTTTAGTTCACATGAGGAAAATACAAAACCTGTAAACAGCTCTTTCAGGTTTAACAAGCTGAGGACTTACCTGAATGTTTTCTGCAACTTGACAATCAGAAGTGACATCTACACAATGGGGTGTCACTCTTAGCAGATCCATTCTTTCTCTGCTAATAAATGCAGGTGTCACATGGAATCCACTTCTTATTTAATTTTCTGCAGCATAATGCAGAACTAAATCACTAGCACCCCAGCAAGTTTCTAACATGCTCCCACAGGATGAATAGAATCTCCAAAAGGACACACGCCTGTGCTGATTCCATTTTCTCACTGGGAAAACAGTAGCGGGAAAGAGAGGAGTTGTGCATAGACAATCATCTCTGGTGGGTCCATGCCTGTTTGTGGGTGTTTTGTTCAACTTTATTGAGGCATAATGCACTTTCAAAAGATTGCATACATTTTAAGTGCTCAGATCAATAACTTTGACAAAGGTATACACCCACATAACCAACACAATCAAAATATAGGACATTAAGGTCACCCCAGAAATTTTCCTTTTGACTTTTTGCAGTTAACTCCTCCCCAACCCACAGCCCTGGAAAATCACTGATCTGTTTCTGTCACTGTATGTTAGAGTTTCCTTTTTTATAGTTTCATATAAATGAAACCATGTCACATATAGTCTTTCATGTCTGCATTTTTCACTAAGCAAATGTCTGTGAAGTTCATCCATTTGTGTGCATCAGTTTTTGTCCCTTTTTATGGCTTTGTATGTTCCATAACATGGATGAATTACACTTTGTTTATCCATTCGTTGGGTGAGAGATATTTGGATTGTTTCCAGTTTGGTCTATTATAAATAAAGCTGCTATGAACATTTGTATACAACTGTTCATGAGGAAGTATGTTTTCCTTTCTCTTGGGTAATAGTCTGAGACTGGAATTTCTGGGTCATATTGTAAGTGCATGTTTAACTTTACAAAATTTGTCCATTTGCCAATGTGGTTGCACTACTTTGTTGTTCTACAGTTCACCAACCCCTGGGATTTTTTTTATTTGTAGCACATTCTGGTGGATGTAAGAGGTGTCTCACTGGAGTTTTATTTCGCATTTCCCTGAAGACTAATGATATTGAGCATCTTTTCATGTGATTTTTGGTCATTCCTATATAGTGTTTGTTCAAATAATTTGCCGTTTTTACACTTTTTATTGAGCTGTATCTCCTTCTTATTGAGTGTGTGTGTATATATATTTCTTATATATTCTGGATGCAACTCCTTTGCCAAGTATGCTTTATATATATTTTCCATATGTTTTCTCCCAGTCTGTGACGTGCCCTTTTAAATTCTTAACGGTGTTTTTTTGTTATATCGTTATTGCTGCTGTTGTTGTTGAGGGGGCAGATTTTTTTTTAAATTATACTTTAAGTTCTAGGGTACATGTGCACAACCTGCAGGTTTGTTACATATGTATACATGTGCCATGTTGGTGTGCTGCACCCATTAACCCGTCTTTTACATTAGGTATATATCCTAATGCTATCCCTCCCCCCTCCCCGCATCCCAAACAGGCCCTGGTGTGTGATGTTCCCCTTCCTGTGTCCAAGTGTTCTCATTGTTCAATTCCCACCTATGGGTGAGAACATGCGGTGTTTGGTTTTTTTGTCCTTGCGATAGTTTGCTGAGAATGATGGTTTCCAGCTTCATCCGTGTCCCTACAAATGACATTAACTCATCCTTTTTTATGGCTGCATAGTATTCCATAGTGTATATGTGCCACATTTTCTTAATCCAGTCTATCATTGGTGGACATTTGGGTTGGTTCCAAGTCTTTGCTATTGTGAATAGTGCCACAATAAACATATGTGTGCATGTGACTTTATAGCAGCATGATTTATAATCCTTTGGGTATATACCCAGTAATGGGATGGCTGGGTCAAATGGTATTTCTAGTTCTAGATCCTTGAGGAATCACCACACTGTCTTCCACAATGGTTGAACTAGTTTACAGTCCCACCAACAGTGTAAAAGTGTTCCTATTTCTCCACATCCTCTCCAGCACCTGTTGTTTCCTGACTTTTTAATGATCGCCATTCTAACTGGTGTGAGATGGTATCTCATTGTGGTTTTGATTTGCATTTCTCTGATGGCCAGTGATGATGAGCATTTTTTCATGTGTCTGTTGGCTGCATAAATGTCTTCTTTTGAGAAGTATCTGTTCATATCCTTTGCCCACTCTTTCATGGGGTTGTTTTTTATCTTGTAAATTTGTTTGAGTTCTTTGTAGATTCTGAATATTAGTCCTTTGTCAGATGAGTAGATTACGAAAACTTTCTCCCATTCTGTAGGTTGCCTGTTGATGCTGATGGTCGTTTCTTTTGCAGTGCAGAAGCTCTTTAGTTTAATTAGATCCCATTTGTCAATTTTAGCTTTTGTTGCCATTGCTTTTGGTGTTTTAGACATGAAGTCCTTGCCCATGCCTATGTCCTGAATGGTATTGCCTAGGTTTTCTTCTAGGGTTTTTATGGTTTCAGGTCTAATATTTAAGTCTTTAATCCACCTTGAATTAATTTTTGTATAAAGTGTAAGGACGGGATCCAGTTTCAGATTTCTACATATGGCTAGCCAGTTTTCCCAGCACCATTTATTAAATAGAGAATCCTTTCCCCATTGCTTGTTTTTGTCAGGTTTGTCAAATATCAGATGGTTGTAGACGTGTGGTATTATTTCTGAGGCCTCTGTTCTGTTCTATTGGTCTATATCTCTGTTTTGGAACCAGTACCATGCTGTTTTGGTTCCTGTAGCCTTGTAGTATAGTTTGAAGTCAGGTAGTGTGATGCCTCCAGCTTTGTTCTTTTGGCTTAGGATTGACTTGGCAATGAGGGCTCTTTTTTGGTTCCATATGAACTTTAAAGTGGTTTTTTCCAATTCTGTGAAGAAATTCATTGGTAGCTTGATGGGGATGGCATTGAATCTATAAATTACCTTGGGCAGTATAGCCATTTTCACAATACTGATTCTTCCTATCCATGAGCGTGGCATGTTCTTCCATTTGTTTGTGTCCTCTTTCATTTTGTTCAGCAGTGGTTTGTAGTTCTCCTTGAAGAGGTCCTTCACATCCCTTGTAAGTTGGATTCCTAGGTATTTTATTCTCTTTGAAGCCATTGCGAATGGGAGTTCACTCTTGATTTGGCTCTTTGTTTGTTATTGGTGTATAAGAATGCTTGTGATTTTTGCACATTGATTTTGTATCCTGAGACTTTGCTGAAGTTGCTTATTGCCTTAAGGAGATTTTGGGCTGAGATGATGGGGTTTTCTAGATATACAGTCATGTCATCTGCAAACAGGGACAATTTGACTTCCTCTTTTGCTAATTGAATGCCCTTTATTTCTTTCTCCTGCCTGATTGCCCTGGCCAGAACTTCCAACACTATGTTGAATAGGAGTGCTGTGAGAGGGCATCCCTGTCTTCTGCCAGTTTTCAAAGGGAATCCTTCCAGTTTTTGCCCATTCAGTATGATATTGGCTGTGGGTTTGTCATAGATAGCTCTTATTATTTCAAGATATGTTCCATCAATACCTAATTTATTGAGAGTTTTTAGCATGAAATGTTGTTGAATTTTGTCAAAGGCCTTTTCTGCATCTATTGAGATAATCAGGTGGTTTTTGTCTTTGGTTCTGTTTATATGCTGGATTACGTTTATTGATTTGCATATGTTGAACCAGCCTTGCATCCCAGGGATGAAGCCCACTGGATCATGGTGGATAAGCTTTTTGATGTGCTGCTGGATTCAGTTTGCCAGTATTTTATTGAGGGTTTTTGCATCAATGTTCATCAAGGATATTGGTCTAAAATTCTCTTTTTTTGTTGTGTCTCTGCCAGGCTTTGGTATCAGGATTATGCTGGCCTCATAAAGTGAGTTAGGGAGGATTCCCTCTTTCTCTATTGATTGGAATAGTTTCAGAAGGAATGGTACCAGCTCCTCCTTGTACCTCTGGTAGAATTCGGGTGTGAGTCCGTCTGGTCCTGGACTTTTTTTGGTTGGTAAGCAATTAATTATTGCCTCAATTTCAGAGCCTGTTATTGGTCTATTCAGAGATTCAACTTCTTCCTGGTTTAGTCTTGGGAGGGTGTATGTGTCCAGGAATTTATCCATTTCTTCTAGATTTTCTAGTTTATTTGTGTAGAGATGTTTATAGTATTCTCTGATGGTAGTTTGTATTTCTGTGGGATGGGTGGTGATATCCTCTTTATCATTTTTTATTGAGTCTATTTGATTCTTCTCTCTTTTCTTCTTTATTAGTCTTGCTAGTGGTCTATCAATTTTGTTGATCTTTTCAAAAAACCAGCTCCTGGATTCATTGATTTTTTGAAGGGTTTTTTGTGTCTCTGTCTCCTTCAGTTCTGCTCTGATCTTAGTTATTTTTTGCCTTCTGCTAGCTTTTGAATGTGTTTGCTCTTGCTTCCCTAGTTCTTTTAATTGTGATGTTAGGGTGTCAATTTTAGATCTTTCCTGCTTTCTCTTGTGGGCATTTAGTGCTATAAATTTCCCTCTACACACTGCTTTAAATGTGTCCCAGAGATTCTGGTGTATTGTGTCTTTGTTCTCATTGGTTTCAAAAAACATCTTTATTTCTGCCTTCATTTCATTATTTACCCAGCAGTCATTCAGGAGCAAGTTCTTCAGTTTCCATGTAGTTGAGTGGTTTTGCGTGAGTTTCTTAATCCTAAGTTCTAGTTTGATTGCACTGTAGTCTGAGAGACAGTTTGTTATAATTTCTTTTCTTTTACTTTTGCTAAGGAGTGCTTTACTTACAACTATGTGGTCAATTTTGGAATAAGTGCGATGTGGTGCTGAGAAGAATGTACATTCTGTTGATTTGGAGTGGAGAGTTCTGTAGATGTCTATTAAGTCTGCTTGGTGTAAAGCTGAGTTAAATTCCTGGATATCCTTGTTAACCTTCTGTCTCATTGATCTGTCTAATGTTGACAGAGGGGTGTTAAAGTCTCCCATTATTGTGTGGGAGTCTAAGTCTCTGTGTAGGTCTCTAAGGACTTGCTTTATGAATCTGGGTGCTCCTGTATTGGGTGCATATATATGTAGGATAGTTAGCTCTTCTTGTTGCATTGATTCCTTTACTGTTATGTAATGGCTTTGTCTCTTTTGATCTTTTTTGGTTTAAAGCCTGTTTTATCAGAGACTAGGATTGCAACCCCTGCCTTTTTTTGTTTTCCATTTGCTTGGTAGATCTTCCTCCATCCCTTTATTTTGAGCCTATGTGTGTCTCTGCATGTGAGATGGGTCTCCTGAATACAGCACACTGATGGGTCTTGACTCTTTATCCAATTTGCTAGTCTGTGTCTTTTAATTGGAGCATTTAGCCCATTTACATTTAAGGTTAATATTGTTATGTGTGACTTTGATCCTGTCATTATGATGTTAGCTGGTTATTTTGCTCATTAGTTGATGCAGTTTCTTCCTAGCATTGATGGTCTTTACAATTTGGCATGTTTTTGCGTGGCTGGTGTCAGTTGTTCCTTTCCATGTTTAGTGCTTCCTTCAGGAGCTCTTTTAGGGCAGACCTCGTGGTGACAAAATCTCTCAGCATTTGCTTGTCTGTAAAGTATTTTTTTTCTCCTTCACTTATGAAGCTTAGTTTGGCTGGATATGAAATTCTGAGTTGAAAATTATTTTCTTTAAGAATGTTGAATATTGGCCCCCACTCTCTTCTGGCTTGTAGAGTTTCTGCCAAGAGATCTGCTGTTAGTCTGATGGGCTTCCCTTTGTGGGTAACCCGACCTTTCTCTCTGGCTGCCCTTAACATTTTTTCCTTCATTTCAACTTTGGTGAATCTGACAATTATGTGTCTTGGAGTTGCTCTTCTCGAGGAGTATCTTTGTGGCATTCTCTATATTTCCTGAATTTCAATGTTGGCCTGCCCTGCTAGGTTGGGGAAGTTCTCCTGGATAATATCCTGAAGAGTGTTTTCCAACTTGGTTCCATTCTCCCTGTCACTTTCAGGTACACCAATCAGACGTAGATTTGGTCTTTTCACATAGTCCCATATTTCTTGGAGGCTTTGTTCATTTCTTTTTACTCTTTTTTCTCTGAATTTCTCTTCTTGCTTCATTTCATTCATTTGATCTTCAATCACTGATACCCTTTCTTCCAGTTAATCAAATCAGCTGCTTAAGCTTGTGCATTCATCACATAGTTCTCATGCCATGGTTTTCAGCTCCATCAGGTCATTTAAGGACTTCTCTACACTGGTTATTCTAGTTAGCCATTCGTCTAAACTTTTTTCAAGGTTTTTAGCTTCTTTGTGATGGGTTCAAACTTCCTCCTTTAGCTCGGAGAAGTTTGATTGTCTGAAGCCTTCTTCTCTCAACTCGTCAAAGTCATTCTCTGTCCAGCTTTGTTCCGTTGCTGGTGAGGAGCTGCATTCCTTTGGAGGGGAAGAGGCACTCTGATTTTTACAATTTTTAGCTTTTCTGCTCTGTTTTTTCCCCATCTTTGTGGTTTTATCTACCTTTGGTCTTTGATGATGGTGATGTACAGATGGGTTTTTGGTGTGGATGTCCTTTCTGTTTGTTAGTTTTCCTTCTAACAGTCAGGTCCCTCAGCTGCAGGTCTGTTGGAGTTTGTTGGAGGTCCACTCCAGACCCTGTTTGCCTGGGTATCAGCAGTGGAGGCTGCAGAACAGCCAATATTGCTGAACAGCAAATGTTGCTGCCTGATTGTTCCTCTGGAAGTTTCATCTCAGAGGGGTACCTGGCCGTGTGAGGTGTCAGTCCGCCCCTACTTGGGGGTGCCTCCCAGTTGGGCTACTTGGGGGTCAGGGACCCACTTGAGGAGGCAGTCTGTCCGTTCTCAGGTCTCCAACTGTGTGCTGGGAGAACCACTACTCTCTTCAAAGCTGTCAGACAGGGACATTTAAGTCTGCAGAGGTTTCTGCTGCCTATTGTTTGGCTATGCCCTGCCCCTGGAGGTGGTGTCTACAGAGGCAGGGAGGCCTCCTTGAGCTGTGGTGGGCTCCACCCAGTTTGAGCTTCCTGGCCGCTTTACCTACTCAAGCCTCAGCAATGGTGGGTGCCCCTCCCCAAGCCTCGCTGCCGCCTTGCAGTTCAATCTCAGACTGCTGTGCCAGCACTAAGCTAGGGTCCATGGGCATGGGACCCTCTGAGCCAGGCGTGGGATATAATTTCCTGGTGTGCTGTTTGCTAAGACCATTGGAAAAGTGCAGTATTGGGTGGGAGTGACCCGATTTTCCAGGTGCCATCTGTCACAGCTTCACTTGGCTGGGAAAGGGAATTCCCTGACCCCTTGCACTTCCTGAGTGAGGCAATGCCTCGCGTTGCTTCATCTCATGCTCGGTGCACTACACCCACTGTCCAACAAGCCCCAGTGAGATGAACCCAGTACCTCAGTTGGAAATGCAGAAATCACCCATCTTCTGCCTCACTCACGCTGGGAGCTGTAGACTGGAGCTGTTCCTATTCAGCCTTCTTGGAATCGCCTTTTAATTGTGATGAAATCCAATTTGTCAAGTTTTTAAAAACTTACTTTATGTAAAAGCAGAGCATCTCCAAAAAACCTTTGTCTACCTCAATGTCATGAAGCTTTCTCTTATGTTTTCATGAAAAATCTTTACAACTTTATCTCTTGTGTTGAAGTCTATGATACATTTGTAATTCATTTTTGGTTATAGTGTAAAATATTGTTTTTTCCAGTTGTCCCAAATTTCAGCACAATTTGTTGAAAAGACTATACTTTTCTCATTGAATTTCCTTGACTTCTTTGTCAAAACTCAATTGACCATAGATGTGTAGGGTTTTTTCCTAGACTCTATTCTGTTTCACTGACACTGTCTTTATACTAATGTCACATTGTCTTAATCATTGCAATTTTATAGTAAGTATTCAAGTCACATAGTTGAGTCTTCCAACTTTGTTATTTAAAGAACGAAATTGAAAATTTAGATTAATAACACAACTAACAGTAGCATAGCAAATGTGAAACACTTAGGGATAAATTTGACAAAATATGTACAAGACTTGTACAATAAAAACTATAAAACGTTTCTTAAAGAAATCTAAGATCTAAAAATGAAGAGATATATAATGCTAATAAGATTGGAAGACTCAATATTTTAAAAATATAAGTTATCCCCAAGATTGATGAGAGTTTTTTTATCATAAATTGATGTTGAGTTTTATCAAATGCTTTTTATGCATCTATTAAAATAATCTTGTAGTTGCCTTCCTTGGTTTAATTAACATAGTGAATTACAGTGCTTGATTGTAGAATATAAAACCAGCCTTGCATTCCTGGGATAGCCACACCTTGTTATGAGGCATTATGTTTTAAACATATTGCTGGATTGGGCTGGGCGTGGTGGCTCACGCCTGTAATCCCAGCACTTTGGGAGGCTGAGGCAGGCAGATCATGAGGTCAGGAGATCGAGACCATCCTGGCTAACACAGTGAAACCCCGTCTCTACTAAAAATACAAAAAATTAGCCAGGCATAGTGGCGGGCGCCTGTAGTCCCAGGAGCTTGCAGTGAGCCAAGATTGCACCACTGTACTCCAGCCCGGGCAACAGAGTGAGACTGTATCTCAAAAAAAAATATATTGCTGGATTGAACAGATACCCCATGAAAGATAATATTGAAAAGCCAATAACTACATGAAAATATATGCAATATCATTAGTTATCAGGGAAATGCAAATTTAAGCCACAATGAAATAATTATTTCACTTCCATTGGAATGACTAACGAAGAATAAAAACATCAAATGTTGGCAAGGACATAGAGCAACTGGAATTTTCATGTGATGCTGGTAGGAGTATAAAAATGCTGGAAA
The DNA here is from genome assembly GCF_000001405.40 of Homo sapiens. Lineage (NCBI taxonomy): Eukaryota > Metazoa > Chordata > Mammalia > Primates > Hominidae > Homo > Homo sapiens. The sequence goes on along the minus strand of NC_000016.10, from coordinate 47,908,543 downwards.
CCTTGAGAAACCCCAACAGTTTCTTATAAACTTAAACATGTACTTTCTATATAACCTGGCCATTCCTCTCCTAAGTATTTTTTCAAGAAAAATATATGGCACAAAAAGACTTGAACACAAATGTATACAGAAGCTTTATTAAAAATTGACAAAAGCTGTAAACAACCCAAATGTCCATCAACAGGTGAATTGATAAACAAATTGTGGTACACCCTTATGTACATACTCAGCCATATAAAGGAACAGGTCATGCTACACACAGCAACATGGGGGAATCTCAGAGACATTAGGCTGAGGGAAAGAAAACATACACAAAACAATGTATGCTGTATTATTCCATTTATATGAAATTCTAAAGTAGGCAAAAATAATCAGAGGTGGTAAGCAGATAGTAGGATTTAGATACGGGGAGATTGACTGGGAAGGCATGTGAGGAAGCTTTTGGAGAGATGGAAATGATGGAAATGTTCTATATCTTAATTAGGATGTTGGTTACATAAATGGTGGCATTTGTCAAAAGTCATTGACCTATAGACTTCATATGTGTGAATTTTATTGTATGTAATTATATCTCAATAATATTGACTTAAATTTGATGTATTAAATTTTGCAATTATCTATTTATTTAGGTGAATGTCTTCTTCATTTTCCCTCAAGCTCCATGAGGTCAAGGACCATATCTACTTTGCTCATCATTGAATTCCCAGTGCCTTCAAAGCACAGTATTTAGCAAATGGAAGGTACTCAACAAATATCTGTCAAAGGAAGGAAAGAGGAGGAAGTTACAGTCATATTCAAAACTAAAAACATACACACATAGAAGGTGAAGAAGCAAAGCAGGGAATTAAATAACTGCTTGAACGGTTGAATTCACCAAGTAACAGAGCAACAGTTCCAGGATATGAGAAATAAATCTGTGTGTTCCAACGCCATTGAAGAAGGCACTTGGAAATAAGTGACTTTTAAAAACTATAGAATTTAGGGGGGAGAAGTAGAGGAGAGATGGAATTTCTGGTAGAGAAAACTTTGTGAATAAAGGCATAGAAGTAAATGAGTGGTGAATGAGGTGCGAAGAGCTTTTCATCTTACTCCAAAGTATGCAAATAAAGAGAGCCATCCTGCAGCTCTAGCCCCATCCCTTAAATCCAGACCACTCTCCTTCTCCACTACCCTGTGCCATGCAGCCCCCGGGCAGCTGCCGTGATGGAGCATCCCACCCAGGCTGAGAGCCCCACGACTCCAGCGTTCTCACCGGTGCTTGGCGAGGCCCTGGTGCTTAATGGAGGTCCCAGGCCTGGGGCATGCCGCAAATGGGCTTCAAAGAGAGCATCACGGGTCTTCTCAGCACCGCGCTCACCGGAGACAGCAAATTACAAGCTGAAAATTCACTACGTTTGTGAAAACCCTGAATTTATTTAGACAAAAGCAGATGGATAATCTTGTTACATTTCAGCACACCACACTTTATTCAGAGGAAATGAAACAACGCATTACGCGTTCCTTTCTTTCCATCTGCTCTCCCTTCCCTAAGTTCAGGTTTATTATTAATAAAATGAACTTATCCTGCCTCCCTTTCCATTCCATTAGCCTTTACTCCTAATTAAGTTTTGCTCACGTTGTCCTTTTCAGTGTCTCAGCAACTCTTTTTTCAACATAGCTATTTTCCCCCAGACCTCAAATCATTTCTACAGATGAACTGCTGCCACCAGGAATATAAAATGTCTTTATCAAATTATAATTTTTCTCAAATGTTAAGAAATTATCTAGGCCCTTCTGTTCCTCCAAAGCAGGTCTGACTTGAAGGACAGATTCTGCAGAGGATTAGAATCAACTCTTGACTTGAATTTTTGGGAGGAGGAGGCAGGAGTCATCTTCCTCTGATTCCAAGCAGCTTGACCTTGGTTAGTTCACTATTAGCCGGATTATTCACTTTCCCACTGCCCTCCATCCACCACTGGTTTGTTTATTTCCTTTCCCAAAACAAATGTAATGAATGGGTACAGAAAGTGTCTCGAGAAAAACCCACTCTAAAATTAGCTGGGCATGGTGGTGAGCGCCTTTAATCCCAGCTACTCAGGAAGCTGAAGCAGGAAAATCACTTGAACCTGGGAGGTGGTGGTTGCAGTGAGCCGAAATCGCACCACTGCACTCCAGCCTGGGCAACAGAGCTAGACTCTGCCAAAAAAGAAAAAAAAAAAAAGAAAAAAGAAAAACCCACTCAAAAAAAAAAAATGCCAAGGGTGGTGGTGGCTCACACCTGTAATCCCAGGTGCGAGGCTGAGGCAGGAAGATCGCTTGAGCCTAGGAGTTCAAGGCCAGCCTGGGCAATATAGTGAGACCCCCATCTCTAGAAATAAATAAATAAATAAAAGAAACAAATGAAAAGCCCAAGCCTCAGAGACAGTAAAGACAGAAAATATGATTGTCAAAAAAGTGCTGAGATGGATTCAGTGAGTCAAAGACAAGTCACCAGCCCTCCCTAAACTCCAGTCCACGTTCAAACAGGTTGGAATTTGTAGCATTTCTGTTCATAACCACGGCAGCTGGGAAAGCAGATTGTGCATGTGGCATTGTTGTCAACTTCTCTGGCCTGAGGAGTCTGAGTGTAGCTACTGCAATCTCTACCCCAGGCATTTTCCAGACCCCTTGGCACTCTGGTCATTTTCCAGACCCCAGGCAGGCATGACTCAATGCCACTGTCCCTCAGGCCAACATTCCTTTAGGTCATGTATGTGCCTGCCTGGGAGAGGGAATTCTTCCTGGGGTTCGAAAGAGTGTGCTCTGGAATCTTGACTCTTGCAGTCAAATCCCAGCTCTGCCTCCACCTACCAGGGCAGACTTGATCCAGTGAATTTGTGCCTCTGTTTCCTCACCTGTAAAACAGGGCTAAAGATCCAAACCTACTTCATGGAATTACTGCAAAGATTGATGTGAGAAAGTCTGACAAGCACTCAGCACAGGGCCTGGCACATGAGTGTGCAGAAAATATTGACTGTCGTTACTAATGGCAACTGTTGAGACTCTGATACGATTCAGGGAAAACTTCAGGTGTCCTGATTTGACCCCAGCTCATGACGGCATACTTACTTCTGCACCCTAAGATCTAGGAAAGCCACATACAACTCAAGCCACAGTAGCTTACACCAGATATTAAGGAGATCGAAATGTCTCTCGGGTCAGTTCCATAGTCCACTCAACTGAGGAACCGTCATGCTGATGGAGGTTTTCAGGTAAATTTGAGTATTATCATGATTCTTCTCCTGGACACCAAACAAACCACAAAGGAAGTTACTCTTGACTACCTTACTTCAACCCTCCTGGAGTTTATTCATGTTTTCAGTTAGAATTTCTTTCCTGTGGCATTGCATTGCTAATAACGCCAGGTGAGACTGGTGTTAAGCATGGGTCAAGGAAGTCTGCTATTGGTGTTTCGAAAATCAGCAAGTAAAATCCATCCACTGCCCTCCACAATGCTAGGACCCAGATCACAGGGAAGCTGACCTGGCCTCTGGCCTTTCACTCTAATTGACTGTGGGCTTCCCCATGGCTGACCTCTGAAATCACCAAGCTATGGCAACTCGGACACTGAAGCCCTGATTAACGAGCTTTTCTGGAGCGCTTTACCTGTTACCTGTTTTGTACCTTGAGCAAGACACCTCTCTGACCAGGTGCTGTCCTTCCTCAAAGCAGGGGTGGAGCAAGCTGCTCAGGTCAGCCCCTGAGGCTGATACTGCACTCTCAATGAATGGCAGAGTCACTCCTGCCTTTTTCACAGCCTTTGAAAGGTTCTGGAATGAACCCACATAAACTACTGCTTGCAGAACGGATGGGCGAGTTCTTTACGACTCTGCTCCTGGGCTCTTAGTAAGCACACATTTTCCCAAACTTAAATCTTCTAAATTGGAGTTGCCACCTTTAAAGGGTAAGCTGACCCAATGTCCTTGCTGGTCAAAGAAATTTTTTGCAAATGCAGAAAAATACTTAACACTTTCCTTTTCAGACACAGGATGAAAGAGGGCACAAATAGGTCAGAATATTGGCTTAAATCAAATTGTGGGAGCCGTTTGAATTTACTTTTATAGATAGAAAAACTGGAAAACGTCAGTCCCTCCTACTTCCTCCTTCTGCCTATGTCTCTCACTCAGCCATTACATGGATGTGCTCTGGGGCCTCAGAATCTTCCAGGCAGACTGCCCTCCCCACTAAGCAGGCATGATCTGGACACACTGAAGCAGAAAGGCATGCCCCTTCATAAAAGTCTGCCCCCAGTGCAGTGATTAAGGCAGGACAAAATGTCACCGCAGTGTTCCACCAGCACCTATGCCTCTCTGTCCCTAGGCTGTGCACCCACCCAGGCCAGCCGCATCACTTAGGTAACAGCAAATGTGAGCATCGCTGGTTGCTGTGGGAGGTAGAAAGACAGTGAAAGAATACCTCTGACCTGGAAGACTGTGCTGTCTTGGAGGGATCCAGGGTATAGTCCTAGAGAAACAACTTTAGGGCACTAAAGGCAAATAACATAAAATCTAGGGCTCTGGAGCCAGAGTCCCTGAGTTCAAATCCTGTCTGCATAATTGTATGAGCTTAGAGAAACTGCATTCCTTCCCTGTCCCTAAAACCTCATAGGGTAGTTATAAGGAAAATTCTGAATATGAAAAGTATTCAGTACAGTCTTGATTTTTAAAACTCTTATTGAAAAACTCAACCATCTCACATTACTGCCTGCCAACAGCTTTCGCTCCCAGAAGGAAGAAGACCCAACCTCCCTTCATAGGACTGCACAACCTCCCCCTGCCACCTCTGTGGTCTTAGTTCCCCAACTCTCACCCTTGCTCACTCAGCCTCAGTCACGCTGGACTTCTTCTGCTCAAACACACAGGCCTTCCTCCCACGGCAGCACCACCACTCTGTCGGCATCTCCATCCTGAGTGCTCTCATCGCCTCCCCAAGCCCCTCACCACTACCGCTCTTCTCTCGGCTTATTCCCTAACTCTATTCAATGCCGTCTTTTCCGTGACCACTTTTTCTAGAATAAGAATGTACCTTGCTTGCTGGTTTGGACGTGGAGAAAGGGAAACCCTTGTCCACTGTTGGTGGGAATGTAAATCAATATAGCCACTACAGGAAACAGTGTGGAGATTTCTAAAAAAAAAAAAAGCTAAAAACAGAACTACCATACAATCCTACAGTCCTACCACTGTGTATCTATCCAAAGGAAAAAGAATTCAGCGTATTAAAGGGATACCTGCACTCACTTATTTATTTACTTTTTACTTTTTATTGATTTAATTATACTTTAAGTTCTAGGGTACATGTGCACAACGTGCAGGTTTGATACATAGGTATACATGTGCCATGTTGGTTTGCTGCACCCATCAACTCATAATTTACATTAGGTATTTCTTCTAATGCCATCCCTCCCCCAACACCCACCCCCTAGCAGGCACCAGTGTGTGATGTTCCCCGTCCTGTGTCTAAGTGATCTCATTGTTCAGTTCCCACCTATGAGTAAGAACATGCAGTGTTCGGTTTTCTGTCCTTGCGATAGTTTGCTCAGAATGATGGTTTCCAGCTTCATCCATGTCCCTACAAAGAACATGAACTCATCTGTTTTTATGGCTGCATAGTATTCCATGGTGTATATGTGCCACATTTTCTTAATCCAGTCTATCATTATTGGACATTTGGGTTGTTTCCAAGTCTTTGCTATTGTGAATAGTGCCGCAATAAACATACATATGCATGTGTCTTTATAGTAACATGATTTGTAATTCTTTGGGTATATACCCAGTAATGGGATGGCTGGGTCAAATGGTATTTCTAGTTCTAGATCCCTGAGGAATCGCCACACCAACTTCCACAATGGTTGAACTAGTTTACAGTCCCACCAACAGTGTAAAAGTGTTCCTATTTCTCCGCATCCTCTCCAGCATCTGTTGTTTCCTGACTTAATGATTGCCATTCTAACTGCCACAATGAGATGGCATATCATTGTGGTTTTGATTTGCATTTCTCTGATGACCAGTGATGATGAGCATTTTTTCATGTGTATGTTGGCTGCATAGATGTCTTCTTTTGAGAAGTGTCTGTTCATATCCTTTGTCCACTTTTTGATGGGGTTGTTTTTTTTCTTGTAAATTTGTTTGAGTTCTTTGTAGATTCTGGATATTAGCCCTTTGTCAGATGGGTAGATTGCAAAAATTTTCTCCCATTCTGTAGGTTGCCTGTTCATGCTGACGGTAGTTTCTTTTGCTGTGCAGAAGCTCTTTAGTTTAATTAGATTCCATTTATCTATTTTGGCTTTTGTTGCCATTGCTCTTGGTGTTTTAGTCATGAAGTCCTTGCCCATGCCTATGTCCTGAATGGTATTGCCTAGGTTTTCTTCTGGGTTTTTATGGTTTTAGGTCTAACAGGTAAGTCTTTAATCCATCTTGAATTAATTTTTGTATAAGGTGTAGGGAAGGGATCCAGTTTCAGCTTTCTTCCTATGGCTAGCCAGTTTTCCCAGCACCATTTATTAAATAGGAAATCCTAACCCCATTTCTTTTTTTTGTCAGGTTTGTCAAAGATCAGATTGTTTTAGATGTATGGTGTTATTTCTGAGGCCTCTGTTCTGTTCTATTGGACTTTATATCTGTTTTGGTACCAGTACCATGCTGTTTTGGTTACTGTAGCCTTTTGGTATAGTTTGAAGTCAGGTAATGCGATGGTTTGTTCTTTTTGCTTAGGATTGTCTTGGCTATGCAGGCTCTTTTTTGGTTCCATATGAACTTTAAAGTAGCTTTTTCCAATTCTTTGAAAAAAGTCACTAGTAGCTTGAATAGGATGGCATTGAAACTATAAATTACTTTGGGCAGTATGGCCATTTTCATGATATTGATTCTTACCTATCCATGAACATGGAATGTTCTTCCATTTGTTTGTGTCCTCTTTTATTTCATTGAGCAGTGGTTTGTAGTTCTCCTTGAAGAGGTCCTTCACATCCCTTGTAAGTTGGATTCCTAGGTACTTTATTCTCTTTGTAGCAATTGTGAATGGAAGTTCACTCATGATTTGGCTCTGTGTTTGTCTGTTAATGGTGTATAGGAATGCTTGTGATTTTTGCACATTGATTTTGTATCCTGAGACTTTGCTGAAGTTGCTTATCAGCTTAGGGAGATATTGGGCTGAGACAATAGGGTTTTCTAAATATACAATCATGTTATCTGCAAACAGTGACAATTTGACTTCCTCTTTTCCTAACTGAATACCCTTTATTTCTTTCTCTTACCTGATTGCCCTGGCCAGAACTTCCAACACTATGTTGAAAAGGAGTGGTGACAGAGAGCATCCTTGTCTTGTGCTGGTTTTCAAAGGGAATGCTTTCAGTTTTTGCCCACTCAGTATTATGTTGGCTGTGGGTTTGTCATAAATAGCTCTTATTATTTTGAGATATGTTCCATCAATACCTATTTTATTGACAGTTTTTAGCATGAAGGGCTGTTGAATTTTGTCAAAGGACTTTACTGCATCTGTTGAGATAATCATGTGGTTTTTGTCTTTGGTTCTGTTTATGTGATGGATTGCGTTTATTGATTTGCGTATGTTGAACCAGCCTTCCATCCCAGGGATGAAGCCAACTTGATCGTGGTGGACAAGCTTTTTGATATGCTGCTGGATTCAGTTTGCCAGTATTTTATTGAGGATTTTTGCATAGATATTCATCAGGGATATTGGTCTAAAATTGTCCTTTTGTTGTGTCTCTGCCAGGCTTTGGTATCAGGATGATGCTGGCCTCATAAAATGAGTTAGGGAGGATTTCTCTTTTTCTATTGATTGAAGTAGTTTCAGAAGGAATGGTACCAGCTCCTCTTTGTACCCCTGGTAGAATTCAGCTGTGAATCCATCTGGTCCTGGACTTTTTTTGGTTGGTAGGCTATTAATTATTGCCTCAATTTCAGAGCCTGTTATTGGTCTATTCAGAGATTCAACTTCTTCCTGGTTTAGTCTTGGGAGGGTGTATATATCCACGAATTTATCCATTTCTTCTAGATTTTCTAGTTTATTTGCATAGAGGTGTTTATAGTATTCTCTGATGGTAGTTTGTATTTCTGTGGGATTGGTGATTATATCCCCTTTATCATTTTTTTTTTTTGAGATGGAGTCTCACTCTGTTGCCCGGGCTGGAGTGCAGTGGCATGATCTCGGCTCACTGCAAGCTGCGCCTCCTGGGTTCACGCAATTCTCCTGCCTCAGCCTCCCGAGTAGCTGGGACTACAGCTAATATTTTGTATTTTTAGTAGAGACAGGGTTTCACCATGTTAGCCAGGATGGTCTCGATCTCCTGACCTCATGATCCGCCCACTTCAGCCTCCCAAAGTGCTGGGATTACAGGTGTGAGCCACCGTGCCTGGCCCTACCATTTTTTATTGCATCTATTTGATTCTTTTCTCTTTTTCCTTTATTAGTATTGTTAGTGGTCTATCAGTTTTGTTGATCTTTTCAAAAAACCAGCTCCTGGATTCATGGATTTTTTTGATGGGTTTTTTATGTCTCTGTCTCTTTCTGTTCTGCTCTGATCTTAGTTATTTTTTGCCTTCTGCTAGCTTTTGAATGTGTTTGCTCTTGCTTCTCTAGTTCTTTTAATTGTGATGTTAAGGTGTTGATTTTAGATCTTTCCTGCTTTCTCTTGTGGACATTTAGTGCTACAAATTTCTCTCTACACACTGCTTTAAATGTGTCCCAGAGATTCTGGTATATTGTGTCTTTGTTCTCATTGGTTTCAAAGAACATCTTTATTTCTGCCTTCATTTCGTTATGTACCCAGTAGTTATTCAGAAGCAGGTTGTTCAGTTTCCATGTAGTTGTGTGGTTTTGAGTGAGTTTCTTAATACAGAGTTCTAATTTGATTGCACTGTGGACTGAGAGTTTGTTGTGATTTCTGTTCTTTTACATTTGCTGAGGAGTGTTTTACTTCCAATTATGTGGTCAATTTTAGAATAAGTGCGATGTGGTGCTGAGAAACGTGTATATTCTGTTGATCTGGGGTGTATAGTTCTGTAGATGTCTATTAGGTCTGCTTGTTGCAGAGGTGAGTTCAGGTCCTGGATATCCTTGCTAACCTTTTGTCTCATTGATCTGTCTAATACTGATGTGGGGTGTTAAAGTCTCCCATTATTATTGTGTGGGTGTCTAAGTCTCTTTGTAGGTCTCTAAGGACTTGCTTTATGAATCTGGGTGCTCCTGTATTGGGTGCATATATATTTAGGATAGTTACCTCTTCTTGTAGAATTGATCCCTTTACCATTATGTAATGGCCTTCTTTGTCTCTTTTGATCTTTGTTGGTTTAAAGTCTATTTTTTCAGAGACTAGGATTGCAACCCCTGCTTTTCTCTGCTTTCCATTTCCTTGGTAGATCTTCCTCCATCCCTTTATTTTGAGCCTATGTGTGTCTCTGCATGTGAGATGGGTCTCTTGAATACAGCACACTGATGGGTCTTGACTCTTTATCCTATTTGCCAGTGTGTCTTTTAATTGGAGCATTTAGCCCATTTACACTTAAGGTTAATACTGTTTTGTGTGAATTTGATTCTGTCATTATGATGTTTGCTGGTTATTTTGCCTGTTAATTGATGCAGTTTCTTCCTAGCATTGATGGTCTTTACAATTTGGCATGTTTTTGCAGTGGCTGGTACCAGTTGTTTCTTTCCATGTTTAGTGCTTCCTTCAGGGGCTCTTTTAGGGCAGGCCTGGTGGTGACAAAATCTCTCAGCATTTACTTGTCTGTAAAGGATTTTATTTCTCCTTCACTTATGAAGCTTAGTTTGGCTGGATATGAAATTCTGGGTTGAAAATTCTTTCCTTCAAGAATGTTGAATATTGGCCCCCACTCTCTTCTGGTTTGTAGGATTTCTGCTGAGAGATCCGCTGTTAGTCAGATGGGCTTTCCTTTGTGGGTAACCCAACCTTTCTCTCTGGCTGCCCTTAACACTTTTTCCTTCATTTCAACCTTAGTGAATCTGACAATTACATGTCTTGGGGTTGCTCTTCTCGAGGAGTATCTTTGTAGTGTTCTCTGTATTTCCTGAATTTGAATGTTGACTTGCCTTGCTAGGTTGGGGAAGCTCTCTTGGATAACATCCTGCAGAGTGTTTTCCAACTTGGTTCCATTCTCCCCATCACTTTCAGGTACACCAATCAAATGTAGATTTGGTCTTTTCACATAGTCCCATATTTCTTGGAGGCTTTGTTCTTTTCTTTTTACTCTTTTTTCTCCAACCTTGTCTTCTCACTTTATTTTATTAATTTGATCTTCAATCGCTGATACCCTTTGTTCCACTTTATTGAATCGGCTATTGAAACTTGTGCATGCATCACGTAGTTCTCATGCCACGGTTTTCAGCTGCATCAGATCATTTAAGGTCTTCTCTACACTGTTTATTCTAGTTAGCCATTCGTCTGACCTTTTTTCAAGGTTTTTAGCTTCCTTGCAGTGGGTTCGAACGTGCTCCTTTAGCTTGGGGAAGTTTGTTATTACCAACCTTCTGAAGCCTACTTCTGTCAACTTGTCAAAGTCATTCTCTTTCCAGCTTTGTTCCGTTGCTGGTAAGGAGCTGCATTCCTTTGGATGATAAGAGGCATTCTTATTTTTAGAATTTTCAGCTTTTCTGCTCTGGTTTCTCCTCATCTTTGTGTTTTTATCTACCTTTGGTCTTTGATGTTGGTGACCTACCAATGGTGTTTTGGTGTAGATGACCTTTTTGTTGATGTTGATGCTATTCCTTTCTCTTTGTTAGTTTTCCTTCTAACAGTCAGGTCCCTCAGCTGCAGGTCTGTTGGAGTTTGCTGGAGTTGCACTCCAGGCCCTGTTTGCCTGGTTATCACCAGCAGAGGCTGCAGAACAACAAATATCTCAGAACAGCAAATATTGCTGCCTGATCCTTCCTCTGGAAGCTTCGTCCCAGTGGGGTGACCACCTATATGAGTTGTCTGTTGGCCCCTACTGGGAGGTGTCTCCCAGTTAGGCTACACAGGAGTCAGGGACCCACTTGAGGAGGCAGTCTGTCTGTTCTCAGTGTGCAAACACTGTGCTGGGAGAACCACTGCTCTCTTCAGAGCTGTCAGACAGAGACGTTTAAGTCTGCAGAAGTTTTCTGCTGCCTTTTGTTCAGCTATGCCCCGCCCACAGAGGTGGAGTCTAGAGGCAGTAGGCCTTGTGGAGCTGCAGTGGGCTGCACCCAGTTCGAGCTTCCCAGACACTTTATTTACCTACTCAAGCCTCAGCAATGGCGGACGCCCCTCCCCCAGCCAGGCTGCTGCCTCACAGATCAATCTCAGACTGCTGCACTAGCAGTGAGCAGGACTCCATGGGCTTGGGACCAGCAGAGTCAGGCACAGGAGAGAATCACCTTGTCTGCTGGTTGCTAAGACCTTGGGAAAAGTGCAGTATTTGGGCAGGAGTGCCCCATTTTTCCAGGCAGTCTGTCATGGCTTCCCTTGGCTAGGAAAGGGAATTCCCTGACCTGTTGTGCTTCCCCAGTGAGGCGACGCCCCACCCTGCTTCCGCCAGCCCTCCATGGGCTGCACCCACTGTCCAACAAGTCCCAGTGAGATGAACCAGGTACCTCAGTTGGAAATGCAGAAATCACCCGTCTTCTGCATTGATCATGCTGGGAGCTGCAGACTGGAGCTGTTCCTATTCAGCCATCTTCCATTTTAGTGTCTGCACTCAAGTATTTATTACAGCACTACTCACAATAGTAAAGCTGTGGAATCAATTTAAATATCCATCAGCAAAGAAATGAATAAAGAAAACCTGGTATACCTACACAATTAAATACAATTCATCCATAAAATAGAAGAAAATCATGTCATTTGCAGCAACATGAATAGAACTGGGGGTCATTATATTAAGTAACATAAGCCAGACACAGAATGACAAATTTTCATGTTCTAACTCACATGTGGGAGCTAAAAATGTTGATATCGTGGAGGTGAAAAGTAGAATAATAGATACCAGAGGCTGGGAAAAATGTCGGGGGCAGAGGGTATGAAGAGAGACTGGCCAATGGTTACAAACATACAGTTAGGCAGAAGTGCTAACTGGGCAACACAGTGAGACTTTGTCAAAAAACAAAACAAAACAAAAAACCATACTCCCTTCCCTCTCTTCAGAACACAAGTTGGCTTCTAGCCATATCTGTGTCTTCCAAATTGCAGTTCTTAAGACTCCAATAAACACCTTCTTATATTGGATTGCAGTCTGGTCTTTTACCTCTTTTGAGTTGACAATTACTATGTGGCAGGTGGCTCAGGTGCCCCTCTTCCTATTGCCCAGCCCCAGTTATTTGCCTCTTGCTGGCTGGATCTCACCTCAAGCACTCATAGACTTTTCTTTCTGCCCCAGGGTCTTCTCTAATGTCCTAGGATTCCACTACCTCTGAACCCATGTGTCACCCTTGAATGTGAGGTTAATGTTCCCACAGGAAACCTACAACCAATGGAGGTGTTGCGAAAGCCATTGCTTCTTCCCTCTGTGCTTCAGGCAGACTGCCCTTCGAGGCCTTCTGCAGGCTTCCCCAGAGCAGTGGGATCCAGGCCCTAGGGCCCACAGCAGTAGCCTCAGTTTTGCATCCTTACAGAGGTTTCTTCTCATCCCTGTCTCCCTCTCCCCAGCCTCTCACATCTGCTCCCTGGGATCAATTCCCAGATAAAGCCCTTCCTCCACCAA